>NC_000011.10:54525074-54828104 GCF_000001405.40 Homo sapiens
GAATTCTTTGAAGATTTCTTTGGAAACGGGAATATCTTCACAGAAAAACTAAACTGAAGCATTCTCGCAAACTTCTTTGTGATGTTTGTGTTCGGGTCACACAGTTTAACCTCGCTTTTCACAGAGCGGTTTTGAGACACTCCTTTTGTACAATCTGCAAGTGGACATGTGGAGCGCTTCCAGGCCTGTGGTGGAAAAGGAAACATCTTCACATAAGAACTAGAGAGAAGCATTGTCAGAAAGGTCTTTGTGATGATTGCATTCAACTCACAGAGTTGAAGATCCTGTATGAAACAGCAGTTTCAAAACACTCTTTCTGTGGGATCGGCCAGTGGATATTTGGACCTCTTCGAAGATTTCGTTGGAAATGGGATAAACTTCACATAAAAGCTAAACCGAAGCATTCTCAGAAACTTCTTTGTGATGTTTGCATTCACCTCACAGAGTCGAACTTTCCCTCTGATACAGCACCTTTGAAACGCTCGTTTTCTAGAATCTTCAGGTGGACATTGGGAGGGCTTTGTGGACTGTGGTGTAAAAGGGAATATCTTCTCATAAAAACTACATAGAAGCACTCTCAGAAACGACTCTGTGATGATAGCATTCAACTCACAGAGTTGGACATTCATTTCTTTTGAGAGAGCAGTTTGGAAACACTCTTTCTGTCGAATCTGCAAGTGGAGATTTGGACCGCTTTGAGGCCTATGGTAGTAAAGGGAAGAACTTCATATAAGAACTAGACAGTAGCATTCTCAGAAAATTCTTTGTGACGATGGAGTTTAACTCAGAGAGCTGAACATTCGTTTTGATGGAGCAGTTTCCAAACACACTTTTGGTAGAATCTGCAAGTGTAAATTTGGACTTCTCTAAGGATTTCGTTGGAAAGGGGATAAACTTCCCAGAAGTAATCGGAAGCATTCTCCGAAACTTCTTTGTGATGTTTGCATTCAACTCACAGGCTGAACCTTCGTTTCATAGTTCAGCTTTCAAACACTCTTTCTGTGGAATCTGCAAGTGGATATTTGCACCACTTTGTGGTCTTCCTTCGAAACGGGTATATCTTCACATCAAACCTAGACAGAAGCATTCTCAGAATGTTTCCTGTGAGGACTGCATTCAACTCACAGAGTTGAACAATCCTGTTAATGGAGCAGTTTTGAAACTCCCTTTCTTTGGAATCTGCAAGTGGATATGTGGACCTCTTTGAAGATTCCGTTGGAAACGGGTTCATCTTCACATAAAAACTAAACAGAAGCATTCTCAGAAACTACTTTGTGATGTTTGTGTTCAACTTCCGGAATTGAACTTTCTTCTGGAAAGAGCAGCTATGAAACGCTCTTTTTCTAGAATGTGCAAGTGGACATTTGGAGGGCTTTGAGGCCTGCGGTGGAAAGGGAAATATCTTCACATGAAAACTAGATAGAAGCATTCTCAGAAACCACTTTGGGATGATTGCATCGGACTCACAGAGTTGGACATTCCTATGGATAGAACAGTTTGTAAACACTCTTTTTGTAGAATCTGCAATTGGAGATTTGGACGGCTTTGAGGCCTACGGAAGTAAAAGAAATAACTTCACATAAAAACCAAACGGAAGCATTCACAGAAAATTCTTTGCGATGATTGTATTTAACTGAGAGAGCTGAACATTCCTTTAGATGGAGCAGTTTCCAAACACACTTTTTGTAGGATCTGCAGGTGGATATTCGGACCTCTCTGAGGATTGCATTGGAAACGGGATAAACTTCCCAGAACTACACGGAAGCATTCTCCGAAAGTTCTTTGTGATGTTTGCATACAACTCACAGAGTTGAACCTTCCTTTCATACTTCAGCTTTGAGACACACTTTTGGTAGAATCTGCAGGTGGATATTTGGACCACTGTGAGGCCTTCGTTCGAAACGGGTACACCTTCACGTAAAAACTCAAGAGGAGCATTGTCAGAAACTTCTGTGTGATGATTGCATTCAGGTCACAGAGTTGAACCCTCCATTTGATTGAGCAGTTTGGAAACTCTCTTTTTGTAGAATCTGTAAGAGGATATGCGGACTTCTTTGAAGATTTCTTTGAAAACGGGAATATCTTCACAGAAAAACTAAACTGAAGCATTCTCGCAAACTTCTTTGTGATGTTTGTGTTCGAGTCACACAGTTTAACCTCGCTTTTCACAGAGCGGTTTTGAGACACTCCTTTCGTAGAATCTGCAAGTGGACATGTGGAGGGCTTCCAGGCCTGTGGTGGAAAAGGAAACATCTTCATATAAGAACTAGAGAGAAGCATTGTCAGAAACTTCTTTGTGATGATTGCATTCAACTCGCAGAGTTGAAGATTCCGTTTGAAACAGCAGTTTCGAAACACTCTTTCTGTGGGATCGGCCAGTGGATATTTGGACCTCTTTGAAGATTTCGTTGGAAATGGCATAAACTTCACATAAAAGCTAAACCGAAGCATTCTCAGAAACTTCTTTGTGATGTTTGCATTCACCTCACAGAGTCGAACTTTCCCTCTGATACAGCACCTTTGAAATGCTCGTTTTCTAAAATCTGCAGGTGGACATTGGGAGGGCTTTGTGGACTGTGGTGGAAAAGGGAATATCTTCTCATAAAAACGACATAGAAGCACTCTCAGAAACGACTCTGTGATGATAGCATTCAACTCACAGAGTTGGACATTCATTCCTTTTGAGAGAGCAGTTTGGAAACACTCTTTCTGTTGAATCTACAAGTGGAGATTTGGACCGCTGTGAGGCCTATGGTAGTAAGGGGAAGAACTTCATATAAGAACTAGACAGTAGCACTCTCAGAAAATTCTTTGTGACGATGGAGTTTAACTCAGAGAGCTGAACATTCGTTTTGATGGAGCAGTTTCCAAACACACTTTCTGTAGAATCTGCAAGTGTAAATTTGGACTTCTCTGAGGATTTCGTTGGAAAGGGGATAAACTTCACAGAAGTAATCGGAAGCATTCTCCGAAATTTCTTTGTGATGTTTGCATTCAACTCACAGGGTTGAACATTCCTTTCATAGTTCAGCTTTCAAACACTCTTTCTGTAGAATCTGCAAGTGGATATTTGCACCACTTTGTGGCCTTCCTTCGAAACGGGTATATCTTCACATCAAACCTAGACAGAAGCATTCTCAGAATGTTTCCTGTGAGGACTGCATTCAACTCACAGAGTTGAACAATCCTGTTGACGGAGCAGTTTTGAAACTCCCTTTCTTTGGAATCTGCAAGTGGATATGTGGACCTCTTTGAAGATTTCGTTGGAAACGGGTTCATCTTCACATAAAAACTAAACAGAAGCATTCTCAGAAACTACTTTGTGATGTTTGTGTTCAACTTCCGGAATTGAACTTTCCTCTGGAAAGAGCAGCTATGAAATGCTCTTTTTCTAGAATGTGCAAGTGGACATTTGGAGGGCTTTGAGGCCTGCGGTGGAAAGGGAAATATCTTCACATGAAAACTAGATAGAAGCATTCTCAGAAACCACTTTTTGATGATTGCATCGGACTCACAGAGTTGGACATTCCTATGGGTAGAACAGTTTGTAAACACTCTTTTTGTAGAATCTGCAATTGGAGATTTGGACGGCTTTGAGGCCTACGGAAGTAAAGGAAATAACTTCACATAAAAACCAAACGGAAGCATTCACAGAAAATTCTTTGCGATGATTGTATTTAACTGAGAGAGCTGAACATTCCTTTAGATGGAGCAGTTTCCAAACACACTTTTTGTAGGATCTGCAGGTGGATATTCGGACCTCTCTGAGGATTGCGTTGGAAACGGGATAAACTTCCCAGAACTACACGGAAGCATTCTCCGAAACTTCTTTGTGATGTTTGCATACAACTCACAGAGTTGAACCTTCCTTTCATAGTTCAGCTTTGAGACACTCTTTTGGTAGAATCTGCAGGTGGATATTTGCACCACTGTGAGGCCTTCGTTCGAAACAGGTACACCTTCACGTAAAAACTCAAGAGGAGCATTCTCAGAAACTTCTGTGTGATGATTGCATTCAGGTCACAGAGTTGAACCCTCCATTTGATTGAGCAGTTTGGAAACTCTCTTTTTGTAGAATCTGTAAGAGGATATGCGGACTTCTTTGAAGATTTCTTTGGAAACGGGAATATCTTCACAGAAAAACTAAACTGAAGCATTCTCGCAAACTTCTTTGTGATGTTTGTGTTCGGGTCACACAGTTTAACCTCGCTTTTCACAGAGCGGTTTTGAGACACTCCTTTCGTAGAATCTGCAAGTGGACATGTGGAGCGCTTCCAGGCCTGTGGTGGAAAAGGAAACATCTTCACATAAGAACTAGGGAGAAGTATTGTCAGAAACGTCTTTGTGATGATTGCATTCAACTCACAGAGTTGAAGATTCCGTTTGAAACAGCAGTTTCGAAACACTCTTTCTGTGGGATCGGCCAGTGGATATTTGGACCTCTTCGAAGATTTCGTTGGAAATGGGATAAACTTCACATAAAAGCTAAACCGAAGCATTCTCAGAAACTTCTTTGTGATGTTTGGATTCACCTCACAGAGTCGAACTTTCCCTCTGATACAGCACCTTTGAAACGCTCGTTTGCTAGAATCTGCAGGTGGACATTGGGAGGGCTTTGTGGACTGTGGTGGAAAAGGGAATATCTTCTCACAAAAACTACATAGAAGCACTCTCAGAAACGACTCTGTGATGATAGCATTCAACTCACAGAGTTGGACATTCATTCCTTTTGAGAGAGCAGTTTGGAAACACTCTTTCTGTCGAATCTGCAAGTGGAGATTTGGACCGCTTTGAGGCCTATGGTAGTAAAGGGAAGAACTTCATATAAGAACTAGACAGTAGCACTCTCAGAAAATTCTTTGTGACGATGGAGTTTAACTCAGAGAGCTGAACATTCGTTTTGATGGAGCAGTTTCCAAACACACTTTTGGTAGAATCTGCAAGTGTAAATTTGGACTTCTCTAAGGATTTCGTTGGAAAGGGGATAAACTTCCCAGAAGTAATCGGAAGCATTCTCCGAAACTTCTTTGTGATGTTTGCATTCAACTCACAGGCTGAACCTTCGTTTCATAGTTCAGCTTTCAAACACTCTTTCTGTAGAATCTGCAAGTGGATATTTGCACCACTTTGTGGCCTTCCTTCGAAACGGGTATATCTTCACATCAAACCTAGACAGAAGCATTCTCAGAATGTTTCCTGTGAGGACTGCATTCAACTCACAGAGTTGAACACTCCTGTTGATGGAGCAGTTTTGAAACTCTCTTTCTTTGGAATCTGCAAGTGGATATGTGGACCTCTTTGAAGATTTCGTTGGAAACGGGTTCATCTTCACATAAAAACTAAACAGAAGCATTCTCAGAAACTACTTTGTGATGTTTGTGTCCAACTTCCGGAATTGAACTTTCCTCTGGAAAGAGCAGCTATGAAACGCTCTTTTTCTAGAATGTGCAAGTGGACATTTGGAGGGCTTTGAGGCCTGCGGTGGAAAGGGAAATATCTTCACATGAAAACTATATAGAAGCATTCTCAGAAACCACTTTTTGATGATTGCATCGGACTCACAGAGTTGGACATTCCTATGGATAGAACAGTTTGTAAACACTCTTTTTGTAGAATCTGCAATTGGAGATTTGGACGGCTTTGAGGCCTACGGAAGTAAAGGAAATAACTTCACATAAAAACCAAATGGAAGCATTCACAGAAAATTCTTTGCGATGATTGTATTTAACTGAGAGAGCTGAACATTCCTTTAGATGGAGCAGTTTCCAAACACACTTTTTGTAGGATCTGCAGGTGGATATTCGGACCTCTCTGAGGATTGCGTTGGAAACGGGATAAACTTCCCAGAACTACACGGAAGCATTCTCCGAAACTTCTTTGTGATGTTTGCATACAACTCACAGAGTTGAACCTTCCTTTCATAGTTCAGCTTTGAGACACTCTTTTGGTAGAATCTGCAGGTGGATATTTGCACCACTGTGAGGCCTTCGTTCGAAACAGGTACACCTTCACGTAAAAACTCAAGAGGAGCATTCTCAGAAACTTCTGTGTGATGATTGCATTCAGGTCACAGAGTTGAACCCTCCATTTGATTGAGCAGTTTGGAAACTCTCTTTTTGTAGAATCTGTAAGAGGATATGCGGACTTCTTTGAAGATTTCTTTGGAAACGGGAATATCTTCACAGAAAAACTAAACTGAAGCATTCTCGCAAACTTCTTTGTGATGTTTGTGTTCGGGTCACACAGTTTAACCTCGCTTTTCACAGAGCGGTTTTGAGACACTCCTTTCGTAGAATCTGCAAGTGGACATGTGGAGCGCTTCCAGGCCTGTGGTGGAAAAGGAAACATCTTCACATAAGAACTAGGGAGAAGTATTGTCAGAAACGTCTTTGTGATGATTGCATTCAACTCACAGAGTTGAAGATTCCGTTTGAAACAGCAGTTTCGAAACACTCTTTCTGTGGGATCGGCCAGTGGATATTTGGACCTCTTCGAAGATTTCGTTGGAAATGGGATAAACTTCACATAAAAGCTAAACCGAAGCATTCTCAGAAACTTCTTTGTGATGTTTGGATTCACCTCACAGAGTCGAACTTTCCCTCTGATACAGCACCTTTGAAACGCTCGTTTGCTAGAATCTGCAGGTGGACATTGGGAGGGCTTTGTGGACTGTGGTGGAAAAGGGAATATCTTCTCACAAAAACTACATAGAAGCACTCTCAGAAACGACTCTGTGATGATAGCATTCAACTCACAGAGTTGGACATTCATTCCTTTTGAGAGAGCAGTTTGGAAACACTCTTTCTGTCGAATCTGCAAGTGGAGATTTGGACCGCTTTGAGGCCTATGGTAGTAAAGGGAAGAACTTCATATAAGAACTAGACAGTAGCACTCTCAGAAAATTCTTTGTGACGATGGAGTTTAACTCAGAGAGCTGAACATTCGTTTTGATGGAGCAGTTTCCAAACACACTTTTGGTAGAATCTGCAAGTGTAAATTTGGACTTCTCTAAGGATTTCGTTGGAAAGGGGATAAACTTCCCAGAAGTAATCGGAAGCATTCTCCGAAACTTCTTTGTGATGTTTGCATTCAACTCACAGGCTGAACCTTCGTTTCATAGTTCAGCTTTCAAACACTCTTTCTGTAGAATCTGCAAGTGGATATTTGCACCACTTTGTGGCCTTCCTTCGAAACGGGTATATCTTCACATCAAACCTAGACAGAAGCATTCTCAGAATGTTTCCTGTGAGGACTGCATTCAACTCACAGAGTTGAACACTCCTGTTGATGGAGCAGTTTTGAAACTCTCTTTCTTTGGAATCTGCAAGTGGATATGTGGACCTCTTTGAAGATTTCGTTGGAAACGGGTTCATCTTCACATAAAAACTAAACAGAAGCATTCTCAGAAACTACTTTGTGATGTTTGTGTCCAACTTCCGGAATTGAACTTTCCTCTGGAAAGAGCAGCTATGAAACGCTCTTTTTCTAGAATGTGCAAGTGGACATTTGGAGGGCTTTGAGGCCTGCGGTGGAAAGGGAAATATCTTCACATGAAAACTATATAGAAGCATTCTCAGAAACCACTTTTTGATGATTGCATCGGACTCACAGAGTTGGACATTCCTATGGATAGAACAGTTTGTAAACACTCTTTTTGTAGAATCTGCAATTGGAGATTTGGACGGCTTTGAGGCCTACGGAAGTAAAGGAAATAACTTCACATAAAAACCAAATGGAAGCATTCACAGAAAATTCTTTGCGATGATTGTATTTAACTGAGAGAGCTGAACATTCCTTTAGATGGAGCAGTTTCCAAACACACTTTTTGTAGGATCTGCAGGTGGATATTCGGACCTCTCTGAGGATTGCGTTGGAAACGGGATAAACTTCCCAGAACTACACGGAAGCATTCTCCGAAACTTCTTTGTGATGTTTGCATACAACTCACAGAGTTGAACCTTCCTTTCATACTTCAGCTTTGAGACACTCTTTTGGTAGAATCTGCAGGTGGATATTTGGACCACTGTGAGGTCTTCGTTCGAAACGGGTACACCTTCACGTAAAAACTCAAGAGGAGCATTCTCAGAAACTTCTGTGTGATGATTGCATTCAGGTCACAGAGTTGAACCCTCCATTTGATTGAGCAGTTTGGAAACTCTCTTTTTGTAGAATCTGTAAGAGGATATGCGGACTTCTTTGAAGATTTCTTTGGAAACGGGAATATCTTCACAGAAAAACTAAACTGAAGCATTCTCGCAAACTTCTTTGTGATGTTTGTGTTCGGGTCACACAGTTTAACCTCGCTTTTCACAGAGCGGTTTTGAGACACTCCTTTCGTAGAATCTGCAAGTGGACATGTGGAGCGCTTCCAGGCCTGTGGTGGAAAAGGAAACATCTTCACATAAGAACTAGAGAGAAGTATTGTCAGAAACGTCTTTGTGATGATTGCATTCAACTCACAGAGTTGAAGATTCCGTTTGAAACAGCAGTTTTGAAACACTCTTTCTGTGGGATCGGCCAGTGGATATTTGGACCTCTTCGAAGATTTCGTTGGAAATGGGATAAACTTCACATAAAAGCTAAACCGAAGCATTCTCAGAAACTTCTTTGTGATGTTTGCATTCACCTCACAGAGTCGAACTTTCCCTCTGATACAGCACCTTTGAAACGCTCGTTTGCTAGAATCTGCAGGTGGACATTGGGAGGGCTTTGTGGACTGTGGTGGAAAAGGGAATATCTTCTCATAAAAACTACATAGAAGCACTCTCAGAAACGACTCTGTGATGATAGCATTCAACTCACAGAGTTGGACATTCATTCCTTTTGAGAGAGCAGTTTGGAATCACTCTTTCTGTCGAATCTGCAAGTGGAGATTTGGACCGCTTTGAGGCCTATGGTAGTAAAGGGAAGAACTTCATATAAGAACTAGACAGTAGCACTCTCAGAAAATTCTTTGTGACGATGGAGTTTAACTCAGAGAGCTGAACATTCGCTTTGATGGAGCAGTTTCCAAACACACTTTTGGTAGAATTTGCAAGTGTAAATTTGGACTTCTCTAAGGATTTCGTTGGAAAGGGGATAAACTTCCCAGAAGTAATCGGAAGCATTCTCCGAAACTTCTTTGTGATGTTTGCATTCAACTCACAGGCTGAACCATCCTTCCAAGTTCAGCTTTCAAACACTCTTTCTGTAGAATCTGCAAGTGGATATTTGCACCACTTTGTGGCCTTCCTTCGAAACGGGTATATCTTCACATCAAACCTAGACAGAAGCATTCTCAGAATGTTTCCTGTGAGGACTGCATTCAACTCACAGAGTTGAACAATCCTGTTGACGGAGCAGTTTTGAAACTCCCTTTCTTTGGAATCTGTAAGTGGATATGTGGACCTCTTTGAAGATTTCGTTGGAAACGGGTTCATCTTCACATAAAAACTAAACAGAAGCATTCTCAGAAACTACTTTGTGATGTTTGTGTTCAACTTCCGGAATTGAACTTTCCTCTGGAAAGAGCAGCTATGAAACGCTCTTTTTCTAGAATGTGCAAGTGGACATTTGGAGGGCTTTGAGGCCTGCGGTGGAAAGGGAAATATCTTCACATGAAAACTAGATAGAAGCATTCTCAGAAACCACTTTTTGATGATTGCATCGGACTCACAGAGTTGGACATTCCTATGGATAGAACAGTTTGTAAACACTCTTTTTGTAGAATCTGCAATTGGAGATTTGGACGGCTTTGAGGCCTACGGAAGTAAAGGAAATAACTTCACACAAAAACAAACGGAAGCATTCACAGAAAATTCTTTGCGATGATTGTATTTAACTGAGAGAGCTGAACATTCCTTTAGATGGAGCAGTTTCCAAACTCACTTTTTGTAGGATCTGCAGGTGGATATTCGGACCTCTCTGAGGATTGCATTGGAAACGGGATAAACTTCCCAGAACTACACGGAAGCATTCTCCGAAACTTCTTTGTGATGTTTGCATACAACTCACAGAGTTGAACCTTCCTTTCATAGTTCAGCTTTGAGACACTCTTTTTGTAGATTCTGCAGGTGGATATTTGGACCACTGTGAGGCCTTCGTTCGAAACGGGGACACCTTCACGTAAAAACTCAAGAGGAGCATTCTCAGAAACTTCTGTGTGGTGATTGCATTCAGGTCACAGAGTTGAACCCTCCATTTGATTGAGCAGTTTGGAAACTCTCTTTTTGTAGAATCTGTAAGAGGATATGCGGACTTCTTTGAAGATTTCTTTGGAAACGGGAATATCTTCACAGAAAAACTAAACTGAAGCATTCTCGCAAACTTCTTTGTGATGTTTGTGTTCGGGTCACACAGTTTAACCTCGCTTTTCACAGAGCGGTTTTGAGACACTCCTTTTGTAGAATCTGCAAGTGGACATGTGGAGCGCTTCCAGGCCTGTGGTGGAAAAGGAAACATCTTCACATAAGAACTAGAGAGAAGCATTGTCAGAAACGTCTTTGTGATGATTGCATTCAACTCACAGAGTTGAAGATCCCGTTTGAAACAGCAGTTTCAAAACACTCTTTCTGTGGGATCGGCCAGTGGATATTTGGACCTCTTCGAAGATTTCGTTGGAAATGGGATAAACTTCACATAAAAGCTAAACCGAAGCATTCTCAGAAACTTCTTTGTGATGTTTGCATTCACCTCACAGAGTCGAACTTTCCCTCTGATACAGCACCTTTGAAACGCTCGTTTTCTAGAATCTGCAGGTGGACATTTGGAGGGCTTTGTGGACTGTGGTGGAAAAGGGAATATCTTCTCATAAAAACTACATAGAAGCACTCTCAGAAACGACTCTGTGATGATAGCATTCAACTCACAGAGTTGGACATTCATTCCTTTTGAGAGAGCAGTTTGGAAACACTCTTTCTGTCGAATCTGCAAGTGGAGATTTGGACCGCTTTGAGGCCTATGGTAGTAAAGGGAAGAACTTCATATAAGAACTAGACAGTAGCACTCTCAGAAAATTCTTTGTGACGATGGAGTTTAACTCAGAGAGCTGAACATTCGTTTTGATGGAGCAGTTTCCAAACACACTTTTGGTAGAATCTGCAAGTGTAAATTTGGACTTCTCTAAGGATTTCGTTGGAAAGGGGATAAACTTCCCAGAAGTAATCGGAAGCATTCTCCGAAACTTCTTTGTGATGTTTGCATTCAACTCACAGGCTGAACCTTCCTTTCATAGTTCAGCTTTCAAACACTCTTTCTGTAGAATCTGCAAGTGGATATTTGCACCACTTTGTGGCCTTCCTTCGAAACGGGTATATCTTCACATCAAACCTAGACAGAAGCATTCTCAGAATGTTTCCTGTGAGGACTGCATTCAACTCACAGAGTTGAACAATCCTGTTGACGGAGCAGTTTTGAAACTCCCTTTCTTTGGAATCTGCAAGTGGATATGTGGACCTCTTTGAAGATTTCGTTGGAAACGGGTTCATCTTCACATAAAAACTAAACAGAAGCATTCTCAGAAACTACTTTGTGATGTTTGTGTTCAACTTCCGGAATTGAACTTTCCTCTGGAAAGAGCAGCTATGAAACGCTCTTTTTCTAGAATGTGCAAGTGGACATTTGGAGGGCTTTGAGGCCTGCGGTGGAAAGGGAAATATCTTCACATGAAAACTAGATAGAAGCATTCTCAGATACCACTTTGTGATGATTGCATCGGACTCACAGAGTTGGACATTCCTATGGATAGAACAGTTTGTAAACACTCTTTTTGTAGAATCTGCAATTGGAGATTTGGACGGCTTTGAGGCCTATGGAAGTAAAGGAAATAACTTCACATAAAAAGCAAACGGAAGCATTCACAGAAAATTCTTTGCGATGATTGTATTTAACTGAGAGAGCTGAACATTCCTTTAGATGGAGCAGTTTCCAAACACACTTTTTGTAGGATCTGCAGGTGGATATTCGGACCTCTCTGAGGATTGCATTGGAAACGGGATAAACTTCCCAGAACTACACGGAAGCATTCTCCAAAACTTCTTTGTGATGTTTGCATACAACTCACAGAGTTGAACATTCCTTTCATAGTTCAGCTTTGAGACAGTCTTTTGGTAGAATCTGCAGGTGGATATTTGGACCACTGTGAGGCCTTCGTTCGAAACGGTTATACCTTCACGTAAAAACTCAAGAGAAGCATTCTCAGAAACTTCTGTGTGATGATTGCATTCAGGTCACAGAGTTGAACCCTCCATTTGATTGAGCAGTTTGGAAACTCTCTTTTTGTAGAATCTGTAAGAGGATATGCGGACTTCTTTGAAGATTCCTTTGGAAACGGGAATATCTTCACAGAAAAACTAAACTCAAGCATTCTCACAAACTTCTTTGTGATGTTTGTGTTCGGGTCACACAGTTTAACCTCGCTTTTCACAGAGCGGTTTTGAGACACTCCTTTCGTAGAATCTGCAAGTGGACATGTGGAGCGCTTCCAGGCCTGTGCTGGAAAAGGAAACATGTTCACATAAGAAGTAGAGAGAAGCATTGTCAGAAACTTCTTTGTGATGATTGCATTCAACTCACAGAGTTGAAGATTCCTTTTGAAGCAGCAGTTTCGAAACACTCTTTCTGTGGGATCGGCCAGTGGATATTTGGACCTCTTTGAAGATTTCGTTGGAAATGGGATAAACTTCAGATAAAAGCTAAACCGAAGCATTCTCAGAAACTTCTTTGTGATGTTTGCATTCACCTCACAGAGTTGAACTTTCCCTCAGATACAGCACCTTGGAGACGCTCGTTTTCTAGAATCTGTAGGTGGACATTTGGAGTGCTTTGTGGACTGTGGGGGAAAAGGAAATATCTTCTCATAAAAACTACATAGAAGAACTCTCAGAAAAGACTCTGTGATGATAGCGTCGAACTCTGTGATTTAGACCTTCATTCCTTTTGAGAGAGCAGTTTGGAAACACTCTGTCGAATCTGCAAGTGGAGATTTGGACCACTTTGAAGCCTACGGTAGTAAAGGGAAGAACTTCATATAAGAACTAGACAGTAGCACTCTCAGAAAGTTCTTTGTGACTATCGAGTTTAACTCAGAGTTGAACATTCGTTTTGATGGAGCAGTTTCCAAACACACTTTTTGTAGAATCTGCAAGTGGAAATTTGGACTTCTCTGAGGATTTCGTTGGAAACTGTATAAACTTCCCAGAAGTAATCGGAAGCATTCTCCGAAACTTGTTTGTGATGTTTGCATTCAACTCACAGGGTTGAACCTTCCTTTCATAGTTCAGCTTTCAAACACTCTTCCTGTAGAATCTGCATGTGGATATTTGCACCACTCTGTGGCCTTCCTTCGAAGCGGGTATATCTTCACATCAAACCTAGACAGAAGCATTCTCAGAATGTTTCCTGTGAGGACTGCATTCAACTCACAGAGTTGAACAATCCTGTTGACGGAGCAGTTTTGAAACTCACTTTCTTTGGAATGTGCAAGTGGATATGTGGAACTCTTTGAAGATTTCATTGGAAACGGGTTAATCTTCACATAAAAACTAAACAGAAGCATTCTCAGAAACTACTTTGTGATGTTTGTGTTCAACTTCCAGAGTTGAACTTTCCTCTGGAAAGAGCAGCTATGAAACACTCTTTTTCTAGAATGTGCAAGTGGACATTTGGAGGGCTTTGAGGCCTGCGGTGGAAAAGGAAATATCTTCACATGAATACTAGATAGAAGCATTCTCAGAAACTACTTTGTGATGATTGCATTCGACTCACAGAGTTGGACATTCCTATGGATAGAACAGTTTGTCAACACTCTTTTTGTAGAATCTGCCGTTGGATATTTGGACGGCTTTGAGACCTACGGTAGTAAAGGAAATAACTTCATATAAAAACCAGATGGAAGCATTCACAGAAAATTCTTTGTGATGATTGTATTTAACTGAGAGAGCTGAACATTCCTTTAGACGGAGCAGTTTCCAAACACACTTTTTGTAGGATCTGCAAGTGGATATTCGGACCTCTCTGAGGATTGTGTTGGAAACGGGATAAACTTCCCAGAACTACACGGAAGCATTCTCCGAAACTTCTTTGTGATGTTTGCATACAACTCACAGAGTTGAACCTTCCTTTCATAGTTCAGCTTTGAGACACTCTTTTGGTAGAATCTGCAGGTGGATATTTGGACCACTGTGAGGCCTTCGTTCGAAACGGGTATATCTTCCCGTAAAAACTCAAGAGAAGCATTCTCAGAAACTTCTGTGTGACGATTGCAGTCAAGTCACAGAGTTGAACCCTCCATTTGATTGAGCAGTTTGGAAACTCTCTTTTTGTAGAATCTGTAAGAGGACATGCGGACTTCTTTGAAGATTTCTTTGGAAACGGGAATATTTTCACAGAAAAACTATACTGAAGCGTTCTCCCAAACTTCTTTGTGATGTTTGTGTTCGAATCACACAGTTTAACCTCGCTTTTCATAGAGCGGTTTTGAGACACTCCTTTCGTAGAACTGCAAGTGGACATTTGGAGTGCGTCCAGGCCTGTGGTGGAAAAGGAAACATCTTCACATAAAAACTAGATAGAAGCATTCTCAGAAACTACTTTGTGATGATTGCATTCGACTCACAGAGTTGAACATTCCTATGGATAGTGCAGTTTGTAAACACTCTTTTTGTACAATCTGCAATTGGAGATTTGGACTGCTTTGTGGCCTACGGTATTAAAGGAAATAACTTCACATAAAAACCAAACGGAAGCATTCACAGAAAATTCTTTGTGATGATTGTATTTATCTCAGAGAGCTGAACATTCCTGTAGATGGAGCAATTTCCAAAGACACTTTTTGTAGATTCTGCAAGTGGATATTTGGACCTCTCTGAGAATTTCGTTGGAAACGGGAGAAACTTCCCAGAACTACACGGAAGCATTCTCCGAAACTTCTTTGTGAGGTTTGCATTCAACTCACAGAGTTGACCTTCCTTTCATAGTTTAGGTATGAAACACTCTTTTTGTAGAATCTGCAGGTGGGAATTTGGACCACTGTGTGCCCTTCGCTGGAAACGGGTATATCTTCACGTAAAAACTCAAGAGAAGCATTCTCAGAATCTTCTGGGTGATGATTGCATGCAAGTCACAGAGTTGAGCCCTCCTTTTGATTGAGCCGTTTGGAAACTCTCTTTTTGTAGAATCTGTAAAAGGATATGTGGACCTCTTTGAAGATTTCTTTGGAAACGGGAATATCTTCACAGAAAAACTAAACTGAAACATTCTCAGAAACTTCTTTGTGATGTTTGTGTTCGAGTCACACAGTTTCACATTGCTTTTCATAGAGGAGTTTTGAAACTCTCCTTTCGTAGAATCTGCAAGTGGACATTTGGAGCGCTTTCAGGTCTATAATGGAAAAGAAAATATCTTCACATAAAAACTAGACAGAAGCATTCTCAGAAACTGCTTTGTGATGATTGCATTCAACTCACAGAGTTGAAGATTGCATTTGAAACAGCAGTTTCTAAACACTCTTTCTGTGGGATCTGCAAGTGGATATTTGGACCTCTTTGAAGATTTCGTTGGAAAAGGGATAATCTTCACATAAAAGCTAAACTGAAGCATTATCAGAAACTTCTTTGTGATGCGTGCATTCAACTCACAGAGTTGAACATTCCTTTAGATAGAGTAGTTTTGAAATGCCTTTTTGACGAATCTGCAAATGGATATTTGGACCGCTTTGAGGAATTCGTTGGAAACGGGTATATCTTAACATCGAAACTAGACAGAAGCATTGACAGAAATTTCTTTGGGATCTGTGCTTTCAACTCACAAAGTTTAACCTTTATTTTGGTAAAGCAGTTGTGAAACACTATTTTTGTGGAATCTGCGAGTGGATATTTGGAACGCTTTGAAACCTTTGTTGAAAAAGTAAATATCTTCCCAAAAAAACTAGAAAGAAGCATTCTCAGAAACTTTGTTGTGATGGGTGCATTCAACCCACAGAGTTGAACATTCCTTTTGATAGAGCGGTTTTGAAACACTGTTTTGTTGGAATCTGCAAGTGGATATTTGGAACGCTTTGGGGCCTATGCTGAAAAAGGAAATATTTTCTCATAAAAACTAGACGGAAGCATTCTCAGAAACTTCTTTGTGACGTGTGCGTTCAACCCAAATAGTTGAATATTCCTTTAGATAGAGCCGTTTTGAAATACCCTTTTGTAGATTCTGCTAGTGGATATTTGACTGCTATGTGGAATTCTTTGGAAACGGGTATATCTTAATGTTAAAACTAGACAGAAGCATTCTCAGAAATTTCTTCATGATCTGTGCATTCAACTCAAGGAGTTGAACCTTTCTTTTGGTAGATCAGTTTTGAAACACTATTTTTTTGGAATCTGCAAGTGGACATTTGGAGGGCAGTGAGGCCTTAGGTGGAAAAGGAAATATCTTCCCATAAAAACTACAGAGAAGGATCCTCAGCAACTTCTTTGTGATGATTGCATTCAACTCACAGAGTTGAAGGTTCCTTTTGACAGAGCAGTTTTGAAACACTCTGCTTATAGAATCTGCAAGTGGATATTTGGAAAAATTTGAGGCCTATGGTAGTAAAGGAAATATCTTCATACAAAAACTAGACAGATGCATTCTCAGAAACTTCTTTGTGTTTGGTGAATTCAACTCACAGAGTTGAACATTCCTCTTGATGAGATAGTTTTGAAACACACTTTTGTAGAATCTGTAAGTGGATATTTGGACCTCTTTGAGTATTTCGTTGGAACACGCATAGACTTCAAATTACTAAACGGAAACATTCTCAGAAAATTCTTTGTGATGTTTGCATTCAACTCACAGAGTTGAAACTTCCTTTGATAGTTCACGTTTCAAACAAACACTCTTTTTGTAGAATCTGCAAGAAGACATTAAGAGTGCTGTGTGGCCAGTGGTGGTAAAGGAAATATCTTCACATAAAAAGAAGATAGAAGAATTCTCAGAAAATTCTCTCTGATGATTGCATTCAACTCACAGAGTTGAACATTCCGTTTGGAACAACAGTTTTGAAACACTGTTTTTGTAGAATCTGCAAGGGGATATTTGGACGTCTTTGAAGATTTCGTTGGAAGCGGGATTGTCTTCACATAAAATCTAAACAGAAGCATTCTCGGAAATTTCTATCTGATGTTTGCATTCAACTCACAGAGTTGAACATTCCTTTTGATGGAGCAGTTTTGAAACACTCTTTTTCTAGAGTCTGCAAGTGGACATTTGGAGGGCTTTGAGGCCTGTGGTGGAAAAGGAAATATCCTCACATAAAAACTAGACAGAATAATTCTCAGAAAATTCTCTCTGATGATTGCATTCAACTCACAGAGTTGAACATTCCCTTTGGAACAACAGTTTTGAAACACTCTTTTTGTAGAATCTGCAAGGGGATATTTGGACCTCTTTGAAGATTTCGTTGGAAACGGGATAATCTTCACATAAAAACTAAACAAAAGCATTCTCAGAAACTGCTTAGTGTTGTTTGTATTCGACTCTGAGGGTTGAACATTCCTTTTGATTGAGCAGTTTTGAAACACTCTTTTTCGAGAATCTGCAAGTGGACATTTGGAGGGCTTTGAGGCCTCTGGTGGAAAAGCAAATATCTTCATATAACAACTAGATAGAAGAATTATCAGAAACCACTTTGTGATGATTGCATTCAACCCACAGAGTTGAACATTCCTTTTGATAGAGCAGTTTTCTAACACTTTTTTTGTAGAATCTGCAAGTGGACATTTGGACTGTTTTGAGGACTACGGTAGTAAAGGAAATAACTTCATATAAAAACTAGACAGAAGCATTCTCTGAAACTTCTTTGTGATGATTGAGTTCAACACACAGAGCTGAATATTCCTTTTTATGGAGCAGTTTCAAAACACACTTTTTGTACAATCTGCAAGTGGATATTTGGACTTCTTTGAGGATTTCGTTGGAAATGGGATAAGCTTCACATAACTAAACAGAAGCATTCTCAGAAAATTATTTGTGATGTTTGCATTCAATGAACAGAGTTGAAACTTAATTTGACAGTGCAGGTTGGAAACAGTCTCTTCGTAGAGTCTGCAAGGGGATATTTGGACCACTTTTTGGCCTTCGTTTGAAACGGGTATATCTTCACAAAGAAACTAGACAGAAGCATTCTCAGAAACTTCCTTGTGATTTCTGCATTCAACTCAGAGAGTTGGAAGTTCCTTTTGTTATAGCAGTCTTGAAACACTCTTTTTGTATATTCTGCAATTGCACATTGGCATGCTTTGAGGTCGATGCTAGTAAATATCTTCATATAAAAACTAGACAGAAGCATTCTCAGAAACTTCATTGTGATGTGTGCATTCAACTCAGAAAGTTGAACATTTCCTTTGATAGAGCAGATTTGAAACTCTCTTTTTGTGGAATCTGCAAGTAGACATTTGGAGCGCTGTGAGGCCTGTGGTGGAAAAGGAAATATCTTCATATAAAAACTAGACAGAAGCGTTCACAGAAACTACTCTGTGATGATTGCATTCGACTCACAGAGTTGAACATTCCTATTGATAGAGCAGTTTTGAAACTCTCTTTTTGTAGAATCTACAACTGGATATTTGGACCTCTTTGAAGATTTCATAGGAAACGGTTGTATCTTCACTTAAGTACTAAACAAAAGCATTCTCAGAAACAACTTTGTGATGTTTGTGTTCAGCTCACAGAGTTTAACATTGCTTTCCATAGAGCATTTTTGAAACTTTCTTTTGTAGTATCTGCTAGGGGACATTTGGAGAGCTTTGAGGCCTGTGGTGGAAAAGGAAAAATCTTGACATAAGAATTAGAGAGAAGCATTCTCAGAAACTACGTTGAGATGATTGCATTTGACTCATAGAGCTGAACATTCCTTTAAGAAGAGCAGTTTGAAACACTATTCTGCAGAATCTTCAAGTGTATATTTGGACCTCTTTGAAGATTTCTATGGAAAAGGGAATACCTTCACATAAAAACTAAACAGAAGCACTCTCAGAAACTTCTTTGTGAAGTTTGTATTCAACTCACAGAGTTTAACACAGCTTTTCATAGAGCAGTTTTGAAACATTCTTTTCTTAGAATCTGCAATTGGACATTTGGAGCACTTTGAGGCCTGTGGTGGAAAAGGAAATATATTCCCATAAAAATTAGATAGAAGCATTCTCAGAAATTTCTTTGTGATGATTGCATTCAACTCACAGTGTTGAAGATTCCTATTGTAACAGATGTTTGGAAATACTCTTTCTGTAGAATTTGCAAGTGGATATTTGCACCTCTTTGAGGATTTCATTGGAAACGGAATATCTTCACCTAAAAATTAAACAGAAGCACTCTCAGAAACTTCTTGTGATGTTTCCATTCAACTCACAGTGTTGAACATTCCTTTTGATAGAGTAGTTTTGAAACACGCTTTTTCTAGAATCTGCAAGTGGACATTTGGAGGGCTTTGTGGCCAGTGGTGGAAAAGGAAATATCTATACATGAAAACTAGATGGAAGCATTCTCAGAAACTACTTTGTGATGATTGCATTGAACTCACAGAGTTGAACATTCCTTTTGACAGAGAGTTTTGAAACACTCGTTTTGTAGAATCTGCAAGTGGATATTTGGACCGATTTGAGGCCTATGGTAGTAAAGGAAATAACTTCATATGAAAACTAGGCAGATGCATTCCCAGAAACTTCTTTGTGATGATTGAGCTCACCTCACAGAGCTGAACATTACTTTTGATGGAGCAGTTTCGAAACAAACTTTCTGTAGGATCTGCATTTGGATATGTGGACCTCTTTGAGGATTTCTTTGGAAATGGGATATATTTCACAGAACTAAACAGAAGCATTCTCAGAAACTTATTTGTGATGTTTGCATTCAACTCACAGAGTTGAAACTTCCTTTGATAGTTCAGGTTTGAAACACTCTTTTTGTAGAATCTGCAAGTGGATATTTGGACCACTGTGTGGCCTTCGTTCAAAACGGCTATACCTTCACATAAAAACTAGACAGAAGAAAAATCAGAAACTTCCTTGTGATGTCTGCATTCACATCAGAGATTTGAAACTTCCTATTGATAGAGCAGTCTTTAAACACTCTTTTTGTAGAATCTGCAACTGGACATTGGCAGCACTTTGAGGCCTATGCTAGCAAAGGAAATATCTTCATATAAAAACTAGACAGAAGCATTCTCAGAAACTACTTTGTGATGTGCGTATTCAACTCAGAAAGTTGAAACTTTCTTTTGATAGAACAGTTTTGAAACTCTCTTTTTGTATAATCTGCAAGTAGACATTTGGAGCACTGCGAGGCCTGTGGTGGAAAAGGAAATATCTTCACAAAAAACTAGACAGAAGCATTCTCAGAAACTTCTCTGTGATGATTGCATTCAACTCACAGAGTTGAACACTCCTGTTGATAGAGCAGTTTTTAAACACTCTTTTTGTAGAATCTGCAAGTGGAGATTTGGACTGCTTTGAGGCATATGATAGTATAGGAAATAACTTCATGTAAAAACCTGACAAAAGCATTCTCAGAAACTCATAGAGCTGAGCATTCCTTTTGATGGAGCAGTTTCAAATCACACGTTTGGCATAATCTGCAAGTGGGTATTTGGACCACTTTGAGGATTCCATTGTAAAAGGGATAAAATTGACGTAATTAAACAGAAGCATTCTCAGAAACATCTTTGTGAAGTTTGCATTCAACACACAGAGTTGAAATTTCCTTTGATAGTTCAGGATTGAAACACTGTTTTTGTAGAATCTGTAAGTGGATATTTGGACCACTTTGTGGCCTTCGTTCGAAACGGGTATATCCTCACATAAAAACTAGACAGAAGCATTCTCAGAAGCTTCTCTGTGATGATTGCATTCATCTCACAAGTTGAACACTCCTTTTGATATATCAGTTTTGAAACACTCTTTTTGAAGAATCTGCAAGTGGAAATTTGGACTGCTTTGCAGCCTACGGTACTAAACGAAATAACTTCATATAAAAACTAGACAGAAGCATTCTCAGAAAATTTTTGTGATGATTGAGTTTAACTCACAGAGCTGAACATTCCTTTGGATGGAGCAGTTTCAAAACACACTTTTTGTAAAATCTGCAAGTGGACATTTTTACCTCTCTGAGGATTTCGTTGGAAACGGGATAAATATCACATAAATAAACAGAAGCATTCTCAGAAAATTCTTTGTGATGTTTGCATTCAACTCACGGAGTTGGAACTTCCTTTAATAGTTCAGGTTTGAAACACTCTTTTCGTAGAATCTGCAAGTGGATATTTGGACCAATTTGTGGCCTTCATTCCAAACGTGTATATCTTCACATTAAAACTACACAGAAGCATTCTCAGAAACTTTTCTGTGATGACTACGTTCAACTCACACAGTTGAACACTCCTTGTGGTACAGTAGTTTTGAAACTCTCTTTCTGTGGAATCTGCAAGTGGATATGCGGATCTCTTTGAAGATTTCCTTGGAAACTGGATCATCTTCACAGAAAAACTAAACAGAAGCATTCTCAGAGACTGATTTCTGTTGTTTGTATTCAAATTCTGGAGTTGAACTTTCCTTTTGAAACAGCAGCTGTGAAACACAATTTTTCAAGAATCTGCAAGTGGACATTTGGAGGGCTTTGAGGCCTGTGGTGGAAAAGGAAATATCTTCACATAAAAACTAGATAGAAGCATTCTCAGAAACCATTTTGTGGTGATTGCATTCAACTCACAGAGTTCAACGTTCATACTGAAAGAGCAGTTTGGAAACCCTCTTTTTGTAGAATCTGCAAGTGGAGATTTGGACCGCATTGAGGCCTATGGGAGTAAAGGAAATAACTTCATATAAAAACTAAACAGAAGCATTCTCAGAAAATCCTTTTTGATGGTTGAGTTTAACTCACAGAGCTGAACATTCTTTTGATGGAGCAGTTTCAAAACAGTCTTTTTGTAGAATCTGCAAGTGGATATTTGGATCTCTTGGGAGGATTTCATTGGAAATTAGATAAAATTCACATAACTAAACAGAAGCATTCTCAGAAACTTCTTTGTCATGTTTGCATTCAACTCACAGAGTTGAACCTTGCTTTCATAGTTCATGTTTGCAACACTCTTTTTGTAGAATCTGCAAGTGGATATTTGGACGACTTTGTGGCCTTCATTCGAAACGGGTATATCTTCACATGAAAACTAGACAGAAGCATTCTCAGAAACATCACTGTCATGATTGCATTCAACTCACAGATTTGAACACTCCTTTTGATTGAGCAGTTTTGAAACTCCCTTTCTATAGAATCTGCAAGTGGATAAGTGGACCTCTTTGAAGATTTCTTTGGAAACAGCAATGTCTTCACATAAAAACTAAACAGTAACATTCTCAGAAACTTCTTTGTGATGTTTGTGTACAAGTCACAGGGTTTAACATCGCTTTTCATAGAGCAGTTTTGAAACATTCTTTTCATAGAATGTGCAAGTGGACATTTGGAGTGCTTTCAGGCCTGTGATGGAAAAGGAAATATCTTCACATAAAAACTAGACAGAAGCATTGTCAGAAACTACTTTGTGATGATTGCATTCAACTCACAGAGTTGAAGATTCCTTTTGAAACAGCAGTTTCAAAACACACTTTCTGTGGAATCCAGAAGAGGATGTTTGGACCTCTTTGAAGATTTTGTTGGAAACGGGATAATCTTCACATAAAAGCTAAACAGAAGAATTCTCAGAACCTTCTTTGTGATGTTTGCATTCACCTCACCGAGCTGAACTTTTCCTTTGATAGAGCAGCTTTGAAACACTCTTTTTGTAGGATCTGCAAGTGGATATTTGGAGGGCTTTGAGGACTGTGGTGGAAAAGGAAATATCTTCTCATAAAAACTAGATAGAAGGATTCTCAGAAACTACTTTGTGATGATTGCATTCAACTCACAGAGTTGAACATTCCTTTTGATAGAGCAGTTTGGAAACACTCTTTTGTAGAATTTCCAAGTGCAGATTTGGACCGCTTAGTGGCCTATGGTAGTAAAGGAAATAAGTTCATATAAAAACTAGACAGTAGCAGTCTCAGAAAATTCTTTGTGACAATTGAGTTTAACTCACAGAGCTGAACATTCGTTTTGTTGGAGCAGTTTCCAAACACACTTTTTTTAGAATCTGCAAGTGGATATTTGAACTTCTCTCAGGATGTCGCTGGAAACGGGATAAACTTCACATAACAAAACAGAAACATTCTCTGTATATGCTTTGTGATGTTTGCATTCAACTCACAGAGTTGAACCTTCCTTTGTTAGATCAGGTTTGAAATACTCTTTTAATAGAATCTGTAAGTGGATATTTAGACCACTTTCTGGCCTTCATTTGAAACGGTTATAACTTCACATAATAACTAGACAGAAGCATTCTCAGAAACTTCCTTGTGAGGTCTGCTTCAGCTCTGAGAGTTGAAACTTCCTACTTATAGAGCAGTCTTGAAACACTATTTTTGTATAATCTGCAACTGGACATTGACAGCGCTTTGAGGCTTATGCTAGTAATGGAAATATCTTCATATAAGAACTAGACAGAAGCAAACTCAGAAACTTCTTTGAGATGTGTGGATTCAACTCAGAAAGCTGAATCTTTCTTTTGATTGAGCACTTTTGAAACTCTCTCTTTTTGTAGAATCTACAAGGAGACATTTGCAGCGCTGTGAGGCCTGCAGTGGAAAAGGAAATATCTTCACATGAAAACTAGTCATAAGCATCTTCAAAACTTCTCTGTGACGACTGCATTCAACTCAAAGAGTTGAACACTCCTTTTGATAGAGCAGTTTTGAAACTCCCTTTTTGTAGAATCTGCAAGTGGATATGTTGTCCTCCTTGAAGATTTCTTCGGAGACGGGAATATTTTCACATAAAAACTAAACAGAACATTCTCAGAAACTTCTTTGTGATGCCTGTATTCAACTTCCAGAGTTGAACTTTCCTGTGGAAAGAGCAGCTATGAAACACTCTTTTTCTAGAATCTGCAAGTACACATTTGGAGGGCTTTGAGGCCAGTGGTGGAAAAGGAAATATCTTCACATAAAAACTAGATAGAAGCATTCTCAGAAACTACTTTGTGATGACTGCATTCACCTCACAGAGTTGAACATTCCTATTGATAGAGGACTTTGGAAACACTCTTTTTGTAGAATCTGAAAGTGGAGATTTGGACCGCCTTGAAGCCTATGGTAGTAAAGGAAATAACTTCATATAAAAACTAGACAGAAGCATTCTCAGAAAATTCTTTGTGATGATTGAGTTTAACTCACAGAGCTGAACATTCCTTTTGATGGAGCAGTTTCAAAGCACACTTTTTTTAAAACGTGCAAGTGGATATTTGGACCTCTCTGAGGATTTCATGGGAAACTGGATAAACTTCACATAACTAAACGGAAGCATTCTCAGAAACTTCTTTGTGATGTTTGCATTCAACTCACAGAGATGAAACTTCCTTTGATAGTTCAGGTTTGAAACACTCTATTTGTAGAATCTGCAAGTGGATATTTGGACCACTTTGTGGCCTTCATTCGAAATGGGTATATCTTCACATAAAAACTAGACAGAAGCATTCTTAGAAACTTCTCTGTGATGATTGCATTCAACTCACAGAGTTGAACACTCATTTTGATTGAGCAGTTTGGAAATTCCCTTTTTATAGAATCTGCAAGTGGATATGTGCACCTCTTTGAAGATGTCCTTGGAAACAGGAATATCTTCACATAAAAACTAAACAGAAGCATTCTCAGAAACTTCATTGTGATGTTTGTGTTAAAGTCACAGAGTATAACATTGCTTATCATAGAGCAGTTTTGAAACATTCTTTTCGTTGAATCTGCAAGTCGACATTTGGAGCACTTTCAGGCCTGTGGTGGAAAAGGAAATATCTTCACATAAAAACGAGAGAAGCATTGTCAGAAATTTCTTTGTGATGATTGCATTCAACTCACAGAGTTGAAGATTCCTTTTGAAACAGCAGTTTCGAAACACTCTTTCTGTGGAATCCGCAAGTGGATATTTGCACCTCTTTGAAGATTTCATTGGAAACGGGATAATCTTCACATAAAAGCTAAACTGAAGCATTCTCAGAAACTTCTTTGTGATGTTTGCATTCACCTCACAGAGCTGAACTTTCCCTTTGATAGAGTGACTTTGAAAAACTCTTTTTCTAGAGTCTGCAGTTGGACAATTGGAGGGCTTTGAGTACTGTGGTGGAAAAGGAAATATCTTCTCATAAAAACTAGATGGAAGCATTCTCAGAAACTACTTTGTGATGATTGCATTCAACTCACTGAGTTGAACATTCCTTTTGATAGAGCAGTTTGGAAACACTCTTTTTGTATAATCTGGAAATGGAGATTTGGACTGCTGTGAGGCCTGTGGTAGAAAAGGATATAACTTCATATAAAAACTATGACAGTAGCACTCTCACAAAATTCTTGGTGAAGACTGAGTTTAACTCACAAAGCTGAACATTCCTTTTGATGGAGCAGTTTTGAAACACACTTTTTGTAGAATCTGCAAGTGGATATTTGGAGGTCTCTGAGGAAATTGTTGCAAATGGGATAATCTTCACATAAATAAACGGAAGAATTCTCAGAAACTTCTTTGTGATGTTTGCATTCAACTCACAGTGTTGAACTTTTCTTTGATAGTTCAGGTTTGAAACACTCTTTTTGTAGAATCTGCAAGTGGATATTTGGATCACTGTGTGGCCTTCATTCGAAACGGGTATAACTTCACGTAAAAACTCAAGAGAAGCATTCTCAGAAACTTCTGTGTGATGATTGCATTCAAGTCACAGAATTGAACCCTCCTTTTGATTGAGCAGTTTTGAAACTCTCTTTTTGTAGAATCTGTAAAAGGATATGTGGACCTCTTTGAAGATTTCTTTAGAAACAGGAGTATATTCAGAGAAAAACTAAACTGAAGCATTCTCAGAAACTTCTTCGTGATGTTTGTGTTCGAGTCACAGAGTTTAACATTGCTTTTCATAGAGCAGTTTTGAAACATTCTTTTAGTACAATCTGCAAGTGGACATTTGGAGCGCTTTCAGGCCTGTGGTGGAAAAGAAAATATCTTCACATAAAAACTAGAGAGAAGCATTGTCAGAAACTTCTTTGTGATTATTGCATTCAACTCAGAGTTGAAGATTCCTTTTGAAACAGCAGTTTCTAAACACTCTTTCTGTGGGATCCGCAAGTGGATATTTGGACCTCTTTGAGGATTTCATTGGAATCTGGATCATCTTCACATAAAAGCTAAACAGAAGCATTCTCAAAAACTTCTTTGTGATGTTTGCATTCACCTCACAGAGTTGAACTTTCACTTTGATAGAGCAGCTTTTAAACACTCTTTTTCTAGAATCTGCAAGTGGACATTTGCAGGGCTTTGGGGACTCTGTTGGAAAAGGAAATATCTTCTCATGAAAACTACCTAGAAGCGTTCTCAGAAACTACTCTGTGATGATTGCATTCAACTCACAGAGTTGAACATTCCTTTTGAAAGAGCAGTTTGGAAACACTCTTTCTGTAGAATCTGCAAGTGAAGATTTGTACGACTTTGAGGCCTATGGTAGTAATGGAAAGAACTTCATATAAAAACTAGACAGTAGCACTCTCAGAAAATTCTTTGTGACGATTGAGTTTAACTCAGAGAGCTGAACATTCGTTTTGATGGAGCAGTTTGCAAACACACTTTTTGTAGAATCTGCAAGTGGATATTTGGATCTCTGTGAGGATTTCATTGGAAAAGGGATAAACTTCCCATAACTAAATGGAAGCATTCTCCGAAACTTCTTTGTGAAGTTTGGATTCAACTCACAGTGTTGAACCTTCCTTTGATAGTTCAGGTTTGAAACACTCTTTTAGTAGAATCTGCAAGTGGATATTTGGACCACTTTGTGTCCTTCGTTCGAAGCGGGTATATCTTCACATCAAACCTAGACAGAAGCATTCTCAGAAAATTTTCTAGAAAAATCTAGAAGAAATGGATAAATTCCTTGACACATACACTCTCCGAAGACTAAACCAGGAATAAGTTGAATCTCTGAATAGACCAATAACAGGAGCTAAAATTGTGGCAATAATCAATTGCTTACCAACCAAAAAAGGTCCAGGACCAGAAGGATTCACAGCCGAATTCTACCAGAGGTACAAGGAGGAACTGGTACCATTCCTTCTGAAACTATTCCAAGCAATAGAAAAAGAGAGAATCCTCCCTAACTCATTTTAAGAGGCCAGCATCATTCTGATACCAAAGCCCTCCAGAGACACAACAAAAAAGTGAATTTTATACCAATATCCTTCATGAACATCGATGCAAAAATCCTCAATAAAATACTGGTAAACCCAATCCAGCAGCACATCAAAAAGCTTATCCACCATGATCAAGTGGGCTTCATCCCTGTGATGCAAGGCTGGTTCAATATATGCAAATCAATAAATGTAATCCATGATATAAACAGAGCCAAAGACAAAAACCACATGATTATCTCAATAGATGCAGAAAAGGCCTTTGACAAAATTCAGCAACACTTCAGGCTAAAAACTCTCAATAAATTAGGTATTGATGGGACGTATCTCAAAATAATAAGAGCTAAAACCCACAGCCAATATCATACTGAATGGGCAAAACTGGAAGCATTCCCTTTGAGAACTGGCACAAGACAGGGATGCCCTCTCTCACCACTCCTATTCAACATAGTGTTGGAAGTTCTGGCCAGGGCAATTAGGCAGGAGAAGGAGATAAACGGTATTCAATTAGAAAAAGAGGAAGAGAAATTGTCCCTGTTTGCAGATGACATGATTGTATATCTAGAAAACCCCGTTGTCTCAGCCCAAAATCTCCTTAAGCTGATAAGCAACTTCAGCAAAGTCTCAGGATACAAAATCAATGTACAAAAATCACAAGCATTCTTATACACCAACAACAGACAAACAGAGAGCCAAATCATGAGTGAACTCCCATTCACAATTGCTTCAAAGAGAATAAAATACCTAGGAATCCAACTTAGAAGAGATGTGAAGGACCTGTTCAAGGAGAACTACAAACCACTGCTCAATGAAATAAAAGAGGATTCAAACAAATGGAAGAACATTCCATGCTCATGGGTAGGAAGAATCAATATGTGAAAATGGCCATACTGCCCAAGGTAATTTACAGATTCAATGCCATCCCCATCAAGCTACCAATGCCTTTCTTCACAGAATTGGAAAAAACTACTTTAAAGTTCATATGGAACCAAAAAAGAGCCCACATCACCAAGTCAATCCTAAGCCAAAAGAACAAAGCTGGAGGCATCACACTACCTGACTTCAAACTATACTACAAGGCTACAGTAACCAAAACAGAATGGTACTGGTACCAAAACAGAGATATAGATCAATGGAACAGAACAAAGCCCTCAGAAATAATGCTGCATATCTACAACTATCTGATCTTTGACAAACATGAGAAAAACAAGCAATGGGGAAAAGATTCCCTATTTAATAAATGGTGCTGGAAAACTGGCTAGCCATATGGAGAAAGCTGAAACTGGATCCCTTCCTTACCCCTTACGCAAAAATCAATACAAGATGGATTAAAGACTTAAACGTTAGACCTAAAACCATCAAAACCCCAGAAGAAAACCTAGGCATTACCATTCAGGACATAGGCACGGGCAAGGACCTCATGTGTAAGACACCAAAAGCAATGGCAACAAAAACCAAAATTGACAAATGGGATCTAATTAAACTAAAGAGTTTCTGCACAGCAAAAGAAACTATCATCAGAGTGAACAGGCCACCCACAAAATGAGAGAAAATTTTTGCAACCTACTCATCTGATGAAGGGCTAATATCCAGAGTCTACAATGAATTCAAACAAATTCACAAGAAAAAAACAAACAACCCCATCAAAAAGTGGGTGAAGGACATGAACAGACACTTCTCAAAAGAAGACATTTATACAGCCAAAAAGCACATGAAAAAATGCTCATCATCACTGGCCATCAGAGAAATGCAAATCAAAACCACAATGAGATACCATCTCACACCAGTTAGAATGGCAATCATTAAAAAGTCAGGAAACCACAGGTGCTGGAGAGGATGTGGAGAAATAGGAACACTTTTACACTGTTGGTGGGACTGTAAACTAGTTCAACCATTGTGGAAGTCAGTGTGGCAATTCCTCAGGGATCTAGAACTAGAAATACCATTTGACCCAGCCATCCCATTACTGGGTATATACCCAAAGGACTATAAATCATGCTGCCATAAAGACACATGCACACCTATGTTTATTGCGGCACTATTCACTATAGCAAAGACTTGGAACCAACCCAAACGTCCATCACTGATAGACTGGATTAAGAAAATGTGGCACATATACACCATGGAATACTATGCAGCCATAAAAAATGATGAGTTCATATCCTTTGCAGGGACGTGGATGAAATTGGAAATCATCATTCTCAGTAAACTATCACAAGGACAAAAAACCAAACACCACATGTTCTCACTCAGAGGTGGGAATTGAACAATGAGAACTCATGGACACAGGAAGGGGAACATCACACTCTGGGGACTGTTGTGGGGTGAGGGGAGGGGGGAGGGATAGCATTGGGAGATATACCTAATGCTAGATGACGAGTTAGTGGGTGCAGCGCACCAGCATGTCACATGTATACATATGTAACTAACCTGCACATTGTGCACATGTACCCTAAAACTTAAAGTATAATAATAAAAAATATAATAAAATAAAAAAGATAAAGAAAAAAATTAAAAACATGAGTGACAGAGAAGTTTAGTTATCTTAGTGGTGTACAATGACTTAACAACCTTTGTTATAATTAATAGCACATACTGAGACAATAGAATTTTATAAATCCCACACAATTGTGGAGCATATATTAATATTATTCACTAAAATATAACTTGAAGAATGTTAAACATCGTTGTGGAAACTCACATGCCTAAACATGTCAAATAAGCCTGTTTACCTTTCTTTCAAATGCTTCATTGGCCCTCTGTGGCATCCAGAAGCTAGAGGTCAGGAAAGACAACGTTGAAACTGAGGTTTGATTTTCGGAAGCCTCTTATATATGTTAGAGATTTAAAACACTTGATGTTATGAAATAGAATTCCAGGTTACCATAAGTCATTTATTTTGCCATAATGATGAAAAAAGACAAAAATCTTTTATTAACGTTTACTATTATATGAAAATCCTGTTCAAAGCCAAATTTTACCCTTGTATTAGTTTATTAATATGAACCCAATTTTTAAATGAAAAATCATTGGCAATTCCATCTAATCTTAACCAATTTGACCATTAATTTTTACAAACTTTTTATAACCCTTTTGCTAAAGGGCAGACCAGTGTTTTAAGACACCCTTGTTGTGCTTTTATTTCAGTGCTCAATTTATGAAAAGAACATATAATACCGTTTTGAAATTAGTTAATGTTTACAGATGATATTTTTGCAAGATTAATTTTTATAATCTTTCCAATACTTGCTTAAACCTTCAGCTTTATCATATCTAATTTAAGACAATCCTTTATCCCTAGCAAAATGTACACTTCTATGCCTTCTTATAGTCTTCTACTAAAAACATATTTTACTGTTTTTACACACCTTGCATGTAAGTCTATTTTAATTACATGTTATAATGCTGACTTTTAGCAATTTTTAACTTTAATGTGAAACCTGGTAAGTTGTTTTGATTATGTAGTAGGCACAGATTAAGTTTGAATTTTTCCAGCATAGTTAGGGACATGGATAATTTTGCATTTCCCCAGGCCTTATGAAGTTGTAAAGCAGGAGTTTGCATGGAAATATTTAGCAAACCTTGTATCTGACTTATATGATTTAGACCACCTATTTGCCTGTATTGGATGCCACCTGTATTTTACCAATAATCCTTAAGGCTTTTTTATTTTTTAAAAGTTAAAGTCACTTGAGCTAAAAAACATTACAGCTTTCATCTTTCCTTTAAAAATTATTTGATTTAAGTGCTTATTTTTCTTTAAGCCAATCAATTGGAGCTCTTTTTATAGACGTTACACATAACACACATAACTACACAGACAAACAGAAAAAGACTCAGTTGTTATAAGATTTATCTTCAGTTGGATTATTGGTCTCTGGGTGAGGCCCTTTAAGAGTGGGGCTAGGAGAGCATGCGGTTTTTAAGGAAGACAAAAACACATTTTTGAGAGGGATCTATCCGCCACTAATTCCTGGAGTTCCATGAGGAAAAACAGAGATTTCTCCCAAAATGAGACTTGTGGTACATTTTCTGTTTTCCCAAGAAGTCTCACAGTATCAGAAGTTATCTTGGGGCCTCTCATGTGTGCATTAAGTAATGCATACATTGAGAGTGGCAAAACAAAATGGAGAAAAGGAATTTAGTTGACTGAGAAAAAACATTTTTCAGAAAAACAAGATCCAAGAACAGAAAAACATAAAGGCCTTTTAAATATGCCTATAACTTGGATATCCACTTTTAATTAAGCTGCGTGCTCCTAAGAAAATCCCTTTAAATCCCTTGTTACTCAACTTTAGCCACACCAAGCAGTTAAGATTTTTGGCTTTTGAACTTTACCAAAAGTTGCCTCACAGGTGAAATCAAAAGCCTTACTTAGGTTATGACTTAACCATGAGTATACAAGATATTTTCAAAGGAGGGGTAAACAGGTTTTGAAAGTGTTTTTGCAAAGTTGTGACTGAGACAGTGAAAGAGATCCAACCCAACCAACTCTATGTTGTCTCCAGCCCCCAAGCTGTCCTTGCCCATCCCTAGGCGTACATGGAACCAACTCTAGGAAGAGCTTGGTTTACAGTTTATAGTTTAAAACAAAGTCAATAATAGCCCTTTCTCAAAATGAACCTCCCTTTTTGCCTAGGGACCAGACGAAGAAACTAGGCACAAGATTAGAAACCATGGCTTAGGAGTCATGCAGCTGGAGGATACAAGATTTTGACCCTTTCTAAACTGCTCCCAAGATGAGTGCTCAAGATATTTTGCAAACCCTGCCATTGTTGGATCAGCTGGCATCACCAAGATTGATGAACTGGCTTATCTAATTTTGTGGCCCCCATCCAGGAACTAATTTAGCACAAGAAGACAACTTTGACTCCCTATGATTTCATTTCTGACTCTACGTGTCAGCATTCCTGTCTCATTGGCTCCCCCCTGCTACCAAGCTGTCCCCAAAAACTCTGCTCCCCAAATGCTGAGGGAGACCCACCTGAGCAATGACAAAACTCCCATCTCCCACACTGCTGACCTGACTATAATTACCCTGTTTTGATAAATCACCTCTGCCTGGGCAGCACGCAAGTTGAACCCATTGAGCAGTTGCACTATTACAAAATCTAGAACATTTAAAGGCAACTTAGAGGAAGATTTAAGAAAGGCAGATAGAAGTTGTTCATGAAGGGGTAAGAGAATCAGCAAATGGTAAAATTAAAGTATTCACTTCCCAAGCCAGAATTTAACCTGGACCACCATTGTAAAATGGTGGTGACTAAAATGTAGTATTGTCACGTGGTTACAGGTCACATTCCCAAAGACATTAAACAAGAGGCAGCAAAGTTTGTTACTGACCATTTTGTTGGGACTGGCTCAAACAGCAGGCTTATAGGGTCCCAGGCCTGCATCCTAGTCTGAGATATGCTTTCTCTTGACAAAGCCACACAGAAAGACTCACAAAGAACACTGGATTGGCTACAGCTTAAGACCAACCTCATAAATCGTTTTTCATGAATTAAAACTTCACAGAAAATATACATAATGAAACTTATTATTCCTTTTACTATTTTGTACAGGGAGAGAGAAGCCAAAATCCTGACTGGTGAAAAAAAAAAAAAACAACTTTTACCCTTTTGCTGGCCTGTCATGTTTCTGGGTTCCCTTCCCTTGAGCCCAGCATTTTAACGTTTGGAGAAATTAACTTTTCGAAGTTTGGAGGAACATTATAAAAGAAGAGATAGAAGCCATTTTAAACCATGTCAGGAGGAAGGAAAAATACCACAGAAAAGTCTGGAGTTTGTGTGGTGGAACTGAAATAGCTGTTGATGTAAATAGGGGGAACAGGAATGGCTGGGGCATCTGGAAGTTGCATTTAAGGGTTTCCTGGGGGGTCTGTTTCTTTAGTTTTGTGGAATCATTCCCACTGGGCCCACCTGATATGACTGCTAAAAGAGCTGAGTCGATTGTGCAGTGCTTGCAAAGGTCTAGTAACAAGGCCATGCCCTTGTGCAAAAGAAAATTAGCTGCTTTTTTCCCCAAAGTCTCAAGGTCAAAGGAATCCTAGTGCTTCAGAATGCAATTCAGAGGAGTACAGGTTGAAGATGGTTTGTTACCCATCTAGAAAGAGAAGCCAGAAAAAAGGCATCCCTGTAACCTCCTTCCTTTTGTTGTGACCCAAGGTGGAGGGGAAGAGAGCAGGAGTTTACCCCCTATTCTTTTCCCTCCTTGGTTCCTGGGACTCCAGCACATTGTTAAACATATTGTCCATGGTCGCAGGCATGAACCCCAGCCATAGAAATGGCGGAACTAAGCAATTGGGATTACTCACACTTACCCATGCAACTCTAGTCTTCCGTTTATGATTTCCCATTGACTTCTTAGACTGACATGACCTGTGTGGCTCCCAGAAAGAGAGATCTTGAAAAAGACTATGTAATGGTTGCATTTGGGCAAGACCCCTTTAATGGAGTGGGTGCATTACATTGAACTCTATATCCTGTTATTATGGCCCATGCCAAAGCATTTACTCTTAAGTCTCCTTACTATGTAAGTACCATTTTAATTGGAGACAGAGTAGGTGCCTTAAAAGAATGTAGGGACCAAATGGTGGTTTTCCAGCTGATGGGACACTATCGAGACTAAAATTTGTTTTCAGAGGACATTTTCCTCATCACTGTTGAAGGCAGAGATTTTCCCTTTCACAGAAAAGGCATAAAGCTTGGTCTCTAGTAGAGGGGCACAAAAAGGGAGGAAAATTGGGAAGTTAAAGTGTTTTGGAAAAGGGCCAACAATGTACCTCATGGAGAGGATTCCTATTCCTGTAGGTGGTGCTGTTGAGCATGTGCTCTCCAGACCAAGCGCAGAGAGAGATGCTCACTGTAGGGGATGGGGGAAGATCCTCTCTTCCTAGAAAATCACAAAAACAGCGTTCTCTTAAGCTATATTCCCAGTTACTATGGCATTTGCTGACCATTCCTAACAGGACTACTTCACTGAACTGTAAAAATTTCCAGAGCATTGCATATATAGAGATGATAGGAGACATGGCAATTGCAGAAAGGCAAGGAGGAAATTTGTGATAGAAAAGCTGGAGATCCTATTGCTGATGGTTGGTTGGGCAGTTGAAGGCTGGAGTTGGTCCAGAAGCCTTCAGATAACACCAGGGTGTAGTCCTGGCCAGAAATTCTTTGTTGCTCCAGGATCTCTTTAAGCCCCATACGATGACTGGGTCCTCCAGGAAGGGAAACTGGTTTGAAACATAGCCAATATCCCCAGGAACCTGAGGGTACTGGGGGATTCTTCATGATATCCCCAGCAAGCTTGTCCCCTGGTCTTGTAAGGCTGGCAGCCAATCTAACCATTTTTAAATGGCTGACAAGGGCCCAGTATTTGGTTTGATTTTATATTAAAATGGAGGCCGAGAGCCTCAAAATGCAAGGACAGAGTTATGGTCCATTCCTATACTCACCCTTCTGATGATTATACCTGCATCCCACATGGGGCCCCAAAATGAACCAGCATTGCTTGTCTCTGGTAAATACCCTACATTCATTGTCTCACTCCAAGGAAATTGAGGGTGTGGACACACAAGAAGTGAGTCTAAATGCAGAGGTTTAATAGGTGAGAGAAAAGCTCTCTCTTCTGCAGAGACAGAGGGACTCCTGAGTGGGTCCTCCAGTTCTGTGGTGAATTGCATGGGCTTTTATAGATGAGGTTGAGGAGGCAGTGTCTGATTTACATAAGGCCCAAAAGATTGGTATGTGAAAAAGCTGGCTGCCTCCTCTAATCTTTTATTATACAAAAGGTTTCTCTACCTGGTCAGTGCCATGTTGCCTGCTTCTTTACTGCACATGTGGTTGACAAAGAAAAGGGAAGATGGAGCCTCCATGTTGACCATGCCTGGCCCCCAGGTAGACTTTTACTATTGGCACAGCTGCCAGCATTCACCCATGCAAACTTCCAGCTTGCTTTTCTATGTCTGCATCTTGATTTTTCAGGCTGTTCTTTGTTAGAAAAGAAATGATTTTGGGGCTGCTTTTTATGAACAGGGAAACCTTACCAAGGACTCTCTTATTCTCACTATATGCCTAAATAATTTCTTTCTAGCTCCTGTGTCAGTGCTTTCTTTCCTTCCTATTCTTCATTAGTGAAAATAATTTTCTCTGGTGATATGATTAGTTTCTTGCTTTTTATTTTTTATGGGCCCATTGTATGTTTCTTGGTCTGAGGTTACCATGAGGCTTGCAAATGCTATCTTATAACCGATTATTTTAGGCTGATAACAACTTAACACTGTTTGTACAAACAAACAAGCAAAAAGAAAACAAGAACTCCACATCTTAACTTTGTCCCTCTGCTTTTTAACTTTTTGTTGCTTCTACTATTTATATCTTATTGTACTGTTTATGTCCTGAAAAGTTGTTGCAGTTATTATTTTTGATTGGCTCATTGTTAAGTTTTTCTACTTAGGATAAGACTAGTTTATATACCACAGTTATAATATTCTGTGTTTTCTGTGTACTTTCTATGACCAGTGAGTTTTGTACCTTCAGATGATTACTTATTGCTCATTAACATTCTTTTCTTTCTGACTGAAGTACTTACTCCCTTTAGAATTTCTTGTTGGACAGGTCTGCTCTTCATGAAATCCCTCAGCTTCTGTTTGTCTGGAAAAGTTTGTATTTCTCCTTCATGCTTGAAGGATATTTTTGCTAGATATCCTATTCTATGGTAGAAGGATTTTTTCCATCAGCACTTTAAATATGTTATGCCACTCTCTTCTGGCCTGTAAGGTTTCCATTGAAAAGTCCACTGCAAGGCATATTGGAGCTCCATTGTTATGTTATTTGATTCTTTTCTCTTGTTGCTTTTAGGGTCCTTTCCTTTTCTTTTTCTTTACATTTATTTATTTATTTATTTTTATTATACTTTCAGTTTTAGGGTACTTGTGCACAATGTGCAGCTGAGTTACATATGTATACATGTGCCATGTTGGTGTGCTGCACCCATTAACTCATCATTTAACATTAGGTATATCTCCTAATGCTATCGCTCTCCCCTCCCCTCACCCCACAACAGGCCCCAGTGTGTGATGTTCCCCCTCCTGTGTCCATGTGTTCTCATTGTTCAATTCCCACCTATGAATGACAACATGCAGTGTTTGTTTCTTTGTCCTCGCAATAGTTTATTGAGAATGATGGTTTCCAGCTTCATCTGTGTCCCTACAAAGGACAGGAACTCATACGTTTTTAAGGCTGCATAGTATTCCATAGTGTATATGTGCCACATTTTCTTAATCCAGTCTATCATTGTTGAACATTTGGCTTGGTGCCAAGTCTTTGCTACTGTGAACAGTGCCACAATAAATATACGTGTGCATGTGTCTTTATAGAAGCATGTTTTATAATCCTTTGGGTATATACCCAGTAATGGAATGGCTTGGGAAATGGTATTTCTAGTTCTAGATCCCTGAGGAATTGCCACACTGACTTCCACAATGGTTGAACTAGTTTACAGTCCCACCAACAGTGTAAAAGTGTTCCTATTTCTCCACATCCTCTCCAGCACCTGTTGTTTCCTCACTTTTTAATGATCACCATTCTAACTGGTGTGAGATGGTATCTCATTGTGGATTTGATTTGCCTTTCTCTGATGGCCAGTGATGATGAGCATTTTTTCATGTGTCTTTTGGCTGCATAAATGTCTTCTTTTGAGAAGTGTCTGTTCATATCCTTTCCCCACTTTTTGATGGGGTTGTTTGTTTTATTCTTGTAAATTTGTTTGAGTTCTTTGTAGATTCTGGATATTAGCCCTTTGTCAGATGAGTAGATTGCAAACATTTTCTCCCATTCTGTAGGTTGCCTGTTCACTCTGATGGTGGTTTCTTTTGCTGTGTAGAAGCTCTTTCGTTTACTTAGATCCCATTTGTCAATTTTGACTTTTGTTACCATTGCTTTTGGTGTTTTAGACATGAAGTCCTCGCCCATGCCTATGTCCTCGATAGTATTGCCTAGGTTTTTTTCTAGGGTTTTGATGGTTTTAGGTCTAACGTTTTAGTTTTTAATCCATCTTGAATTAATTTTAGTATAAGGCATAAGGAAAGGATCCAGTTTCAGCTTTCTACATATGGCAAGCCAGTTTTCCCAGCATCATTTATTAAATAGGGAATCCTTTCCCCACTGCTTGTTTTTCTCAGGTTTGTCAAAGATCAGATAGTTGTAGATATGTGGCATTATTTCTGAGGGCTCTGTTCTGTTCCATTGGTGTATATCTCTGTTTTGGTACCAGTACCATGCTGTTTTGGTTACTGTAGCCTTGTAGTATAGTTTGAAGTCAGGTAGCGTGATGCCTCCGGCTTTCTTCTTTTGGCTTAGGATTGACTTGGCAATGCAGTCTCTTTTTGGTTTCCATATGAACTTTAAAGTAGCTTTTTCCAATTCTGTGAAGAAAGTCATTGTTAGCTTGATGGGGATGGCATTGAATCTATAAATTACCTTGGGCAGCATGGCCATTTTCATGATAATGATTCTTCCTACCCATGAGCATGGAATGTTCTTCATTTTGTTTGTATCCTTTTTTATTTCACTGTGCAGCGGTTTGTAGTTCTCCTTGAAGAGGTCCTTCATGTACCTTTTAAGTTGGATTCCTAGGTATTTTATTCTATTTGAAGCAATTGTGAATGGGAGTTCACTCATTATTTGGCTCTCTTTTTGTCTGTTATTGGTGTATAAGAATGCTTGTGACTTTTGCACACGATTTTGTATCCTGAGACTTTGCTGTAGTTGCCTATCAGCTTAAGGAGATTTTGGGCTGAAACAATGGGGTTTTCTAGATATACAGTCATGTCATCTGCAAACGGGGACAATTTCACTTCCTCTTTTCTTAATTGAATACTCTTTATTTCCTTCTCCTGCCTGATTGCCCTGGTCAGGACTTCCAACACTGTGTTGAATAGGAGTGGTGAGAGGGGGCATCCCTGTCTTGTGCCCGTTTTCAAAGGGAATGCTTCCAGTTTTTGTCCATTCAGTATGATATTGGCTGTGGGTGTGTCATAGATAGCTCTTATTATTTTGAGATACTTCCCATGAATACCTAATTTATTGAGAGTTTTTAGCATGAAGCATTGGTTGTTTGATTTCATCAACGGCCTTTTCTGCATGTATTGAGATAATCATGTGGTTTTTTCTTTGGTTCTGCTTATGTGCTGGATTACTTTTATTGATTTGCAGCTCTTGAACCAGTCTTGCTTACCAGGTATGAAGCCCACTTGATCATGGTGGATAAGCTTTTTGATGTGCTGCTGGATTCAGTTTTCCAGTATTTTATTCAGGATTTTTGCATCAATGTTCATCAGGGATATTGGTCTAAAATTCTCTTTTTTTGTTGTGTCTCTGCCAGGCTTTGGTATCAGGATGATGCTGGCCTCATAAAATGAGTTAGGGAGGATTCCCTCTTTTTCTATTGATAAGAGTAGTTTCAGAAGGAAAGGTACCAGCTCCTCCTTGTGCCTCTGGTAGAATTCGGCTGTGAATCCATCTGGTCCTGGACTTTTTTTGGTTGGTAAGCTATTGATTATTGCCACAATTTCAGAGCCTGTTATTGGTCTATTCAGAGATTCAACTTCTTCCTAGTTTAGACTAGGGAGGGTGTATGTGTCTAGGAATATTTCCATTTCTTCTAGATTTTCTAGTTTATTTGCTTAGAGGTGTTTATGTCATTCTCTGATGGTAGTTTGTATTTCTGTGGGATCAGTGGTGATATCCCCTTTCTCATTTTTTATTGTGTCGATTTGATTCTTCTCTCTTTTCTTCATTAGTCTTGCCAGCGGTTTACCAATTTTGTTGATCTTTTAAAAAAAACAGCTCCTGGATTCATTAATTTTTTGAAGGGTTTTTGTGTCTCCATTTCCTTCAGTTCTGCTGTGATATTAGTTATTTCTTTCCTTCTGCTAGCTTTTGAATGTATTCGCTCTTGCTTCTCTAGTTCTTTTAATTGTGATGTTAGGGTGTCAATTTTGGATCTTTCCTGCTTTCTCTTGTGGGCATTTAGTGCTATAAATTTCCCTCTACACACTGATTTGAATGTGTCCAAGAGATTCTGGTGTGTTGTGTCTTTGTTCTCATTGGTTTCAAAGAACATCTTTATTTCTGCCTTCATTTTGTTATGTACCCAGTAGTCACTCAGGAGCAGGTTGTTCAGTTTCCATGTAGTTGAGTGGTTTTGAGTGAGTTTCTTAATCCTGAGTTCTAGTTTGATTGCACTGTGGTCTGAGAGAGAGTTTGTTATAATTTCTGTTCTTTACATTTGCTGAGGAGTGCTTTACTTCCAAGTATGTGGTCAATTTTGGAATAGGTGTGGTGTGTTGCTGAAAAGAATGTATATTCTGTTGATTTGGGGTGGAGAGTTCTGTAGATGTCTTTTAGGCCCACTTGTTGCAGAGCTGAGTTCAGTTCCTGGATATCCTTGTTAACTTTCTGTCTCATTGATCTGTCTAATGTTGACAGTGGAGGCTTTGCTCATTTCTTTTTATTCTTTTTTCTGTAAACTTCTCTTCTCGTTTCATTTCATTCATTTGATCTTCCATCACTGACACCCTTTCTTTCAGTTGATTGAATCAGCTACTGAGCCTTTGTGCATTCATCACGTAGTTCTTGTGCCGTGGCTTTCAGCTCCATCAGGTCCTTTAAGGACTTCTCTGCATTGGTCATTCTAGTTAGCCATTTGACTAATTTTTTTTCAAGGTTTTTAACTTATTTGCCATGGGTTCGAACTTCTTCCTTTAGCTTGGAGTAGTTTGATCATCTGAAGCCTTCTCTCAACTCATCAAGGTCATTCTCCATCCAGTTCTGTTCTATTGCTGATGAGAAGCTGCGTTCCTTTGGAGGAGGATAGGTGTACTGATTTTTAGAGTTTCCAGGTTTTCTGCTCTATTTTTTCCCCATCTTTGTGGTTTTATCTACCTTTGGTCTTTGACAATGGTGATGTACAGATGGGGTTTTGGTGTGGATGTCCTTTCTGTTTGTTAGTTTTCCTTCTAACAGTCAGGACCCTCAGCTGCAGGTCTGTTGGAGTTTGCTGGAGGTCCACTCCAGATCCTGTTTTCCTGGGTATCAGCAGTGGAGGCTGCAGAACAGTGGATATTGGTGGACAGCAAATGTTGCTGCCTGATCATTCCTCTGGAAGTTTTGTCTCAGAGGAGTACCCGGCCGTGTGAGGTGTCAGTCTGCCCCTATTGTGTGGTGTCTCCCAGTTAGGCTACTCAGGGGTCAGGGACCCACTTGAGGAGGCGGTCTCTCCATCGTCAGATCTCCAGCTGTGTGCTGGAAGAACCACTACTCTCTTGAATGGTGTCAGACAGGGACATTTAAGCCTGCAGAGGTTTCTGCTGCCTTTTGTTTGGCTCTGCCCTGCCCCCAGAGGTGGAGTCTACAGAGTCACCCAGACCTCCTTGAGCTGTGGTGGGCTCCACCCAGTTCGAACTTCTTGGTTGCTTTGTTTACCTACTCAAGCCTCAGCAATAGTGGGCGCCTCTCCCTCAGCCTCGCTGCTGCCTTGCAGTTTGAGCTCAGACTGCTGTGCTAGCAATGAGTGAGCCTCCGTGGGCACAGGACCCTCTGAGCCAGGCGTGGGATATGATCTCCTGGTGTGTCATTTGCTAAGACCATTGGAAAAGCACAGTATTAGGGTGGGAGTGACCCGATTTTTCAGGTGCCATCTATCGCCCCTTTGACTAGGAAAGGGAATTCCCTGACCCTTTGCACTTCCTGGGTGAGGCGATGCCTTGCCCTTCTTCAGCTCATGCGCAGTGTGCTGCAACCACCATCCTGCACCCATTTTCTGACACTGTCCAGTGAGATGAACCTGGTGCCTCAGTTGGAAATGCAGAAATCACTAGTCTTCTGTGTTGCTCACGCTGGGAGTTGTAGACTGGAGTTGCTCCTATTCAGCAATCTTGGCCCTAACCTTCTTGCCAGGTCCTTTCTTTATACTTGACCTTAGGGAGTTTGATTATTAAATGCCTTGAAGTCGTCTTTGGGTTAAATTTCTTGATGTTCTATGACCTTCTTATAGTTGAATATTGATATCTTTCTCTAGGTTTGGGAAGTTCTCTGTTATTATCCCTTTGAATAAACTTCCTACCTCTATCTCTTTCTCTACCTTTCCTTTAAGGCCAATAACTCTTAGATTTCCCCTCTGAGGCTACTTTCTAGATCCTGTATGTGTCTTCAATGTTTTGTATTTTGTTTTCTTTTGTTTCCTCTGACTGTATTTGTTTTCAATAGTTTGTCCTCCAGCTCACCAATTCTTTCTTCTGCTTGAGCAATTCTGCTTTAGAAGACTTTGGTGCATTCTTCAGTATGCCAAATACATTTTTCAGCTCCAGAATTTTTGCTTCATTCTCTTAAAATTATTTCAATCTCTTTGTTAAGTTTATTTGATAGAGTTTTGAATTTCTTTTCTGTGTTACCTTGAATTTCTTTGAGTTTTCTCAAAACAGCAATTTTAAATTGTTTGCCTGAAGGGTCACATATCTTTATTTCTTCAGGATTGGTCCCTGTGCCTTATTTATTTTATTTGGTGGGATCTTGTTTTCCTAGATGGTGGCGTTGACAGTAGATGTCTATCTGTGTCTGGGCATTGAAGAGTTAGGTATTTATTGTAGTCTTTATGTTCTGGGCTTGTTTGTACCCATCCTTCTTGGAAAGGCTTTCCAGATATTTGAAAGGATTGGGATGTGGTCATGTAAACTGTATCTGCTGTAGAAGCCCAGTAACACTGAATAAAATTCCACCAGACAATAATTTGAATTCACATGAAGAAAGCAAAAGCTCTGGTAAATGAAACTACATAAGTAAATATAGAAGATGGCATTTGCATATTTTGACTTGTTACTTGTTTTCATCTTATCTGATTTAAAAGACAACTGCATAAAAGAGACCTGTAGATGTACCATCTTGATGTCTTGGACAAGATTGGTGAGAATTCCTCAGATTACCAGGCAGAGACTCTTGTTCTCTTCCCTTAATTTTCTCAGATGGAATCTTTCTTCCTCTGTTGTGGGCTACCTAATGATGGAGGTGAATGTACCCACCACCACTATGATTGCACGGGGTTAGACCTGAAACCAATACAGCACTGGGTCTTGCTCAAGGCCTGCCATGACCACTTCCTGGGGAAATATTCATTCAAGGCCCTGGGGATCTATAACAATCAGGTGACAAATCCTGCCATACCTGTGTCCTTCTTTTCAGGGTGGCAAGTTCCCAGGCCCTGGGTGGGTCCAGAGATGCCATCTGGGAGTCAGGGATTAGGGTCAAAAACCTTAGAAGATTACATGTTGTTCTATTGTACTATGGCTGAGCCAGCACTTAAGCCACAAGATACAGTTCTTCTCTCTCTTCCTTCCCATTTCCAAAGGTAGAGGTGCCTCTAGCAGGTATATGGGTGCTCACCTGATTTTTGGTTCTCATGAAGATGTGTTTTCTCCATAGATAGTTGTTAAATATGTGTCCTTGTAGGGAATAGGGCATGAGACAATCAGTGGAGCCTTCTAATCTTCTATGTTGCGCCTGTGGCTGTTTCTTTAACTCTAAATTGAGACTAAGAATATACACTTTCAGAAATATAGTTGAAAATAAAGGTAATGTATTTCAAACACTGAAATTGGGCAGGAATCCTAGCACATAGTGCTTAGTATGTCAATGCCAGTTACAAAAGTGTAGTAAAAACCTTTAAAATTCTCTCCTCCATTAGAGCAAGGACAATACTGGAAAGAATGGTCAGACTCAACATTTTCAGAATTCTGGAAATTAAGCAAAAGCTTGCATCAGTTCAAGGAGTACTTATGCAAGAAAAATGGCCAACTCTAAATAACAAGGAGTGTTATTGTCATTTTAATTTACCCTGTTTTCATTTTCCCTGCACAGCTTCTCTGTAGTCTTGAAAAACAACAGCCTGCAATCACATTGATACCCAGCAGCTTGGCAACCACTGGGAGGGGCAGAATGAGATTGGAGCTTTTTCGAAGACCCAGATAATTGTTATTATTTGACCTATGTGGTCATTCCCTGGAAGACCTAACTCACAAATATACCTTTATTTGACTTGACTTGGAGCATTTTTCATGGAGAAATTTGTCAAAAACAATCAGAAGCAATTCTTAAACATTGCAGCAGGTTTAGGCAGTAGATTAAGTAAGGAAAAAAACAGGCTAACAAAAAGGCTTCAATATAAAAGCTGAGGAATGAATATCAGGACTGTGTATATGCTCAGGACTCTGTACATGTTCAAGAAAGACCCAGGAAGACATAAGCTATCACCTCTGGCTTACCTTGTGATCCTGTGAAAGCAGGATATGAAAGCTAAGGTAAAGTTTTAAGCTTGGCTGGGTGCGGTGGCTCACACCTGTAATCCCAGCACTTTGGGAGGCTGAGGCAGGCAGATCATGAGGTCAGGAGATTGAGACCATCCTGGCTAACATGGTGAAACCCCATCTCTACTAAAAATACAAAAAATTAGCTGGGTGAGGTGGTGGGCACCTGTAGTCCCAGCTACTCAGGAGCCTGAGGCAGGAGAATGGTGTAACCTGGGAGGTGGAGCTTGCAGTAAGCTGAGATCATGCCACTGCACTCCACCCTGGGTGACAGAGCAAGACTCTGTCTCAAAAAAAACGTTTTAAGCTATCTGGCTGAGTAGTGAAGGCATGCCCCAAGACAAACATAGAACCCCTTAGCAAAGTCTGTAAGACTTATTGGTTCTAAAGATATCTCTGTGTAATTACTAACTTATCAATAATCTTATTGAGCAGGGACTTCAGTGACTGCTTATAAGAAAATAATATGTCTCATAAAATTAGTCTAAAAAATGCAAATCCCAAGAACAACAAAACAACAAACAGTAACAATTATAAACATTGGAGATGGAAAGTAATATGATTTCCAGGATTGCCACATTGTATTAGTCTATTTGGGCTGATTTAACAAAATACCATAGACTAAGTCACTTATAATCAATAGGAATTTGTTTCTTGAAGTTCTGAAATTTGGAAAACGTAAGATCAAGACACCAGCAGATTTGGTGTCTGGTGAGGATCCACTTTCTTGTTCTTGATGGTCATCTTCTTGTTATAATCTATCATGGGGGAAGGAGCAAGGGATCTCTCTGGGGGAATCTCTTAGATAAGGTGCCTATCTTATTAGTGAGAGTTCCGCTTTCATGATCTAATCATCTCTCAAAGACCCAACCTTCAAACACCTTCACATTGGAGATTAAGTTTTAACATATGAATTTTGGGAAGGACACAATTTTTTGACAATAGTGTGTGCACACACGCATGTGCACACACACACACGTATACTTATATATAGGCATGTATATATATGTATAATCCAGTTTTCAATAACAAGAAAAATATAATACATGTAAAAAACAAGAAAGTACAGCCTGTACATAGGGGACTAATGCAGTTGACAGAAACTGTCTCTGGGGAAGCCTAGACTTCAGACTTACTAAACAAAGACTTTCAATTAGTTATTTTGTATATATTTAAGGAAATAAAACTATGTCTAAGAACTAAAGAAAAGTATCAGAATGATATCTCAGCAAATAGATCATTTTAACAAAGAGATAGAAATTATAAAAAAGAACCAAATGAAAATTCTAGAGGTAAAATGTACAATAATTGAAATGACAAATTCACTAGGGGAGCTCAGTAGCAGATTTGAGTAGACAGAATAAAAAAGAAGTGAACTTGGGTAGGCCAATGGAAATCATCTAGTCTGAGGAGCAGAAAGAGAAAGAAAGGAAGAAAAAATGAACAGGACCCCAGAGACCTATCAAGCATCATTAAAAATACCACCATATGTACAATGGGGTTTCCAGAGGGAGAGAAAAGAAAGAGGCAGAAAGAATATTTGGAAAAAAATGATGGCCTAAAATGTGTCCAAAAATTAATTTATGCATCCAAAAATCTCCTAAAATTCTAAATAGGATAAATTGAAAGAGATTATGGGATCATAATCAAACTATTATAACCAAACACAGTGGGAGAATCTTGAAAGCAGCAAAAGAGAAGTGACTTATCATATCTAAGAGATTCTCCTTAACCAAACAGCTGATTTCTCATCAGAAGTGATAAAGGTCAGGAGGAAGTTGGATAACATATTCAAAGTACAGAAAAGAAAAGACTGTCAACCAAGAATTCCCTGTCCATTGAAATTACCCTTTGAAAATGAAGGAGAAATTAAGATGTTCCTAGGCAAACAAAAACAGAGAAGCTTTATTGTTAGCAGGTCTTCTCTTTAAGAAATACTAAAGAAGTCCTTCATTCTAACTGGTGTGAGATGGTATCTCATTGTGGTTTTGATTTGCATTTCTCTGATGGCCAGTGATGGTGAGCATTTTTTCATGTGTTTTTTGGCTGCATAAATGTCTTCTTTTGAGAAGTGTCTGTTCATGTCCTTCGTCCACTTTTTGATGGGGTTGTTTGTTTTCTTCTTGTAAATTTGTTTGAGTTCATTGTAGATTCTGGATATTAGCCCTTTGTCAGATGAGTAGGTTGTGAAAAATTTCTCCCATTTTGTGGGTTGCCTGTTCACTCTGATGGTAGTTTCTTTTGCTGTGCAGAAACTCTTTAGTTTAATTAGATCCCATTTGTCAATTTTGGCTTTTGTTGCCATTGCTTTTGGTGTTTTAGACATGAAGTCCTTACCTATGCCTATGTCCTGAATGGTAATGCCTAGGTTTTCTTCTAGGGTTTTTATGGTTTTAGGTCTAATGTTTAAGTCTTTAATCCACCTTGAATTAATTTTTGCATACGGTGTAAAGAAGGGATCCAGTTTCAGCTTTCTACATATGGCTAGCCAGTTTTCCCATCACCATTTATTAAATAGGGAATCCTTTCCCCATTGCTTGTTTTTCTCAGGTTTGTCAAAGATCAGGGATCTAGAACTAGAAATACCATTTGACCCAGCCATCCCATTACTGGGTATATACCCAAAGGACTATAAATCATGCTGCTATAAGGACACATGCACATGTATGTTTATTGTGGCACTATTAACAATAGCAAAGACATGGAACCAACCCAAATGTCCAACAAGGATAGACTGGATTAAGAAACTGTAGCATATATACACCATGAAATACTATGCAGCCATAAAAAATGATGAGTTCATGTCCTTTGTAGAGACATGGATGAAATTGGAAATCATCATTCTCAGTAAACTATCACAAGGATAAAAAACCAAACACTGCATGTTTTCACTCATAGGTGGGAATTGAACAATGAGAACACATGGACACAGGAAGGGGAACATCACACACTGGGGACTGTTGTGGGGTGGGGGAAGGGGGGAGGGATAGCATTAGGAGATATACCTAATGCTAAATGACAAGTTAATGGGTGCAGCACACCAGCATGGCACATGTACACATATGTAACTAACCTGCACATTGTGCACATGTACCCTAAAACTTAAAGTATAATAATAATAAAAAAAGAAAAAAAAGAAGTCCTTCAGGCTGAAATAAAATCCCACCAGACAATAATTTGAATTCACATAAAGAAAGCAAAATCTTTGGTAAACCTAAGTACATAGATAAATATAGAAGACAGTATTTCCATATTTTAGCTTGTTACTTGTTTTCCTCTTATCTGATTTAAAAGACAACTGCATAAAGCAATAATTATAAATATGTGTTGATGGATATGCAATGTGTAAAGATGTAATTTGTATGGCAATAAAAACACAAAATAGAAGGGAGAGAATAGAGATATGTAGAAGTGCTATTCTTATGTACTGTTGTATTTAAGTTGGCGTTTATCTGAACTAGATATAAAAACATGATCCAAATATATGTTGTTTACAAGAGCCATCTTTAGATTCAAAGACCCAAATAAGTTGAAAGCAAAAGCTTGAAAAAATATAAACCACACAAACAGTAAGCAAAGGATAGCTGAAGTGGCTATATTTTAGCTAATAGTAATATCAGACAAAATGAAATTTAAGGGATAAATTGCTATTAGAGATGGAGAAGGATATTTTATAAGGTTATACCAATCAATTCACCATGAGCTGCTTATAAACAATAGAAATATTTTTCTTATAGTTCCGAAGGCTTGGATCAAGGCGTTGGCAGATTTGGTATCTGGCATAAGGGTCCATTTCCTGGTTCTAGATGGCCATGTGCCATAATCTCAGATGGTGAAAGGGGCAAGAGATCTCTCTGGGGATTTTACCTTTTATAAGGGTGCTAATCCCATGTTACAATGTCTATAATAATTATAGACCTATGTGCATCTAATAACAGAGACCCAAAATATATGAAGTAAAAACTAACACAGTAGAAAAGAGAAATAGACAATTTGACAACAATAGGTGGAGACTTTGATATCTCACTCTCAATAATGGATAGACAGCTAGGCAGAAGCTCATCAAGAAAACAAGACTTACACAATGCTATAAAGCAAGTATACATAACAGTACTCTTTTAGGTGTAAACCTAACTACATTTATACTATATTATCTTCAACAACAGCATAATATACACTCTTTTCAAGTGCACATGCAACATTCTCGAGGTTAAACCATATGTAACCTAAAACAAGACTCAATACAGTTAAAAGAATTAGACAAAGTATGTTCTCCAGAATGTAATGAAATTAAAGATCATCATAGAAGGAAATTTGGGAAATTCACAAATATGTAAAAATTAAACAACACGTTTTTAAATAACCAGTGCATCAAAGAGGAAATCACGAGGGAAATTAGAAAATACTTTGAGATAAGAGAAGATGAAGACACCATAACATAACCTATAGAATGCATCTAAAGCAGTGCTTAGTGGGAAATTTGTAGCTGTTAATGTGTACATTTAAAAAAGAAGAAAGATCTGAAATAAATCACTTTGCCTGCTCCCATTAAGACATTGGAAAATGAGAGCAAACTAAACCTAAAGTAAGCAGAAGGAAGGAAACAGCAAGGACTAGAGCAAAAACAAATGAATTAGAGAATAGAATAGAGAATAAAAAAACAACAAAACCGAAGAGGATTCTTTAAAAAGATCACCAAAGTGACAAATCTCTAGCTAGATTGACCAAGAAAGAAAAGAGATGGAAGACTCAAATTACTAAAATCAGGAATGAGAGACATTACTACTGACCTTAAAAAATGAAAAGGATTATAAGGGATACTATAAGCCATAATATGCAACAAATTATATGACTTAGATAAAATGGATACATTCTTAGAAAGACACAAGCCACTGAAATTGACTTAATAGATGATCTGAACATAGTATAATAAGTAAAGATATTGAATTAGTAATAAAAATATTTCTCACAAAGAAAACCCAGGCCAAGATGGCTTCACTGGTGAATTTTATCATGCGTTTAAGGAAGAATTAACACCAATCCTCCACAACGTTTTCTAAAAAATAGAGAACAATTCCCAACTCATTCTATGATACAAGTATTACCCTGATGCCAAAGTGAAACAAAGATATCATAAGAAAAGAAAAAGCACAAGGGGTCAGGGAATTCCCTTTCCTAGTCAAAGAAAGGGGTGACAGATGGCACCTGCAAAATTGGTCACTCCCACCCTAATACTGCGCTTTTTCAATGGGATTAACAAACAGCACACCAGGACATTATATCCCGCACATGGCTCAGAGGGTCCTACACCCATGAAGCCTTGCTCATTGCTAGCACAGCAGTCTGAGATCAAACTGCAAGGCAGCAGCGAGGCTGGGGGAGGGGGGTCCATCATTGCCCATGCTTGAGTTGGTAAACAAAGTGGCCAGGAAGCTCAAACTGGGTGGAGCCCACCACAGCTCAAGGAGGCCTGCCTGCCTTTGTAGGCTCCACCTCTGGAGGCAGGGCACAGGCAACCAAAAGGCAGCACTAACCTCTGCAGACTTAAATGTCCCTGTCTGACAGCTTTGAAGAGAGTAATGGTTCTCCCAGAACGCAGCTGGAGATCTGAGAATGGGCAGTCTGCCTCCTCAAGTTGGTCCCTGACCACCGAGTAGCCTAACTGGGAGGCACCCCCCAGTAGGGGCAGAATGACACCTCACACGGCCGGGTACTCCTCTGAGACAAAACTTCCAGAGGAGCGATCAGGCAGCAGCATTTGTGGTTGACCAATATCCGCTGTTCTGCAGCCACCGCTGCCAATACCCAGGCAAACAGGGTCTGGAGTGGACCTCTAGGAAACTCTAACAGACCTGTAGCTGAGGGTCCTGAGAGTTAGAAGGAAAACTAACAAAGAGAAAAGTCATCCACACCAAAAACCCATCTGTATGTCACCATCAAAGACCCAAGGTAGATAAAACAACAAAGATGGGGAAAAATCAGAGCAGAAAAACTGGAAAATCTAAAAATCAGAGTGCCTCTCCTCCTCCAAAGGAATGCAGCTCTGCACCAGCAATGGAACAAAGTTGGATGGAGAATGACTTTGACAATTTGAGAGAAGGCTTCAGAAGATCAAACTATTCCGAGCTAAAGGAGGAAGTTCAGACCAATGGCAAAGAAGTTAAAAACCTTGAAAAAAAATTAGATGAATGGCTAACTAGAATAACCAATGCAGAGAAGTCCTTAAAAGACCTGATGGAGCAGAAAATCATGGCACAAGAATGACATGACGAATGCACAAGCCTCAGTAGCCTATTCGATCAACTGGAAGAAAGGGTATCAGCGATGGAAGATGAAATGAATGAAATGAAGTGAGAAGAAAAGTTTAGAGAAAAAAGAAAAAAAAGCGTCCAAGAAATATGGGACTATGTGAAAAGACCAAATCTACATCTGACTGGTGTACCAGAAAGTGACAAGGAGAATGGAAGCAAATTGGAAAACACTATGCAGGATATTATCCAGGAGAACTTTCCCAATCTAGCAAGGTAGGCCAACATTCAAATTCAGGAAATACAGAGAATGCCACAAAGTTACTCCTCGAGAAGAGCAACTCCAAGACACATAATTGTCAGATTCACAAAAATTGAAAAGAAGGAAAAAATGTTAAGGGCAGCCAGAGAGAAAGGTCAGGTTACCCACAAAGGGAAGCCCATCACACTAACAGCAGATCTCGGCAGAAACTCTACAAGCCAGAAGAGAGTGGGGGCCAATATTCAACATTCTTAAAGAAAAGAATTTTCAACCCAGAATTTCATATCCAGCCAAACTAAGCTTCATAAGTGAAGGAGAAATAAAATACTTTACAGACAAGCAAATGCTGAGAGATTTTGTCACCACCAGGCTTGCCCTAAAAGAGCTCCTGAAGGAAGCACTAAACATCGAAAGGAAAAATCAGTACCAGCCACTGCAAAAACATGCCAAATTGTCAAGACAATCAAGGCTAGGAAGAAACTGCATCAACTAAAGAGCAAAATAACCAGCTACCATCATAATGACAGGATCAAATTCACACGTAACAGTATTAAATTTAAATGTAAATGGGCTAAATGCTCCAATTAAAAGACAAAGACTGGCAAATTGGATAAAGAGTCAAGACCCATCAGTGTGCTGTATTCATGGAACCCATCTCACGTGCAGAGACACACATAGGCTCAAAGTAAAGGGATGGAGGAAGATCTACCAAGCAAATGGAAAACAAAAAAAGGCAGGGGTGGGAATCCTAGTCTCAGATAAAACAGACTTTAAACCACAAAGATGAAAAGAGACAAAGAAGGCCATTACATAATGGTAAAGGGATCAATTCAACAAGAAGAACTAACCATCCTAAATATATATGCACCCAATACAGGAGCACCTAGATTCATAAAGCAAGGCCTTAGTGACCTACAAAAGAGACGTTGACTCCCACACAATAACGGTGGGAGACTTTAACACGCCTCTGTCAGCATTAGACAGATCAATGAGACAGAAAGTTAATAAGGATATCCAGGAGTTGAACTCAGCTCTGCACCAAGCGGACCTAATAGACATCTACAGAACTCTCCACCCCAAATCAACAGAATATACATTTTTTTCAGCACCACACCATACCTATTCCAAAACTGACCACATACTTAGAAGTAAAGCACTCCTCAGCAAATGTAAAGGAACAGAAATTATAACAAACTGTCGCTCAGATCACAGTGCAGTCAAACTAGAACTCATGATTAAGAAACTCACTCAAAACCACTCAACTACATGGGAACTGAACAACCTGCTTCTGAGTGACTACTGGGTAAACAATGAAATGAAGGCAGAAATAAAGATGTTCTTTGAAACCAATGAGAACAAAGACACAACATACCAGAATCTCTGGGACACATTCAAAGCAGTGTGTAGAGGGAAATTTATAGCACAAAATGCCCACAAGAGAAAGCAGAAAAGATCTAAAATTGACACCCTAACATCACAATTAAAATAACTAGAAAAGCAACAGCTAACACATTCAAAAGGTAGCAGATGGCAAGAAACAACTAAGATCAGAATGGAACTGAAGGAAATAGAGACACAAAAAACTCTTCAAAAAATTAATGAATCCAGGAGCTGGTTTTTTGAAAAGATCAACAAAATTGATAGACCGCTAGCAAGACTAATAAAGAAGAAAGGAGAGAAGAATCAAATAGATGCAATAAAAAATGAGAAAGGGGATATCACCACCGATCCCACAGAAATACAAACTACCATCAGAGAATAATATAAACACCTCTATGCGAATAAACTAGAAAATCTAGAAGAAATGGAAAAATTCCTCGACACATACACACTCCCAGGGCTAAACCAGGAAGAAGCTGAATCTCTGAATAGACCAATAACAGGCTCTGAAATTTAGGCAATAATTAAAAGTTTACCAACCAAAGAAAGTCCAGGACCTGATGGATTCACAGCCGAATTCCACCAGATGTACAAGGAGGAGCTGGTACCATTCCTTCTGAAATTATTCCAATGAACAGAAAAAGAGGGAATCCTCCCTAAGTGATTTTATGAGGCTAGCATTATCCTGATATCAAAGCGTGGCAGAGACACAACAAAAACAGAGAATTTTCGACCAATATCCCTGATGGACATTGATGCAAAAATCCTGAATAAAATACTGGCAAACTGAATCCAGCAGCACATCAAAAAGCTTATCCACCATGATCAAGTGGGCTTCATCCCTGGGATGCAAGGCTGGTTCAACATACCAAAAGCAATAAATGTAATCCAGCATATAAACAGAACCAAAGACAAAAACCACATGATTATCTCAATAGATGCAGAAAAGGCCTTTGACAAAATTCAACAACACTTCATGCTAAAAACTCTCAATAAATTAGGTATTGACGGGACATATCTCAAAATAAAAAGAGCTATCTATGACAAACCCACAGCCAATACCATAGTGTATGGGCAAAAACTGGAAGCATTCCCTTTGAAAACTGGCACAAGACAGGGATGCCCTCTCTCACCACCTCTATTCAACATACTGTTGGAAGTTGTGACAAAGGCAATCAGGCAGGAGTAGGAAATAAAGGGTATCCAATTAGGAAAAGAGGAAGTCAAATTGTCCCTGTGTGCAGATGACATGATTGTATATCTAGAAATCCCCATTGTCTCAGCCCAAAATCTCCTTAAGCTGATAGGCAACTTCAGCAAAGTCTCAGGATACAAAATCAATGTGCAAAAATCACAAGCATTCTTATACACCAATAACAGACAAACAGAGAGCCAAATCATGAGTGAACTCCCATTCACAATTGCTTCAAAGAGAATAAAATACCTAGGAATCCACCTTACAAGGGACGCAAAGGACCTCTTCAAGGAGACTACAAACCACTACTCAATGAAATGAAAGAGAATACAAACAAAATGAAGAACATTCCATGCTCATGGGTAGGAAGAATCAATATCGCAAAAATGGCCACACTGCCTAAGGTAATTTATAGATTCAATGCCATCCCCAACACGCTAACAATGACTTTCTTCACAGAATTGGAAGAAACTACCTTAAAGTTCATATGGAACCAAAAAAGAGCCCACCTTGCCACATCAATCCTAACCCAAAAGAACAAAGCTGGAGACATCACGCTACCTGACTTCAAACAATACTACAAGGCTCCAGTAACCAAAACAGCATGGTACTGGTACCAAAACAGAGATATAGATCAATGGAACAGAAGAGAGCCCTCAGAAATAATGCCGCATATCTACAACTATCTGATCTTTCACAAACCTGAGAAAAACAAGCAACGGGGAAATGATTCCCTATTTAACAAATGGTGCTGGGAAAACTGGCTAGCCATATGTAGAAAGCTGAAACTGGATCCCTTCCTTACACCTTATACAAAAATTAATTCAAGATGGATTAAAGACTTAAATATTACAAATAAAACCATAAAAACCCTAGAAGAGAACCTAGGCAATACCATTCAGGACATAGGCTAGGACTTAATGTCTAAAACACCAAAAGCAATGGAAACAAAAGCCAAAATTGACAAATAGGATCTAATTAAAGAGCTTCTGCACAGCAAAAGAAACTACCATCAGAGTGAACAGGCAACCTACAAAATGGGAGAAAATTTTCGCAACCTACTCATCTGACAAAGGGCTAATATCCAGAATCTACAATGAACTCAAACAAATTTACAAGAAAAAAACAAACAACCCCATCAAAAACTGGGTGAAGGATATGAACAGACACTTCTCAAAAGAAGACGTTTATGCAGCCAAAAAACACATGAAAAAATGCTCATCATCGCTGGCCATCAGAGAAATGCAAATCAAAACCACAATGAGATACCATCTCACACCAGTTAGAATGGCAATCATTAAAAAGTGAGGAAACAACAGGTGCTGGAGAGGATGTGGATAAATAGGAACACTTTTACGCTGTTGGTGGGACAGTAAACTAGTTCAACCATTGTGGAAGTCCGTGTGGCGATTCCTCAGGGATCTAGAACTAGAAATACCATTTGACCCAGCCATCCCATTACTGGGTATATACCCAAAGGATTATAAATCATGCTGCTATAAAGGCACATGCACATGTATGTTTACTGTGGCACTATTCACAATAGCAAAGAATTGGAACCAAGCCAAATGTCCAACAATGATAGACTGGATTAAGAAAATGTGGCACATATAGACCGTGGAATACTATGCAGCCATAAAATGATGAGTTCATGTTTTTTGTAGGGACATGGATGTATCTGGAAATCATCATTCTCAGCGAACTGTCACAAGGACAAAAAACCAAACACCGCATGTTCTCACTCATAGGTGGGAATTGAACAATGAGAACACATGGACACAGGAAGGGGAACATCACACACTGGGGACAGTTTTGGGGTGTGGGGAGGGGGGAGGGATAGCATTAGGAGATATACCTATTGGTAAATGACGAGTTAATGGGTGCAGCATACCAACATGGCACATGTTTGCATATGTAACAAACCTGCACGTTGTGCACATGTACCCTAAAACTTAAGGTATAAGAATAAAGTTAAAATAAAGAAAAAAAGAAAACTGCAACCATATCTTATGAAAATAGATATTAATACAAAAATTCTCAATAAAAGTTTTGCGAATGGCAGTCAGTAGCCTATGAAAGGAAATATACACCATGACTAACTGAGATATAAATCCTAAATATGTAATTTGGGATATAATTCCTAAATAATTAGGAATATAAGGCTGTTTCAATAAAAAAAAAACAGTCAATGTTATTCACTATGTCGATAGAATAAAGGACATAGTGTTCAGTAATGATAGCTGGTATTATGCTATTTTTCTTCGTTCTCCATTCACTGCTTACCCATATTTTAAAATATATCAGCAGTTACAACTCTTATGATATGTGATTTAAACAGCATTCTATTCTTCAGACTGCAGAGTAGTTGCTGTAATATATGTTTGCAAGATGGCAGAACATATTTGGTTTGCAAATTTCCACTGTCCTGGAAATTATGTGTGAAGTAAATTTGAAGTCTCTTTGCCTAGGTGAGGCTTTTTCTATTGAATGGCCGTTGGAATTTCTAGACTTCCAAAAAATGTCAATGGGAAGGCATACAAATCTTTTTGAATTTTTACACTAGAAAAGTTGACTCTAGGATTTTAGCTTCAATTTGCCTCCCAACCTCAGATACCACTCTGCCTGAAAGTGCGTCAAGTTCCAAGGTTCATCTCTATTGGTGGAATGTGTCCTGATGTGTTTATAGTACAGTTGAGAGATTGATTCAGAATCTCAGCCTCCTCTGTAACTCAGACAGTGAGGAAATTTCCTCGGAAATATTCAACCTGAATGAAACCCCATTTTGTTATCCACAAGCATTTAGAATCCTTCATGACACCTAACGGCTTATAAAAGGAGGGCTTTGTTGCATAATATTGCAGGCCAGGGATGTAGGATGTTAATAAGTTAAAATGCAGGGAAAAATCTAATCAGGTGAAGATAGTTTGTTAATAGACAAATACTCCCAAATATCTGTTTCTAAGGAAAAATCTTTTAAAAACTGAGATAATTAATCCCTGGGAGGACAAAGCCTTAGATATAATGATAAATCCTTTAATGTTCTCAATATCCTCTCCAAACACTATGATTCAAGAGAAGCTGTTTTCTTATTTTAAAGGCAGAATAAGAGAGGGGGTATTGTTAGAATATTTGTGTCCTTTATTCTTTTTTTTTAACTGCATTGGTTTTTTTTTTTTAATTTTTTTCTTTTTTCTTTTTTTCAAATATATTTTCTTGTTACTTTTACACAAACAATAGCATGCTATATACATTTATATATATATATAGTTTTACATAAGTATATATATTTAGAATCTTTCCACATCAGTACACAAAATGTGTCCTCCTTCATTTTACACCTGTATAGTATTCCTTAGTTAGAGTGTATCACAATTTTTAAAACCAATTCTTCATTATGAAAATTAAATGGTATACATTTCTTTTGCTGTTGAAACAATGACACCATCCATAACCTATACACATATATTTTCCCATTTATATGCGTTTGTAGGATAAATCCTCAAGGGTGAAAATTCTGGGTCAAATGAAATATAAATTTCTTTTTTTTAAATTTTATTATTATACTTTAAGTTTTAGGGTACATGTGCACAACGTGCAGGTTTGTTATGTATGTATACATGTGCCATGTTGGTGTGCTGCACCCATTAACTCGTCATTTACCATTAGGTATATCTCCTAATGCTATCCCTCCCCCCTCCCCCCACCCCCACCCCACAACAGTCCCCAGTGTGTGATGTTCCCCTTCCTGTGTCCATGTGTTCTCATTGTTCAATTCCCACCTATGAGTGAGAACATGCGGTGTTTGGTTTTTTGACCTAGCGACAGTTTGCTGAGAATGACGGTTTCCAGATTCATCCATGTCCCTACAAAAAACATGAACTCATCATTTTTTATGGCTGCATAGTATTCCACGGTCTATATGTGCCACATTTTCTTAATCCAGTCTATCATTGTTGGACATTTAGCTTGGTTCCAAATCTTTGCTATTGTGAATAGTGCCACAGTAAACATACATGTGCGTGTGCCTTTATAGCAGCATGATTTATAATCCTTTGGATATATACCCAGTAATGGGATGGCTGGTTCAAATGGTATTTCTAGTTCTATATCCCTGAGGAATCGCCACACGGACTTCCACAATGGTTGAACTAGTTTACTGTCCCACCAACAGTGTAAAAGTATTCCTATTTATCCACATCCTCTCCAGCACCTGTTGTTTCCTCACTTTTTAATGATCGCCATTCTAATTGGCATGAGATGGTATCTCATTGTGGTTTTGGTTTGCATTTCTCTGATGTCCAGTGATGATGAACATTTTTTCATGTGTCTTTTGGCTGCATAAATGTCTTCTTTTGAGAAGTGTCTATTCATGTCCTTCACCCAGTTTTTGATGGGGTTGTTTGTTTTTTTCTTGTAAATTTGTTTGAGTTCATTGTAGATTGTGGATATTAGCCCTTTCTCCGATGAGTAGGTTGCAAAAATTTTCTCCCATTCTGTAGGTTGCCTGTTCATTCTGATGGTAGTTTCTTTTGCCGTGCAGAAGCTCTTTAGTTTAATTAGATCCCATTTGTCAATTTTGGCTTTTGTTGTCATTGCTTTTGGTGTTTTAGACATGAAGTCCTTGCCCATGCCTATGTCCTGAATGGTATTGCCTAGGTTTTCTTCTAGGGTTTTGATGGTTTTAGGTCTAACATTTAAGTCTTTAATCCATCTTGAATAATTTTTGTATAAGGTGTAAGGAAGAGATCCAGTTTCAGATTTCTACATATGGCTAGCCAGTTTTCCCAGCACCATTGATTAAATAGGGAATCCTTTCCCCATTGCTTGTTTTTCTCAGGTTTGTCAAAGGTCAGATAGTTGTAGATACATGGCATTATATATGAGGGCTCTGTTGTGTTCCATTGGTGTATACCTCTGTTTTGGTGCCAGTACCATGCTGCTTTGGTTACTGGAGCCTTGTAGTATAGTTTGAAGTCAGGTAGCGTGATGCCTCCGGCTTTCTTCTTTTGGCTTAGGATTGACTTGGTGTTGCGGGCTCTGTTTTGGTTCCATATGAACTTTAAAGTAGTTTTTTCAAATTCTGTGAAGAAAGTCATTGGTAGCTTGTTGGGGATGGCATTGAATCTATAAATTACCTTGGGCAGTATGGCCATTTTCACGATATTGATTCTTCCTACCCATGAGCATGGAATGGTCTTTCATTTGTTTGTATCCTCTTTTATTTCATTGAGCAGTGGTTTGTAGTTCTCCTTGAAGAGGTCCTTCACATCCCTTGTAAGTTGGATTCCTAGGTATTTTCTTCTCTTTGAAGCAATTGTGAATGGGAGTTCACTCATGATTTGGCTCTCAGTTTTTCTGTTATTGGTGTATAATAATGCTTGTGATTTTTATATGTTGATTTTGTATCCTAGACTTTGCTGAAGTTGTTTATCAGCTTGAGGAGATTTTGGGCTGTGATAATCGGGTTTTCTAGATATACAATCATGTCATCTGCAAACAGGGACAATTTGACTTCCTCTTTTCCTAATAGAATACCCTTTATTTCCTTCTCCTGCCTAATTGCCCTGGCCAGAACTTCCAACACTACGTTGAATAGGAGTGGTGAGAGAGGGCAGCCCTGTCTTGTGCCAGTTTTCAAAGGGAATGCTTCCAGTTTTTGTCCATTCATTATATTTTCTGTGGTTTTGTCATAAATAGCTCTTCTTATTTTGAGATACATCCCATAAATAAATAATTTATTGAGAGTTTTTAGCATGAAGTGTTGTTGAATTTAGTCAAAGGCCTTTTCTGCATCTATTGAGATAATCATGTGTTTTTTGTCTTTCATTCTGTTTATATGTTGGATTATATTTATTGATTTGTGTATGTTGAAGTAGCCTTGCATTTCAGGGATGAAGCCCACTTGATCATGTTGGATAAGCTTTTTGATGTGCTGCTGGATTCGGTTTGCCAGTATTTTTTTGAGGATTTTTGCACCAATGTTCATCAAGGATATTGGTGTAAAATTCTCTTTTTTGTTGTGTCTCTGCCAGGCTTTGGTATCAGGATGATGCTGACTTCATAAAATGAGTTAGGGAGGATTCCCTCTTTTTCTTTTGATAAGAATAGTTTCAGAAATAATGGTACCAGCTCCTCTTTGTACCTCTGGTGGAATTTGGCTGTCAATCCATCCGGTCGTGGACTTTTTTTGGTTGGTAAGCTATTGATTATTGCCACAATTTCAGAGCCTGTTACAGGTCTATTCAGAGATTCAGCTTCTTCCTGGTTTAGTCTTGGGAGGATGTATGTGTTGAGGAATTTATCCATTTCTTCTAGATTTTCTAGTTTATTTGAATAGAGGTGTTTATAGTATTCTCTGATGGTAGTTTGTATTTCTTTGGGATTGGTGGTGATATCCCCTTTCTCATTTTTTATTGTGTCTATTTGATTCTTCTCTCTTTTCTTCTTTATTAATCTTGCTAGTGGTCTATCAATTTTGTTGATGTTTTCAGAAAACCAGATCCTGGATTCATTAATTTTTTGAAGGTTTTTTTTTGTCTCTATTTCCTTCAGTTCCACTCTGATCTTAGTTATTTCTTGCCTTCTGCTGGTTTTTGAATGTGTTTGCTGTTGCTTTTCTTGTTCTTTTAATTGTGATGTTAGAGTGTCAATTTTAGATCTTTTCTGCTTTCTCTTGTGGGCATTTAGTGCTATAAATTTCCCTCTACACACTGCTTTGAATGTGTCCCACAGATTCTGGTATGTTGTGTCTTTGTTATAATTGGTTTCAAAGAACATCTTTATTTCTGCCTTCATTTCATTACGTACCCTGTAGTCATTCAGGAGCAGGTTGTTCAGTTCCCATGTAGTTGAGTGGTTTTGAGTGAGGTTCTTAATCCTGAATTCTAGTTTGATTGTACTGTGGTCTGAGAGACAGTTTGTTATAATTTCTGTTCTTTACATTTGCTGAGGAGTGCTTACTTCCAACTACGTGGTCAATTTTGGAGTAGGTGTGGTGTGGTGCTTAAAAGAATGTATAATCTGTTGATTTGGGGTGGAGAGTTCTGAAGGTATCTATTAGGTCCGCTTGGTGCAGGGCTGAGTTCAATTCCTGGGCATTCTTGTTAACTTTCTGTCTCATTGATCTGTCAAATGTTGACAGTGGGATGTTAAAGTCTCCCATTATTATTGTGTGGGAGTCTAAGTCTCTTTGTAGGTCACTAAGGACTTGCTTTATGAATCTGGGTGTGCCTGTATTGGGTGCATATATATTTAGGATAGTTAGCTGTTCTTGTTGAATTGATCCCTTTACCATTATGTAATGGCCTTCTTTGTCTCTTGTGATCTTTGTTGGTTTAAAGTCTGTTTTGTCCAAGACCAGGATTGCAACCCCTGCCTTTTTTTGTTTTCCATTTGCTTCATAGATCTTCCTCCATCCCTTTATTTTGAGCCTATGTGTGTCTCTGCAGTTGAGATGGGCTTCCTGAATACAGCACACTGATGGATCTTGACTCTTTGTCCATTATGCCAGTGTGTGTCTTTTAATTGGGGCATTTAGGCCATTTACATTTAAATTTAATATTGTTACGTGTGAATTTGATCTTGTCATTATGATGGTAGTTGGTTTTTTTGCTCGTTAGATGATGCAGTTTCTTCCTAGCCTTGATTGTCTTTATAATTTGGCATGTTTTTGCAGTGGCTGGTGCCGGTTGTTCCTTTCGATGTTTAGTGCTTCCTTGAGGAGCTCTTTTAGGGCAGGCCTGCTGGTGACAAAATCTCTCAGCATTTGCTTGTCTGTAAAGTATTTTATTTCTCCTTCACTTTATGAAGCTTAGTTTAGCTGGATATGAGATTCTGGGTTGAAAATTCTTTTCTTTAAGAATGTTGAATGTTGGTCCCCACTCTCTTCTGGCTTGTAGCTTTTCTGCTGAGAGATTAGCTGTTAGTCTGTTGGGCTTCCCTTTGTGGGTAACCCGACCTTTCTCTCTGGCTGCCCTTAATATTTTTTCCTTCATTTCAAGTTTGGTAAATCTGACAATTATGTGTCTTGGAGTTGCTCTTCTCGAGGAGTTTCTTTTTGGCATTCTCTGTACTTCCTGAATTTGAATGTTGGCCTGCCTTGCTAGATTGGGGAAGTTCTCCTGGATAATATCCTGCAGAGTGTTTTCCAACTTGGTTCTATTCTCCCTGTCACTTTCAGGTACACCAATCATACGTAGATTTCATCTTTTCACACTGTCCCATATCTTTTGGAGGCTTTGTTCTTTTCTTTTCATTCTTTTTTCTCTAAACTTCTCTTCTTGCTTCATTTCACTCATTTTGCCTTCATCTCTGATACACTTTCTTCCAGTTGATCACATCAGCTTCTGAGGCTTCCACGTTCATCATGTAGCTCTCGTGCCTTGGTTTTCAGCTCCATCAGGTCCTTTAAGGACTTCTCTGCATTGGTTATTCTAGTTATACATTCGTCTAATTTTTTTTCAAAGCCTTTAACTTCTTTGCCATTGGTTTGAGTTTCCTCCTGTTGCTTGGAGTAGTTTGATCATCTGAAGCCTTCTTGTCTCAACTCATCAAAGTCATTCTCCATCCAGCTTTGTTGTATTGCTGGTGAGGAGCTGTGTTCCTTTCAAGGAGGAGAGGCACTCTGATTTTTAGAGTTTCCAGTTTTTCTGCTCTGTTTTTTTCTCATCTTTGTGGTTTTATCTACCTTTCATCTTTGATGATGGTGACGTACAGATTGGTTTTTGGTGTGGATGTCCTTTCTGTTTGTTAGTTTTCCTTCTAACAGACAGGACCCTCAGCTCCAGGTCTGTTGTAGTTTACTAGAGGTCCACTCCAGTCACTGTTTGCCTGGGTATCAGCAGTGGTGGCTGCAGAACAGCGGATATTGGTGAACTGCAGACGCTGCTGCCTGATCGTTACTCTGGAAATTTTGTCTCAGAGGAGTACCCAGCCATGTGAGGTATCAGTTCACCCCTAGTGGGGGGGTGCCTCCCAGTTAGGCTACTCAGGGGTCAAGTACCCACTTGAGGAGGCAGTCTGCCCGTTCTCAGATCTCCAGCTGCGTGCTGGGAGAAACACTACTCTCTTCAAAGCTGTCAGGGAGGGACATTTAGTTCTGCAGAGTTTACAGCTGTCTTTTTGTTTGTCTGTGCCCTGCCCCCAGAGGTGGAGCCTACAGGGGCAAAGAGGCCTCCTTGAGCTGTAGTGGGCTCCACCCAGTTCAAGCTTCCTTGCCATTTTGTTTACCTAATCAAACAACTAACTTGGCAATGATGGGCCCCCCTCCCCCAGCCTCACTGCCACCTTGCAGTTTCATCTCGGGCTGCTGTGCTAGCAATGAGTGAGAGTCCTTGGGCATAGGACCCTCTGAGCCATGTGTGGGATATAATCTCCTGGTTTGCCATTTTTTAAGCCCGTTGGAAATGCACAGTATTAGTGTGGAAGTGATCCGGTTTTCCAGGTGCCATCTGTCACCACTTTCTTTGACTAGGAAAGGGAATTCCATGACTCCTTGCACTTCCTGGATGAGGTGATGCCTCACCCTGCTTCAGCTTGCACCTGGTGCACTGCACCCACTGTCCTGCAGCTACTGTCTGGCACTCCCCCGTGAGATGAACCTGGTACCTCAGTTGGAAATGCAGAAATCACCCATCTTCAATGTCGCTCACGCTGGGAGCTGTAGACTGGAGCTGTTCCTATTCGGCCATCTTGGCTCCTCCCTTTTGTCCCTTCCTCTACAATATAGATATATATGCTGGAGAATATCAGAAGATTCTGTTTAGTAACTAAGAACTTGGAGTTTCAAATTCAACTAACATTTTCTTTACCTTTAACTTGAACTTCAAAGGCATTGGAGTTTTGAAAATGCTTGCTGAATCCATTTGAAGAAATTTGTGTCATCTTGACATTCTGTGCTTTTTGTAAAATTGTGCAGTCAGTGGAGGCTTGGGTATATACATTACATAACATGTTGTTTGAACAGCTACCTATAATGGTTACTTCCTATTTCTGAATACATTGGCCATTCTCCTAAACAATAGAGGCAATCACAGTAAGTTACCTGAAAGTGCTTATTCTTAATCCAGTTTCTTACATTTCTTCTTTCTCCCAAGGGGTTTATAATTGAAACCATTAAAGTATTACATCTGATATTTGATGGTGAATCCCTTCTAAATGTTTTAGGATAATTTGCAGAAATATTTATTCTCCTCACTGTATATTGATATAACTACAATTTGTCAGGAAAAGGTTAACATTTTATGGATTCCTCAGTCAATTTCTAGGCTTTTAAGTGTGGAGAGAGTGCAGTAGGTGGATGGGTCATTGAGGATTTTCTCCAGGGGTAGGGCATATGATGTAATGATAGTCAGAGATTGGTTTATGTAGAATCACTCATTTCCTTGAAATAATACTCTGACTTTGAAAGTCCCCAGGGAGAAAAAGAGGGAAAATCTCACCTTGTACTAGTAGCAGGAGATATGAGAAACAATTAAAAATAAAGAAAGGCAAAATTAAAGTAGAGCTGACAGGGTGTGTGACCTTCACCGTGCTCAGGACAGGTCAGTATGGGAAGTAAGAGAAGGAGAGAATTTGGATTATTTTATTCAAATGAAAACTTTAGCTCTAAGACTGAGATCAAAAGGCAAGTGCATTAAAATACAGGATCTGCAAGTAAAGAGTGTACCCTCTGCTGTAATTAGGAATCTATATTAAACTCCAAGCTTAGGGGTATTTTTTATTTTGACTCTATTCAAGTGATCCCAGATATTGTTTTAACCAGATGAGAACTTGTTTCTGCCACAATGGATGTGGTCTCAGCAATATGGCTGCATTTCTTCATCCCTGAACTAAGACTTAGCCTCTTTCTTAGAAAATCAAGACAGGTTTTGGTATAGATAAGACATGAAAGTTAATTTTGTCACTGTAAGGTGATTTTTCCTTGTCTACACTTGTATTAAGCTATCTTAAGGAAGGCCAGATGTGATGGAAAAAAATTAATTTTGTTGGGCATTATTAGACATAGATTTTCTTATTCTTCTCTGCCAAAAATAAATTAGCTGTGTTTTCTCGGATATTACCTCTTGAGACTTCAGTTTCTTCATCTTTAAAGTATGGATAAGTTGATGCAGTGCAAGGTACCTCAGGATTTTTAATGTCTAACAATTCTAGAGTCTTGTCCAATTAGACCCTTGAACTCATTACATCTGACTCTGCATTTCTTAGCTTAGCAAAAGGAATGCCATTAATTTCTTATGGTCACAGGTGTTAGCTTTAGGTACTAGTCCACTTGTCCAAACTCTGGCAATGCTGAGTCCCAGAAGTAAACTCGATTGATACTAGAGAAGCACTGGTTAAATGCTGAAGAGCTAGAAGCAGACATCTTGTGCTTGAATACAGGCTTCTCTGTTTTTTATTTTTATTAACACTGTAATTTTGGGTAAGTTTTCTTCTCATCACAGTTTACTTTTCTTTCAAATATGGATAATTGTGTACCATCTTCAAAGCATTGTTGTGAAGATTAAGTGAAAAAATGCATGTAAAGCATTTAGTATAGTACCAAGCACATGGCAAGTACACAATAAAAATGAACAATTATTCTAGGAAGTACAGGGTATAAAAATAAATCTCTGCATGCTAGAAAGTAAGAATGGGGAAAAGCAGAGTGGTAGTAAAAGTTTGCATTTCAAAACTAGTATATGAAATTTAAAAAGGTAACAACGGTTTCTCTGGGAAGAAGTTTGTTTATGTCCTTACCTCTCAATTGCCGTCTGAGGGCCCTTTTATGGAATATCAAGGTCTTTCTGCTAGGTTGACACTTTTCTCCATTTCTAATTTCTGTAAAAATATGAGTATTAGAGGATTTAAATGGTAATAGGCACACTATATCTTTGGATTAGTTCTGTGCTATCTTTGGCTCAAGTCTCCCAATTAACAGTGAAGAACAAAGACACGAATTTTGAACATGAGACTGAGTTGTTCTGTTTGTATGTTTGTGTCTGCAGGGAAATAGGGAGGAGATGAAAATTGTAAAAAAGCACTGCTCTTTAAATATATTCTAATTACTTCAAGACTTGCAAGAAATTGAATAAGTGAGATATTGAAAATGAATGAGTCAAGTTTGGAGTTTTCTGTCTGGTTTTGATCAGGAAGTCTAACCTTTGGCACAGACCTTCAGGAAGTTGTAAAAACATTAGTTGATTGTTGGTTCTCTCAAAAGCCATCTCCTCTAGGGAAAGTTGGTAATTAGAAGGGCATCCAACCTTATTCTCAAGAGTTCTTGTCCCTGAAAGGATTCTCTGGAGCATTGGGCTATCCAGAAGGGAGACCATGATCCTAGAGCTTGGAGCTCTTAGGCCCGCTTCTCAATGAAGCATTTGTGGGATCATCAGGAAGATGTTACCTTTTCATGTACTCATGAAACAGAGGCAATTCATCTTACCCACCACTGCCTTTGTGCTTTAAGAACACATAAAGATAAAGAAAAAAAATCTGAAGTCTAGGAAAAAATGAGAATTAATAATAGCAAAACCTAGTTTTAAGTACTATCTTAAAGTTAATTGAATGAAATGTGCATTCTTCTTCAAGTAAATGAAAATAGACTATGTATTAAGGAGATTCTCGTTGATTATTCAGACTTGACTTATTGGCTATCATATCAATGATATAAAACCAGAGATCAAAAATCTTTGACTGGTAGACTAAAGATGATATTAGGAAGATTCTAAAAGATCCATGGGCAGTCATGGCAGCCTCATCCTCTGTCCTGATCTTTTCAGAAAAGTTAGGGTCCAGTCAGGCACTCTCCCTGTGTCCATTTGGTGACTTGGTGACAAAAATTTAATGAGCACATTATAGTAGTTATTTCAACTATACCCAGCTATTTTCTGGATTCCCGTCGTGTACCAAGGTACAATTCCCTATATTTGTTTTCTTACATATTCTGCTCAATGTAAACATTTATGATTCCAGCTTCAGGTCTCCAAGAAAATATATAGAAACAATATTTCTTTTCTGACTATACAGGTAGTTATGCAAGCTGTAGAAAATACTAAAAAACATAGAGATAAAAATCACCCATAGTTTCACATCTAGAACTAAATGTCCTAAATGTATTTTTTCCTTACCAACTTTTCTCTACCCATATGTTTTAACGTAGGTAAAACAAAACCTATATAAAATTTTATAACTAAAATTCTTGAAGTTAAATTTTGTTACTAAAATATACCTATAAAACCCATAATCTTCAAATACTAAATCTATAACTATTATCACTAACTTTTAACCTATAGAATACTTGCCTAATTATAATTAAGATATACAGACTATTTTATGGTTTTTAGTTCATGTTATTTCATACATACATTTTAAAGTCTTATTAGTCTCCAAAACTATTACCTCTAATGAATGCATTAATCCATCATATTGATGTCTAAGTGAAGTTTTGAAACAACTACCCTCTAGGAAATGGAATCTCTCTCTTCTGGGTGTCCCATGTCTTCTAAGAATATTTTTGAGGTCAGGCTAATAAAAAACTAAGAAGTCAGCTAGAGAAGTTTACGGGTACCTATTCCTAGAGAATTTTGGGAGCAGAAGGAATCACCTGTGAGATGGCAGAGTAATGAAAAGACAAAGTTTTGGACTATTTGATTCTTTTATGCTTCTTTTTTTTCCTTTTTTTTTCTAAAGGTAAAATATTCCTTCCTGGAGGTTTTATCACCCACACTACATAGATGAAGAATAAAAGGAATGTGACTGAATTCATTTTAACAGGTCTTACACAGAACCCTAAAATGGAGAAAATCATGTTTGCAGTATTTTTGGTTCCTTACATGATAACACTTTCAGGCAACCTGCTCATTGTGGTTACAATTACCACCAGCCAGGCTCTGATCTCCCCCATGTACTTCTTCCTGACCCACCTTTCTTTGATAGACACAGTTTATTCTTCTTCTTCAGCTCCTAAGTTGATTGCCGATTCCCTTCATGAGAAGAAAATCATCTCCTTTAATGGGTGTATGGCTCAAGCCTATGCAGAACACATTTTTGGTGCTACTGAGATCATCCTGCTGACAGTGATGGCCTGTGACCACAATGTGGCCATCTGCAAACCTCTGCACTACACAACCATCATGAGCCAAAGCCTGTGCATTCTCCTAGCGGTAGTGGCCTGGATGGGAGGATTTCTCCATGCAACTATTCAGATTCTCTTTACAGTATGGCTGCCCTTCTGTGGCCCCAATGTAATAGACCACTTCATGTGTGACTTGTACCCTTTGTTAAAACTTGTTTGCCTGGACACTCACACCCTTGGTTTCTTTGTTGCTGCCAACAGTGGGTTCATCTGCCTATTAAACTTCCTTCTCTAGATGGTATCCTGTGTGATCATCTTGAGATCTTTAAAGAACTATAGCTTGGAGGGGAAGGGTAAAGCCCTCTCCACCTGTATTTCTCACATCATAGTAATTGTCTTATTCTTTGTGCCCTGTATATTTGTGTATCTGTGCCCAGTGACCACTCTGCACATTGAAAAAGCTGCTGCTGTATTTTATACTATGGTGGTCCCAATGTTAAATCCTTTGATCTACACACTCAGAAATGCTGAGTTAAAAAGTGTGATAAGGAAGCTTTGGAGAAAAAAAGTGATTTCAGATAATAATTAAATAAGACCATTGAGCACTCAACATAGAGGTAATAGGTATTTAAGCTTCTTGATTTGTAGATGAATATGTCAACTCTAACAAGGGGCTGGCTAATGCTTGCAGATAGTCAGTAAAGAATAAAGCTAAAGCTTGGACTGTAAAGCTTACTGTCTCTTATCCTACACTCTTGTCATCACCACTATTGTTTTTTAATTAATACATATTCATCAATTGCCTGGAAACTTGAAACGTCTCTAGATGCTAAAAAGTATAAATGTAGAATATTAGATTGATATTAAAATAATCTTATTATATAATATTAAGCAGTTGGTTACTGCTGATTATTGAAATTAACATGTTTAATGATATTTCTTTACTTTGGACTCTGGCTTAATATATACATACTTTCTTTTGTAAATTTTATTGGTCACTATATATTGGTCGTATTGTAAAAAGATGTACTGTTCATCTAATGCCTGCAAGGCTGCATTTTATTAAGTTTTTTCCATATTGTACCAGTTAGGGTTCAATCAGGAGACAGATCACACAGCTTCCCCGATTTGAGCAGTGAAAATTTACATAAAATTATTAATTATATCGAGGGATTAACTATAAAGAAGTAAAGAATGTCCTGTGACTGAGAGATGAGTAACTAAGAAAGGAACACATCTGGGAGCTGGGCTCCCTTCCCAAGGCTGAGATTCCAATATTTTGAAGAAAGTGTAGTTGTTGCCCATTGGATGATGGAGAAATTCACTGGGTAGTCTTGGGCCAGAACTAGTTCATGGTAGCCGGACAGAAGCTGCCCCACAAGAAACTTGTCTGGGACTGGCCAGCAGGGAGACTTTCACTGGGATACTGGTGGACTGAGGCTGGTAAATGAGGAACTGTAGCCTGGACTGGCAAGGAGGAAATAACCCTCTAGGGTGCAGGTGGACCAAGGCTACCCCATTATAGATAGGCAGTTTTGGAAAACTGATTGCTGGAGTATCTGTGTGATTTATTGGAATCTCCCTGCAGAGGCACCACTGAAACTCAATGGGAAATTTTCCGTAAAGTTGTCAGTGAACCTCAATGGAAGTGAGCACTTCTGAATATCTCTCCCTCCCCCAGCCAAACACATGTGCTGGAAGCTACATAGAGTAAGATGAAAACAGAAACATATTTAAATCAGGAAGAGATGTCCCTTTTGATTTCCTATACTGGCAAAACTTAGCATCAAAGAAGACTAGGTGCAGAGGATAAATTTCTACACGGCTTATTTTCATTAATATGCAGCAGGCAATGAAGGTTGTATTTGGAGCTGAGAGGCAATACATTGACAAATAGCACCCAAATTTTATCCTTAATTCTTGTAACACATTTTACAGGATATTGAAGTGCATATATATGGCATGATTTGATCAAACCTCAAGTTAGTGGCAGAATGAGATATAAATTGAGATATGGCTCCTTATTCTACACACTTTGTTGGTAGTAGGTAGCTGCAACTATTTTTTTACTGTAAAGTCTAAAAATGAAAATAACACAATTTATTAAAAGAATCTGTATAATCTCATGTTATAATTTCATTTAATTTTACTATTAGCTATGCACTGGTATCTGATTAATTCTTTCACTGAAGATATATAGACAGAAGATGAACAATTACTTGGAATTTTTTTTTTTTTTTTTGAGACAGAGTCTTATTCTGTCACCCAGGCTGGAGTGCAGTGGCACAATTTGGGCTCCTGGGTTAAAGAAATTCTCCTGCCTCAGCCTCCCGAGTAGCTGGAACTACAGGCATGTGCCACCATGCCTGGATAATTTTTATATTTTTAGTAGAGACGGGGGTTCGCCTTGTTGGCCATGTGGGTCTCGAACTCCCGACCTCAGGTGATCCATCCACCTCAGCCTCCCAAAGTGCTGGGATTAAAAAATGAGGCACATGCCTGGCTTATTTAAACTTTTAACTGAATTTTCATGATTTGGCAATTGTAATACACTTCAAAGCATGAAGGATCTAGTTTCTGCTCCTTTATCAAAAGGTATATGAAGGGTCACTAGGTGTTAGACTTTGGCACTAGAACGGGAACAGGAATGTGTAGAAAGGTAAAGTTATGAGAAAATCTGAAATATATAGCATCCAGGGACACAACCAGAATTGATATCCAAGGGTGACTGAAACTTAAGTCTGGCAGAAAGGCAAAATCACACATAAGTCATCAAGACAGGTAGCTGGCATGAAGATACCCAAGAAATTTTACAGTGGTGAGTAGAAGATGGATGCAGCAGAGATTCCTGGGGCACAATTCTAGAGTGTCTTTTTACTCATTCTAGAGTAGTGAAGAAATTAATAAAGATGACCAGACAGTCTAGATAGAAAGGTTGTCAGTGAAACTGGTAATGCTTGTTAAAACTTTCACAAGAGTTCCCCACTGAGCATGTACAGGCGGTCTTAGAGAGGATCATTAGGTAAACAGCCTTAATAAAGATGACTTATATGCACAGTGCACTTCATTGTTTATATTAGTTTAACTTTTTTCCACGCACTTCTATTTCCTACTATTACTCATGGAATAAAAAAGATTAAAAGCTGTTATCAGAGATATCTCATTCTCCATTCCCATTTGTACCCCTGAATCTGTGTTCCTCAGACCACCCTGCCTCAACCTCCAGCTCTACCTTCCACATCCAGCTCATTCCTGAATGATTTTATACTTCGACTTAGCATTAATAATTCCATCAACTGTCATAGATAAGCCAAACTTCACTTAACATATTATGGTTTTCATGAACAGTTTGGATTTAGGAAGATATTAATCACAAATATTAGTATCTTTTTCTTGGTATAATCCATTGTATATGTTTTTTAAATTTTTTTTCCATAAGGTATTGGGGTACAGGTGGTATTTGGTTACATGAGAAGGTTCTTTTTTTATTATACTTTAAGTTTTGGGGTACATGTGCACAACGTGCAGGTTCGTTACATATGTATACATGTGCCATGTTGGTGTGCTGCACCCGTTAACTCATCACTTAACATTAGGTATATGTCTTAATTCTATCCCTCTCCCCTAACCCCACCCCCAACAGGCCCCTGTGTGTGACGTTCCTCTTCCTTTGTCCATGTGTTCTCATGGTTCCATTCCCACCTATGAGTGAGAACATGCAGTGTGTGGTTTTTTGTCCTTGCGATAGGTTGCTGAGAATGATGGTTTCCAGTTTCATCCATGTCCCTACAAAGGACAAGAACTCATCCTTTTTTATGGCTGCATAGTATTCCATGGTCTATATGTGCCACATTTTCTTAATCCAGTCTATCATTGTTGGACATTTGGCTTGGTTCCAAGTCTTTGCTATTGTGAATAGTGCTGCAATAAACATACGTGTGCATGTGTCTTTATAGCAGCATAATTTATAGTCCTTTGGATATATACCCAGTAATGAGATGGCTGGGTCAAATGGTATTTCTAGTTCTAGATCCCTGAGGAATCGCCACACTGACTTCCACAATGGTTGAACTAGTTTACAGTCCCACCAACAGTATAAAAGTGTTCTCATTTCTCCACATCCTCTCCAGCACCTGTTGTTTCCTCACTTTTTAATGATGGCCATTCTAACTGGTGTGAGATGCTATCTCATTGCGGTTTTGATTTGCATTTCTCTGATGGCCAGTGATGATGAGCATTTTTTCATGTGTCTTTTGGCTGCATTAATGTCTTCTTTTGAGAAGTGTCTGTTCATATTCTTCACCCACTTTTTGTTGGGGTTGCTTGTTTTTTTCTTGTAAATTTGTTTTAGTTCATTATAGATTCTGGATATTAGCCTTTTGTCAGATGAGTAGATTGCAAAAATGTTCTCCCATTCTGTAGGTTGCCTGTTCACTCTGATAGTAGTTTCTTTTGCTGTGCAGAAGCTCTTTAGTTTAATTAGATCCCATTTGTCAATTTTGGCTTTTGGTGCCATTGCTTTTGGTGTTTAGACATGAAGTCCTTGCCCATGCCTATGTCCTGAATGGTATTGCCTAGGTTTTCTTCTAGGGTTTTGATGGTTTTAGGTCTAACATTTAAGTCTTTAATCCATCTTGAATTAATTTTTGTATAAGGTGTAAGGAAGGGATCCAGTTTCAGCCTTCTACATATGGCTAGCCAGTTTTCCCAGCACCATTCATTAAATAGGGAATCCTTTCCCCATTTCTTTTTTTTGTCCAGTTTGTCAAAGATCAGATGGTTGTAGATATGTGACATTATTTCTGAGGGTTCTGTTCTGTTCCATTGGTGGATATCTCTGTTTTGGTACCAGTACCATGCTGTTTTGGTTACTGTAGCCTTGTAGTATAGTTTGAAGTCAGGTAGTGTGATGCCTCCAGCTTTGTTCTTTTGGCTTAGGATTGACTTGGCAATGCGGGCTCTTTTTTGGTTCCATATTAAATTTAAGGTAGTTTTTTTCCAATTCTGTGAAGAAAGTCATTGGTAGCTTGATGGGGATGGCATTGAATGTATATACTACCTTAGGCAACATGGCCATTTTCATGATATTGATTCTTCTTACCCATGAGCATGGAATGTTCTTCCATTTGTCTATATTCTCTTTTATTTCATTGAGCAGTGGTTTGTAGTTCTCCTTGAAGAGGTCCTTCACATCCCTTGTAAGTTGGATTCCTAGGTATTTTATTCTCTTTGAAGCAATTGTGAATGGGAGTTCACTCATGATTTGGCTCTCTGTTTGTCTGTTGTTTGTGTATAAGAATGCCTGTGATTTTCGCACATTGATTTTGTATCCTGAGACTTTGCTGAAGTTGCCTATCAGGTTAAGGAGATTTTGGGCTGAGACGATGGGGTTTTCTAGATATACAATCATGTCATCTGCAAACAAGGACAATTTGACTTCCTCTTTTCCTAATTGAATACCCTTTATTTCCTTCTCCTGCCTGATCACCTTGGCCGGAACTTCCAACAGTATTTTGAATAGGAGTCGTAAGAGAGGGCATCCCTGTCTTGTGCCAGTTTTCAAAGGGAATGCTTCCAGTTTTTGCCCATTCAGTATAATATTGGCTGTGGGTTTGTCATAGATAGCTCTTATTATTTTGAGATACGTCCCGTCAATACCTAATTTATTGAGAGTTTTTAGCATGAAGGGTTGTTGAATTTTGTCAAAGGCCTTTTCTGGATCTATTGAGATAATCGTGTGGTTTTTGTCTTCGGTTCTGTTTATATGATAGATTACATTTATTGATTTGCATATGTTGAACCAGCCTTGCATCCCAGGGATGAAGCCCACTTAATCATTATGGATAAGCTTTTTGATGTGCTGCTGGATTCGGTTTGCCAGTATTTTATTGAGGATTTTAGCATTGATGTTCATCAGGAATATTGGTGTAAAATTCTCTTTTTTTGTTGTGTCTCTGCCAGGCTTTGTTATCAGGATGATGCAGGCCTCATAAAATGACTTAGGGAGGATTCCCTCTTTTTCTGTTGATTGGAATAGTTCCAGAAGGAGTGGTACCAGGTCCTCCTTGTATCTCTGGTAGAATTCGGCTGTGAATCCATCTGGTCCTGGACTTTTTTTGGTTGGTAAGCTATTAATTATTGCTTCAATTTCAGAGCCTGTTATTGGCCTATTCAGAGATTCAACTTCTTCCTGGTTTAGTTTTGGGAGGGTGTATGTATTGAGGAATTTATCCATTTCTTCTAGATTTTCTAGTTTATTTGCCTAGAGGTGTTTATAGTATTCTCTGATGGTAGTTTGTATTTCTGTGGGATTGGTGGTGATAACCCCTTTATCATTTTTTATTGCCTCTATTTGATTCTTCTCTCTTTTCTTCTTTATTAATCTTGCTAGTGGTCTATCAACTTTGTTGATCTTTTCAAAAAACCATCTCCTGGATTCATTGATTTTTTGAAGGTTTTTTTGTGTCTCTATTTCCTTCAGTTCTGCTCTGATCTTAGTTATTTCTTGCCTTCTGTTAGCTTTTGAATGTGTTTGCTCTTGCTTGTCTAGTTCTTTTAATTGTGATATTAGGGTGTCACTTTTATATATTTCCTGCTTTCTCTTGTGGGCATTTAGTTCTCTGCAGACTTAAATGTCCCTGTCTGACAGATTTGAAGGGAATAGTGATTCTCCCAGCACGCAGCTGGAGATCTGAGAATGGACAGACTGCCTCCTCAAGTTTTTTCCTGACCCCCGAGTAGCCTTACTGGGAGGTACCCCCCATTAGGGGAAGACTGACACCTCACATGCCTGGGTACTCCTCTGAGTAAGTTTTTTAGTGGAGTATTGTGAGATCCTGATGCACCAATCACCCAAGCAGTATACACTGCCCCGTATTTGCTGTTATTTATCCCTCAAACCCCTCCCAATCTTCTCCCCAAGTCCCCAAAGTCTTTTGTATGATTCTTATGTCTTTCTGTCCTCATAGCTTAGCTCCCACATATCAGTGAGAATATACAATGTTTGGTTCTCCATTCCTGAGTTACTTCACTTAGAATAATAAGACAAATATTAGCATCTTTAAAATAAAAAATCAACTATGTATTATTAAATAATTATATCACATCATTTAATTTCTAATAAATATTTCTTAGCTTTAATGAGGTAATACTGACTAACAAAAATGCATATATTTAAGGTATGCAATGTAATGTTTTGATATATGTATATATGGTAAAATGATTACCACAATCAAGCTAGTTGTCATAGCTCTCACCTCACATAGGTACTATTATTTTTGTAAGATTTAAGATCTATTCTCCCAGTAAATTTCAAGTATACATTACATTATTATTAAGTATAATCACCGGGCTGTTCATTTGATCTTCAGGACTTTATTCACTTTGTTTAACTGAAATGTTGTACTTTCAGACCTACATCTCCACATTATGCCTCCCCCAACCCCTGTCAACCACAATTCTGCCTCTGTGCCTTGCCTCCAGGGCTTGTTTCTGAGGATAGGTCCTAGGATCACCTATGTGAGTAATATTTAATACTACATTAAGACTTGAACATCGTTCAACATATTCAAAATCTCATTAATCTTCTCTGTCTTCCTTCCATCCAGTGATCTAAGCCAGGGCCCAAGTTTCATCTGTGACTTCTCTCTCTCTCATCTTCATCCTATATCAAGTTCTTTTGTTTAGAATTCAAAAATATTCTTCAAAAGTTTCTATATCTCTCCAGGTTAGTTTGATTTCCCTAGGTTCAGAGGATGATATGAGAATTTTAATAAACGTGATTTATAAGGGGAAAAGATTGAAGGAAACATACTATAGTAGGGAAGGAAGGATGTAGTCTCAACTAGTCTGCCTCTAGCCTGGAGCCCCGGGAGCTCTGAGGTATACACTGTGCTACAGAACTGCTTCCACCTTGAGACAAAGGAACTAACCTCTTAAACCCTATTCCAGGCAATCATTTCTGGTGGGCCCTGGGAGAGGGAACAAAATACCCCAAGTGACGCCCCTCCCATTTTATCTGGTGCAATTGACCAGAAAAGGACAGGGCTGTGAGCTATTAGCAGCCCAGACACACAGTAGTTGGGGCATATGTGCACTGGCCTGGTAAAGGGGATTTGAGCTGGGCATAATAGTGTCCACCATATTCTGCTTCCTAACTGACAACACCAGGGCTGAGATCTCCAGCCTTTCACACTGAAATAATTACAATAAACCCCTAGGTGGTCTCCTGCCTCCAGTCTTGATCCTTCAATCCATTTTACATACTGTAGTTGGGATTATCATTAAAAAATTAAAATCTAGCTGTATCACTCTCTATCTTAAATATACCTTCCCTGTTTCTCCCATGGTCCTTAGCATTAAGTCTTAACACAACTATAAGACCCTTCTTGATATTCTCTTTCCCTATCTCTCTAGCTTCATGTCTTACAATTTACAAGACTTTATAAGCTCAGTGTCTCTCATGTTGCCTGGCACACAAGTTGGGGGTTCAGTAAATAATTGCTGAGTGAATGAGTGAATTAATGATCATGGCCATATTGCACTGATTAGGTTTCCTGCATACTCTTTTCACCTTCTGGGCCTTTGTTATGTATTCTCTCTCCTACAAGCACTGCTCTCAGCTTCATGCCTATGCATTCTGCTGACTTTTCTTTTCTTTTCTTTCCTTCTTTCTTTATTTTACTTTTTTGACATAGTCTCGCACTGTCATCCAGGCTGGAGTGCAATGGCGTGATCTCAGCTCACTGCAACCTCTGCCTCCCAGGTTCAAACGATTCTCCTGCCTCAACCTCCCAAGTAGCTGGGATTACAGGTGCCTGCCACCACACTGAGTTAATTTTTGTATTTTTAGTAGACCCCTCAGGTCTATGTCTTTTCTCCTTTGCTAGCCTCTCAGTGAATCCTCAGCTCTGTGAAGGCAACACCTGGGTTTCTCTTTATTCACCACTAATGCCCCAGCAATTTTCAATGTACCTGATGCATTCCTTGGTCTCTAAATACTTGTTAACCAATGAATAAGAAATAGAAAGAATGAATGAAGTATATTTATTCCGAAATGGCTTTGGATACATACACAGCTATATAGTCTTCAAAACAGCTTTTTTCTTGTGAGGTGCTGTGGGAGTGGGGCCTGCAGACCGAGGTGGCTTGGCTTCCTGGATTCATCCCCCTTCCTAGGGGTACTTATGGACTTCCCGCCCTGCCTGAGTTGCAGACAAGTTTGTTGGGGATCCTTGGGCCCGAGTTTGTAAAGCTCCTGGGTCTCTGTGTGTGTCTGAGCAGCTGCTCTGTGGAGACTACACAGCTGTGTGTATCGGACCCAAGGCCCTGGTAGCCTGGGCTCACGAGGGGATTTCCTGATCCACGGGTTACAAAGATCCATGGGAAAATCATGGTTTTCTGGGGTTGCACATTCCCTTACTGCATCGTGGGGGTTCCCTTGGCTCCCTGCTGCTCCTGGGTGAGCCATACCGCTGTGCTGCTTTTCTTCATTCTCTGTGGGTGGAGTTGTTTCCCTGATCTGTCCCAAATGTGAGTACCTGGATCTTTCAGTTGAAGATGCTGTATCACTTGTCCTTTTCTTTCCTCTCCGTGAGTGCCACGGATCTCAGCTGCTTCTAATCGGCAATCTTGGCCCCCTCCCAAAAACAGCTTTTAATAATAAAATGTTACCAAAAAGTAAACTGATTGACAGAGGAATAGAAAATAAATAGCTCATAATCATAAGATAAAATGTTGCTGAAAGCAGAAAAATTTCAAGATTAGCTATTTGTTCATATGCTAGGAATTTGCTTCTATTTCTTCTGTATTCTTCAGCGTAAGGAGTAAAAACAAACTGTGTTCCCCCAAGAGGTCCAGCTAGAATTCTCCTTAGTGCCTGAATCAGATAAGAAAACAATTCCTATCATCAGTACTATTTTTTTTTTAGCTCTAAATTTTGTTGAATTCATTTACCTTCCTTAATAATTCTATTAAATCATTCGAGGTTTATCACGTACCAGACATTGTGCTACCTTGTGGCAATTATTGTTATCTAGTAGGCAAGTACTTTATGGGCCATGATTGTATATTTAACTAATAGAAATTTCAGCCTGAAATTCAAATGCTCTTTCAATGAAGCCATCACCCTTTCTGATGGGTTTTCAGCATAATATGGGTGACTTGAGCAATACAAAATCGTTCAGAAGCCTACACTGACATTTGGAAACATGATATAAACTTCATTACCTACCCATGAGAGGTTATGGCCTATTGTTATTACAGTCTTAAAGTGGTTAGATACCATAATGTTTCAGAAAACAAATGACCATCAATAATGATAAATAAAAAAGCAGAGTTGTTAATAAAATTTCTTATATTTTTAGTTAGATAACAAACTAATATATGCATTGTGCCTAGCATAGTCTGTGGTCCCAAAATGGTAAGTAGTATAATTAACTGACATTTTCATTATCACTCTGTGGCAGAATATCATAGCAGTTAAGAGTATGGTCTGGAAAATCAGTTATAGTTTGGTTACTAGCTCATCAACATATCTATTTTGATATCTTCTCCTTCCTGTAAGCTTCCTAACTTGTAAAATGAAGATAATAGTAGTGCTTACCTCTTTGAAGTGTTACAGATATTACCGCTAGATACCAATATATGCTATTATTTCTTTTATTTGTGAGAGGAAAGCCTATGAATCCATATACAGGATGAAACTAGTAAAACTAAGCCCCAACTTGGTAGAATTTCCCAAATATGCAGAGTTGTCCTCGGTTGTTTTCTCTCTTTCCTTGAACCATTTCTATACCCCTCAATGCAGAATCTATGAATCATATGGTGAATGTTTTCTTCATCCAATCAATTTGCCCCACTGCAATTATCCAAAATGTCCTTCTGACTTTTTCTTTTTTTTTTATTATACTTTAAGTTTTAGGGTACATATGCACAACACGCAGGTTAGTTACATATGTATACATGTGCCATGTTGGTGTGCTGCACCCATTAACTTGTCATTTAACATTAGGTATATCTCCTAATGCTATCCCTCCCCCCTCCCCCACCCCACAACAGGCCCCAGTGTGTGATGTTCCCCTTCCTGTGTCCATGTGTTCTCATTGTTCTATTCCAAACTATGAGTGAGAACATGCGGTGTTTGGTTTTTTGTTCTTGTGATAGTTAGCTGAGAATGATGATTTCCAGCTTCATCCATGTCCCTAAAAGGACATGACTAAATTGAATCAATGTTGAGCTCTAGTTACATTTATTTGTCACCTGAAATGTCCTTTCTACTACACAATTTCCTGATGGCATTTTTCATCTGGGCATTCTTCAAGGTATAGATTAAGGGGTTTAACATAGGAGTTATCATAGTGTAGAATATAGCAACTGCTTTATCAATAGGTAAAGTAGCTGCAGGTCTCATGTACACAAATATGCAGGGCACAAAGAATAAGATGACAACCGTGATGTGGGAGACACAGGTGGAGAGGGCTTTGTGCCTTGCCTCCAAGCTATGAGTCCTTAGGGAGCACAAGATGACCACATAGGAGACCAGCAGGAGGGCAAAGTTTAACAAGCAGATGAATCCACTGTTGGCAGCAATGAAGAGTTCCAGCATATGGGTGTCAGTGCAGGCGAGGTTGAGCAAAGGGTTCAGATCACACATAAAGTGATCTATGACATTAGGACCACAGAAAGGTAATTGGAAGATGAAGAGGATCTGTATGGTTGCATGAAGAAAGCCTCCCATCCACACCACTCCCATTAGCAGGGCACACACACACTGGTTCATGATAGTCATATAGTGCAAGGGCTTGCAGATGGCCACATAGTGGTCATAGGCCATCACAGTAAGTAGGATGCCCTCTGCACCTCCGAAGAAATGTTCTCCAAAGACTTGAGTCATGCATCCATTGAATAGGATGGCCTTCTTTCCATAGAGTGAATGTGTGATCAGGTTAGGGGTATTGACAGAGGAATAGCAGGCATCAATAAAGGAGAGATAGGCCAGGGAAAGGTACATGGGGGACCCCAGTGATGGGCTGGCAGTGATGGTGACCACAATGAGCACATATCCCACCACAGTGATGATATAGATGACAAAAAACACAACAAATATGATTTTCTGCATCTTTGGATTCTCTGTAAGCCCCAGCAAAACAAACTCTGTCATGTTATTCCTATTCTCCATGTATTTCTCATGATGATTAATTGCATTACCTGTAAAAATTTTTTATTAATACAACTTTGAATTTATTACATATCTCCATTTTAATAATAAATGCTTGAATTTTATTAAACTGTAAATTCCTATAAGGTTTTTCTTGAGATGTTAATAAAGTTTCTCAGTTCTTGAAGATTACTTGGTGAAGACTCTGTGAAGAGTATCGACATTAGAAACTCTTGTGAACAAAGTCAGGATGTCATGTGTGTATACTCAATCATCTGGGAGGCCTAAGAGCTCAATTTGAAGTAGTAGATTGGATACACGGTAGCAGCTAAACCTGAAAAGGGAGATTGACAATGAATTTAAAGGCCATGGTGTAAAGCTAAGGAATTTGCCATTTATTCTTTAGGAAATGGGGAACATTGGTAGGTTACTGTCAATATGAGTGGGAAGATGAAGAGGAATTTGAGGAGTAGGAATCTTGGAGTATCCCACTAGTACAAGTCTTTGTATGTCTTGGATGAAGTGGGCTGAGGTTCTGCAAAGCAGGTGTTAGCCAGAGAAAGGAACCCCAGTGGGCAGAATATTTAGAGTACTTGACATAAGAAGTAACTGGGTGGCTGGGCCGGTGGCTCACACCTGTAATCCCAGCACTTTAGGAGGCCTAGGCGGGTGGATTACGAGGTCAGGAAATCGAGACCATCCTGGCCAACATGGTGAAACCCCATCTCTACTAAAATACAAAAAGTTAACCAGGCGTGATGGTGCTTGCCTGTATTCCCAGCTATTTGGGAGGCTCAGGCAGGGGAATTACTTGAACTCAGGAGGCAGAAATTACAGTGAGGCCAAGATCACACCACTGCACTCCAGCCTGGGTGACAGAGAGTGACAGAGAGAGACAGAAAGAAGTATAAAAAAAGGATATAAGAGCTACTAAAATAATTCATAATGCTTATTGTCTAAATCTAATTAACTTTATAATAACTAATATTATATGCCCTTTAATAATTAATTGTCTTGCAAAAGCCATAGTAGTAAGTGCTTTGCACACATGATTCCAGTGAACACTTATAACATCCTAGGTGACCAGTATTATTTCATCAAATTTTCAGATAAGGCAGCAATATTAGTGATTAATGTTAATAGTTATGTTAACACAATGATATTTATATTATACAATAATGTAATATTATTTATATTAACATTATAACACTCATAATATTGATAATATTAACTAAAACATACTGAGCACTAGTGTCTTCTAAATGTTTTTTTGCAGGCAATCACAAAATAAACCCAGAAAATAGTACTATCATTTTTATACTTATTTTACATATTAGGAAGTAGAAGCATAGGGAAGTTGAAGATCCCATCCAAGATCAAGCAGTTTAATAAAGGACAGAGTCAAGATTAGTCACATTATACTAGTTAATTTTTTCTCTCCAAATTCTGAGCTCATGCCCTATGTTGTTATGTTATAATAAACAATGTTGAACTAATAATCTCCTTTTGATATGACCATTATGATTATACTTACTTTAATACTACTTCAGAGGCAATTTGTATGGAGCAATTTCATTAGCCGTATCCCCCCTCCCCACCCACAACACAGTGACATCTTTGAGTTCAAATATTAAGAAAAATGTGGTATTGAATCATTGAAGGTACATCTATCTTAGCTTCTCCCCTAGTCCCAGCTCTTTCCTCAACACCCCCACCCCACCAAGTCGTGGGCCCCCAGACTCTTGAACAAAATGTTGAAAATGACTACTGGCCGGGCGTGGTGGCTCACGCCTATAAGTCCAGCACTTTGGGAGGCCGAGGCGGGAGGATAACGAGGTCAGGAGATCGAGACAACCCTGGCTAACATGGTGAAACTCGGTCTCTACTAAAAATACAAAAAATTAGCCTGGTGTGGTGGCAGGTGCCTGTAGTCCCAGCTATTCGGGAGGCTGAGGCAGGAGAATGGCGTGAACCCAGGAGGCGGAGATTGCAGTGAGCCAAGATCATGCCACTGCACTCCAGCCTGGGCGACAGAGTGAAACTCTGTCTCAAAAAAAAAAAAAAAGCAACAAAAAATTAGCTGTGCATGGTGGCGGGCACTTGTGGTCCCAGCTACTTGGGAGGCTGAGGTAGGAGAATGGCATGAACTCGGGAGGCAGAGCTTGCAGTGAGCCGAGATCAGGCCACTGCACTCCAGCCTGGGCAACAGAGCGAGAGTCCGTCTCAGAAAAAAAAAAAAAAAGAAAAAGAAAAGAAAATAACTACTACAGTGGCCAAGTATATTAGATTTAGAATTAAAAATATATGTGATTAGAATCATTGTTTTTCCACCTGCAACTTTTTTAAGCCAGGGCATGTTTCTTGCCACCTTTCATCTTTGTTTCCTCATCTATAAAGTGAGAATAACAATATCATCTTACAGGCTGTTATGAGAATTGATTGAGGGAACATATAAGAAAATGTTTACCACAGTGCTGTGGATGCACATAGGACTTTCTTTACTTTTACAGGTGTGTACACAGCTAAGGGATCATAAGAAGTGATCATTAGAGCAATAAACAGAGCATCATTGACCATGCAATAACCTCAGGAAGAATAATCTCCAACATTACTCTTGAAGAAGCCACAGTGACTCATACTGTCCATAGCTGTTGATCCCAGGAAGGGGTCTTCATGTTAGTGCTTGGACTAAACAGCTGATGATTTATGCAATTTAGTATTCATATTTATGTCCTTTGTGTATACGATATGTATTTTAATTTTGTTTTAATCTTTTTTTTTTTTGTTTTGAGAATCTGGCTGTATTTTACTAAACCAGACACTGGCAAAAATTTAAAACAATGCCACTTTTCTCACTAACTAGTTTTTTGTTTTGGAAATGCTGTTACTTTTCATAATGCTATTTAGGTAATATTTCATGTGCTTATTGTTATTATTATTATTTTTTATTATTATACTTTAAGTTTTAGGGTACATGTGCACAATGTGCAGGTTAGTTATATATTTAATCTTTATGGCTAGTCTGATTATCATGGCAGAAGCATGGTACCCGGTGTCAGAGAGCTGGGTCCTACAAATTGCTGAATTTCTAAGAAACTCAAAATTTTCAACTGTCAAATAGGTTAATTATATTTACTATCTTTTGAAACATTGGGATGAGGATGAAAGACTCTATATACTATGTTTGAGGTGTTGAAAAATAATGATTACTGACTACTTAAATTAACTATCTTTAAGAAGCATCGGTACTATTAGAAAACTTACCTTAGTAGTCTTAGTTAGATAATCTTGATGTTTGGGAGTGTTCAGACACAATCTTCTTCAAACTGATCTTCTTTTGGAATTAGTAAGTTTTGGTGTGAAAGATTTAACACATGGAAAGAGCCTATTCAGATGATTCAATGTTAAATCACAGTTGTTAAAAAACTGTACACATTAAATGTGTAGTTTTTTGGTATATCAGTTATAATTCAATAAAGAAAGTGTTCTTATGACTATAAATCTTTTTATCTGGCCTAAGTCTCAAAAATTTTCACAGAAAACCTGGGACTTGAATTAAAATCAATTCACTGGAAACACCATGAAGAATTGATTACATATGGCTCTGGTTCCACAGTGCAAGAGGCAGAAGGTGTGGAGGAAACAGTTATAAATGGATCACTTTGCCCATGATTAATCTTGCTGTGGATGAGTGAACAAGAAAAACACTTCTGTCTTGCACTGCATGAATATTTAAAGAGGTTTCTGTAAAGATTCAGGGATCTTATTTTATAGCTGCTGCTTTCTCTCCTAGGAATTAATTATCTCCTTTGATGGAAAAACTTTGCCACAGAAGCAGTATTCTGGAGAGACATGTTTGGAAAAAAAAAACAAACAATTCCTGAATAAGGAATTTCATTCTTTACACTTGGAATCTAATCCTTTGAGTCCTCTTTCTCTATCTGAGCCTGTGTTGTTAAGAATGCTGAATTCTGTTTGAGTAGCAAGGTAGCGTAACTTGTGTGAGGACCTGTGATGTAGTTTCTCTGTTGATTCATGTCACAGGAATTTTCTTTTTTAAAAAAATCAACATTACGCCTTTTTCTGGAAACCTGCTAATGGTTCCTTGAGGTCTAGAGCAGTGAGGGCATGAAACTAATTGTGACCATTTAATTAATTTTAATTTTTAAATTTAAAAATATTTAATTGACAAAGATTTTATATATCCAAGGTGGATAAAATGTTGATTTGATCGAGACGTACATTGTGTAATAGTTATTACAGAAAATTAACACATACATTACTAATCATGCTGTGCATGAGATCCTCAGAACCTGTTCATCTTATAGATGAAAGATTGTTCTCTTTGATAAATATATTCCCATATCCCTCATTCCCCAGGCCCTGGCAACCGTCATTCTACCATCATTCTCTCTGTTTCTATGAGTATGACTCTTTAGATTCTGCATATAAGTGAGATTATACAGCGTTTGACTTTCTGTGTCTGGCTTATTTCACTTAGCATAGTGTCCTCTAGGTTTTTCCACATTGTCACAAATGGCAGGATTTCCTTAAGGTCAAAACAAATTCTTGTAGAAATTTTATAGATTTAGCATGTGGATCTCTAACTCATTTTAAGGTCATTTTTGTGTGTGTGTGCATTATATGAGGTAATGGCTGAAGTTTTTTTTTTTTTCTTATGGGTATCCAATTGACTCAGCATAATTTGTTGAAAAATATTGAGTTGCCTTGGCATTCTTTTAAAAATTTATATATTTGGATGTATTTTTGGACATTCTGTTATATTTTAGTGAGCTATATTTTTATCCTTAAGCCAATACCAAACAGTATTGATACTGGTACATTATACTAAATCTTGAAATTAGGTAGAGTAAGAACTAATCTTTCTTCTTTTTGATAATTATTTGCTATTCTAGTTCCTTTTAAGTTCGCACATTTGCATATAAATTTCAGGATAAGCTTGTCAACATCTCCAAAAATTATGATTGGAATTGCATTGAAAATATAGAATGATATGGTAAAATAATTATTGTTTTCTATTTATTAATATGGTATATCCCTCCATTTATTTATGTATTTAATTTCTCTGACCAGTGTGTTCTACTTTTCATATACAGGTTTTGAATTGATTGTTATAATTTACTCCTCAAATTTCATGTTTTAAATAATGTTTTATATAGTATTTTGTTTCTAATTTCCATTTCTAATTGTTTGTTGCTATTGTAGAAATACAATTGATTTTTAAAATATTGACATTACATCCTGTTACTTTGCTAAACTTACTGATTAGGCCTATTAGTTTTTTGCAGAATACTTTAAATTTTCTACCTACATAATTATGTCATCTGCAAATAAACGTATTTTTATAATTTTGTTTCTTCCTTTGCAAGCTGTGTGTCTTTTATTTCCTTTTCTTATATTTTTGCAATGGCTGAAACCTAGGGTATATTGCTAGACCTAGGTTTCATAGCTGAATGGAAATGATGAGTGGACATCCTTGTCTTGTTCCCAATCTTAGAGGGATAGTGTTCATCATTAAGTGGAATCTGCAAGGCTATATGCACTTTCATTATTGACATGAGTTGCCTTTTCTCTCTCTCTCCCCTTACTTCTTTCCATCTTTTGCTCCTTCACATTAATTCAGCTAATTGTTTATCAATTTTATTGATCTTTTAAAATAATCAGATATTTGTTTCATTGATTTTTCTATTTTTAAAATTTACATTTCATTGATTCTTGTTCTAATCTTTATTATTTCCTATCTTCTACTTAGTTTCTGCTTAATTTGTTGTTATTTTCTGTTTCTGTAGTACAAAACCTTTGATAATTGTTTTCAGACATTATTTTAATTAATTAATTTATTTATTTTGAGATGGAGTCTTGCTGTGTCACCCAGGCTAGAGTGCACTGGCACGAATCTTGGCTCACTGCAACCTCTGCCTCCCAGGGTCAAGTGATTCTCTCTTGTTTCAGCCTCCCTAGTAGCTGGGATTACAAGTGTAAGCCACTGTGCCCGGCCTATTTATTTTTAATGTATACACTTTGTGACCCAAATTTCCTTTTTAGAACTTTTATTACTTCCCTGAAATTCAGATATGTTGTGCTTTAAATTTCATTTATTTCAAAATACCTTTTGTGTTGTGATTTCTTTAACATAAAAATTATATGAAAAAATTCATTTTTTGACTATTTAAAAATGTATAATCAATTGGCTTTGGGTACAATCACAATGTTTTACGATAATTACAACTATCTAATTGCAGAACATTTTCATTGCCTCCGAATAGTTGAACAGTCATTTCTATTTCCCCTTTTCCCCAGTCCCTGGTAACCACTAATCCGCTTTTTGTTCCTATTAATTTGCTTATTTTGGACATTTTATATACATAGAATTAGGCAATTTTCAACCTTTAGTGTCTTCTTTCACTTAGTATGCTTTCAAGTTTCATCCATGTTGTAGCATGCATCAGTACTTTATTGTGGACATACCACAATTTGGTTATCCATTCATACAGACTGATAGAAATTTAGGTTGTTTTCACAATTGTGAGTAGTGCTGCTATAAACTCTTGTGTACAAGTTTGTTCAAACACCTGTTTTTAATTCTTTTCGGTATATATATAGGAGTGGAATTTCTGGGTCAGGTGGTCATTCTATGTTCAACTTTTTGAAGAACAACCAAACAGTTTTTCAGAGATCCATAGATTTTACATTTCCTTTAGTAATTGTAGTAGATTTCCAATTATTCAATATCCTTGCCAACACTGGATAATTGCCATTTAAAAAATTATGGCCATCCACTGGGTGTGAAGTGGTATTTCATTGCAATGTTGATTTACATTTCCCAATGACCAATGATGTTTAGCCTATTTTTATATGCTTATTAGTTATATGTATATCGTATTCGGAAAATGTCTTTTTCAAATTCTTTGCGTATTTTCAAATTGGGTTGTTTACCTTTTTTTGTTGAGTTGTAAGAGTTCTTTATATATTCTGGAAACAAGACTCTTATCAGATATATGATTTTACAAATATTTCTCCTATTCTTTGGGTTGATTTTCACTTTTTTGATAGTGTACTTTGATTCAGAAGCATTTTTAATTTTGATAAAGTCCAATTTATGTATTTTGAAATTTGGGAACGGTGCTTTTACCATTTTATCAAGATTAGGATAGTTAGTGACATTTATTTTCACATGCTATTCTTGTTTTTCCCCAAATAATCGCCTGATAAGTGAATTGATCTTGTTTTATAACTTGTTATGCTTTGTTTTTCAGTTTTTTCAGAATCTCTAATTATTAATGTGGAGAGAATAAAATAATAGCAATATCCTGTCTCCAAATCCATGGACCTGGAATATCTCTCTGTTTATTTAGATATTTTAAAATTGCTTTTACCAATTTTTTGTAGTTGTACATTTAAAAAATATTTTGAACTTTTAGATAAAAAGTAAAAATAATACTGTTGAAGCTGCAGAGAAATGGGAACACTTACATAATGTTGGCGGGAATGTAAATTAGCTCAGCTACTTTGGAGAGTGGTTTGGAGATTTCTCAAAGAACTGTTCTGTTTTTTTTTTTTAAATAGATTTTAAGGGTACAAGGGCAGGTTTGTTCCATGGATATATTGTGTAGTGGTGAGGTCTGGGCTTTAAGTGTACTCATTTCCTGCATAGTGAACATTGTATCCAGTAAGTAATTTTTCAGCTCTCAACATTCTCCCACCCTCCCACCTTTTGGAGTTTCCAATGTCTACTTTTTCACTCTGTATGTCCATGTATGCCATTGTTTAGCTCTCACTGAAAGTGAGAACATCTACACTCATAAGTGGGAGTTGAACAATGATAACACATGGACAGAGAGAGGGGAACATCACACACTGGGGCCTGTCGGGGGATTGGGGGTTAGGGGAGGAACAGCATTAGGAGAAATACCTAATGTAGATGATGGGTTGATGGGTGCAGCAAATGACCATGACATGTGTATACCTGTGTAAAAAACCTGCACATTCTGCAGTTGCATCCTAGAACTTGAAGTATAATAATAACAAAAAAACTAAATAAAAATTTGCTGTTTAGTTACTTAAAAAAAGTGAGAACATGTAGCATTTGGCTTTCTGTTCCTGGGTTATGTAACTTAGAATCATGTCCACCAGTTCCATCCATATTGCTGCAAAATACAAGATTACATTTTTTATGGCTGAGTACCATTCCATGGTGTGTGTGTGTGTGTGTGTGTGTGTATGTATGTGTATATATATCTCACATTTGTGATATCTATCTATATATCTCACATTTTCTTTATCCATCATCTGTTGATGGTTGATTCCGTGTCCTTACTATTGTGAATAGTGCTGCAAAGAACATAGTGCAGGTGTCATTTTGATAGAATGATGTCTTTTTCTTTGGGCGGATACCCAGTAGTGGGATTGCTGGATCAAAGGGCAGTACTATTTTTAGTTCTTTGATAAATCTCCCTCTGTTTTTCTTGCAGGTTTTATTAATTTTATTCCTAGCAGTATTGTATATTTCCTGTTGTTTTTGACTTTTTAATAATAGCCAGTCTGACTGGTGTAAGATGGAATTTCATTGTGGCTTTAATTTATATTTCTCTGATGATCAGTGGTGTTAAGCACTTTTTCATGTTTGTTTCTGCTTGTATGTCTGTTTTTTGGAAAAGTGCCTGTTTATGTCCTTTTCCCACTTTTAAATGGGGTTATTATTAGTTTTCTTATTTGAGTTCCTTGTAGATTCTTCATACTATCCTTTTGTCAGATGCTTAATCTGCAAATATTTTCTCCCATTTTTTAAATTGTTTATTCTGTTAATTATTTTGCTGTGCAGAAGCTATTTAATTTTATTAAGTCCCCTTTATATATTTTTGTTGTGTTTGATTTTGAGGACTTGGTCATAAATTTTTTGCCCAGGCCAATGTCCAGAAGAGCTTTTCTTAGGTTTTCTTCTATGATCTTTATAGTTTCAGACTTACATTTAAGTCTTTTTATCCATCTTGTGTTAATTTTCTTACATAGTGAGAGATATGGGTCCACATTTATTCCTCTGCATATGGCTATCCAATTTATCATTTATTGAATAGGTTGTCCTTCCCTCAGTGCATATTTTTGTCACCTTTGTTGAGAATCAGTCAGTTATAGGTATGTGGCTTTATTTCTGGGTTCTCTATTCTGTTCCATTGATCTATGTGTCTATTTTTGTATCAGTGTCATGCTGTTTTAGTTATTATAGCCTTGGAGTATAATTTAAAGTCAGGTAATGTAATGCCTCCAGCTTTGTTATTTTTGCTTAGGATTGCCTTGGCTATTCAGGGTCATTTTTAGTTCCATATGAATTCTAGGACTTTTCCCAATTCTTTGAAAAATGGCATTGGTAATTTGATAGAAACTGCATTGAATCTATAGATTTCTTGCCATCTTAAGAGTATTTATTCTTACAATCCATGAGCATAGGATTTTTGTTTGTGTCATCGATGATTGTGTTATCAGTGTCTTGTAGTTCTCCTTGTGGAGATCTTTCACCTCTGTGGTTAAGTTTATTTGTATGTATTTTATTCTTCTTGCAACTACTGTAAATAGGATTCACTTCTTGATTTAGTTCTCAGCATGATTGTTATTGGTATATAAAAATGCTACTGATTTTTGCATGTTGATTTTGTATCCTGAAACATTAATGAAGTCATTTGTGAAATCTAGGAGTCTTTTGGAGGAGTCTTTGGTGTTTGTTTTTTTTTTTTTTTTGGTTTTTTGATCATATTATCAGTCAACAGAAATAATTTAACTTCTTATTTTCCAATTTGGATATGTTTTATTTGTCTCTCCTGAGTTCTCTAGCTACGACTTCTAGTACTAACTGTATTGAGTAGGAGTGTTGAAAGTGGGCATCCTTGTCTTGTTCCAGTTCTTAAAGGGGAATGCTTTAAACAGTATCCTGTCCAGTATACTGTTGGCCGTGGGTTTGTTGAATATAATTTTTATTATTTTGAGTTTTGTTCCTTTGATGCCTAGTTTTTTTGAGAGTTTTTATCAGGAAGAGATGCTGAATTTTATGAAATTCCTTTTCTGCATTTATTGAGATCATCACATGGTTTTTATTTTTAATTCATATGATATGGTGAATCACATTTATTGATTTGCATATGTTTAACCATTCTTGCATCTCTGTAGTAAAACTCACTTGATTGTAGGGCATTTTATTTTTGATGTGCTGTTGGATTTGTTTTGCTGGTATTTTATTGAGATTTTTGCATAGATATTGATCAGGGATATTGGTCTGTAGTATTTGTGTATGTATGTGCCCTTGAATGGCTTTGGCATCAGAGTGATCCTGGCTTCATAGAATGAGTAAGGGAGGATTCTCTTCTTTATTTTTTTAAAACAGCTTCCATAGAGTTGGTACCAGTACTTTTTTTACATCTGGTAGAATTCAATTATAAATCTATCTGGTCTTTGGCTTTTCTTGACAAGCTGGGGGAGGTTTTAAAATTACTATTTAAGTTTAATTAGTCATTACTGGTCAGTTTAGCATTTCTATTTCTTCCTGGTTCAATCTTGGGATGTTATATGTTTTCAGAAATATATATACTTTTCCTCCAGGTTTTTTAGTTTATTTGTGTAGAGATGCTCATAGTAGTTTATGATAATCTTTTGTATTTCTGTGGTATCAATTGTAATGTCACCTTTATCATTTCTTATTATACTTACACGAATATTCTCTCTTTTTCTTGGTTACTCTATCTAGCAGTCTACCAATTTTGTTCATCTCTTCAAAGAGCCAACTTTTAATTTCATTGATCCTTTACATATTTTTTTGGTCCCAATTTTACCAAGTTCTGATCTGTGTAGTTTTTTTTCTTTTAACTTTGGCTATTGTTTGTTCTTGATTTTCTAGTTCCTTGAGGTACAACATTCGGTTGACAACTTGAGATATTTCTACTTTTTTGATGTAGGTATTGAACCCTATTAAGTTCCCTCTTAGCACTGTTTTTGCTGTATATCAGAAGTTTTGAGATGCTGTGTTTCTATTTCCATTTGTTTCCAATTTCTTTAAAATTTCTGCCTTGCTTCATCATTGATATGAAGTTTGTTCAGGAGCAGGTTGTTTAATTTCCATGGATTTGTATTGTTTTGAGAGCTCCTTTTAATATTTATTTCTAGTTTTATTCCACTCTGATCCAAGAAAATTCTTGTTATGGTTTCAATTTAAAAAAATTTATTGAGACTTGCCTTGTGGACTAGTATATGGTTTATTTTTGAGAATATTCTATGCACAGATGAGAAGAATGTGTATTTTTCATGTGTTGGGTAGAATGCTCTGTAAGTGTCCATTAGGTTCATGTGGTTTAGAGTCCAGTTTTAGCTCACAGTTTCTTTGTTCATTTTCTGCCTCAATGATTTGTCTAGTGCCATCAGTGGGGGTATTGAAGTCCCCCACTATTATTACATGGCTGTACACTTTTTTTAAAATCTATGCTTTTTACAATTTTTTTATTTTTTTCTATTTTTTTAACTTTATTCATAATTGGGATTGACAAGTTTTCTTTTTTTCCTTTTAGAAATGGAGTCTGGCTCTGTTGCCCAGGCTGGAGTGCAGTGGCATGATCTCGGCTCACTGCAAGGTCCGCCTTCCATGTTCACGCCATTCTCCTGCCTCAGCCTCCTGAGTAGCTGAGACTACAGGCCCCTGCCACCATGCCTGGCTAACTTTTATTTTTTTCACATTTCTCTTTTTTATTTCTATGCCTTGCTTATTTTCAAAAACAGGTTTTAACTTCTATAACATTTTCTGAATAGCACTGCTGGAAAAAGAATAAATTTATTTGCTTTTTTGGTATATCATACACTGCATTTCCTTCCCTTAAAAATTTATTTTGCCATTTTAAACTTTATTTCCTGAAAAAATTAGCATTAAATACTATTTTTATCCATAGTTGAAAAAAACTAAAGCATCCATTTTACATTTCTATATTAAAGAAATTTGAACATGTAACACATATATTTACAGTTTATAACTCACTTTTACATATGTTTCCTCAATGCAAAATTTTGCTTAACTTTAACACAGCTTAAACATAATGTTGCCCATATGACAGTCTTGCTGCTTTTGATATTTTATAATCTACAATGGTAAAAGCTGGGAAACAGTTTCAAAGTTTGTGGCTTGGTATGTCAAACAGAATTTGACTTTCACAATTTGTCTAAAATCTTTTTGCCAAAAATTCACAACACAGTTTTATAAAGAAAGTGGGAGGAGCTTAGTTGGAGCAATTTATAGACCGTGCAGTGGGAAGTGATGTCCAGAGATTAAGTAGTCAACTTATTCATCTCCTGTGGCAGATGGTTTTCTGTCCTTCCCTTGATGGTTTCCAGGAATAACACACCCATAGTGTTCTAAATTAGCTGATTTGTCATTTTATTTGAATATGTGTTATAGGTTGTTCTTTATTTCCTAAATTTTATTTTTTCAGTTTAACTTATTTGTTAATTCTTTTTCTTTTTGAAAAGAGGAGACTCAAATAACTTCTTTGGAAAATGATTCTTAATTTATCTGCAGCCCTATTTTGAAATAAAGTGTATATGGTAAAGAAAAGATTTGTACCATTTCAAATTTTTTTGTTAAGGATTGAAACTTGAGCTGCAAAAAGTTGTCTGTCTGTTTTTGAGACAGGGTATTGCTCTGTGGCCCAGGCTGGAGTGCAGTGGCATGATCATGACTCACTTCAGCCTTGAACATGTGGGCTCAAGTGATCCTCCAGCCTCTGCCTTAAATGTATATATATATATATATATTTATTATACTTTAAGTTTTAGGGTACATGTGCACCACGTGCAGATTTGTTACAAAACAGAGATATAGACCAATGGAACTGAACAGAGCCCTCAGAAATAATGCCACATATCTACAACTATCTGATCTTAGACAAACCTGACAAAAACAGGAAATGGGGAAATGATTCCCTATTTAATAAATGGTGCTGGGAAAACTGGCTTGCCATATGTAGAAAGCTGAAACTGGATCCCTTCCTTACACCTTATACAAAATTAATTCAAGATAGAATAAAGACTTAGATCTAAAACCATAAAAACCCTAGAAGAAAACCTAGGCAGTACCATTCAGGACATAGGCATGGGCAAGGACTTCATGTCTAAAACACCAAAAGCAATGGCAACAAAAGCCAAAATTGACAAATGGGAGCTAATTAAACTAAAGAGCTTCTGCAGAGCAAAAGAAACTACCATCAGAGTGAACAGGCAACCTACAGAATGGGAGAACATTTTTGCAATCTATTCATCTGACAAAGGGCTAATATCCAGAATCTACAATGAAATACAACAAATTTACAAGAAAAAAAAACAAACAACCCCATCAAAAAGTGGGCAAAGGATATGAACAGACACTACTCAAAAGAAGACATTTATGCAGCCAAAAAACACATGAAAAAATGCTCATCATCACTGGCCATCAGAGAAATGCAAATCAAAACCACAATGAGATACCATCTCACACCAGTTAGAATGGTGATCATTAAAAAGTCAGGGAACAACAGGTGCTGGAGAGGATGTGGAGAAATAGGAACACTTTTACACTGTTGGTGGGACTGTAAACTAGTTCAACCATTGTGGGAGTCAGTGTGGTGATTCTTCAGGGATCTAGAACTAGAAATACCATTTGACTCAGCCATCCCATTACTGGGTATGTACCCAAAAGGTTATAAATCATGCTGCTATAAAGACACATGCACAAGTATGTTTATTGTGACACTATTCACAATAGCAAAGACTTGGAACCAAGCCGAATGTCCAACAATGATAGACTGGATTAAGAAAATGTGGCACATATACACCATGGAATACTAGGCAGCCATAAAAAATGATGAGTTCTTGTACTTTGTAAGGTCATGGATGAAGCTGGAAACCATCATTCTCGGCAAACTATCACAAGGACAAAAAACCAAACACTGCATGTTCTCACTCATAGTTGGGAATTGAACAATGAGAACACATGGACACAGTATACCCGGCTAATTTTTTTATGTAGAGATGGGGTTTCTCTGTGTTAGACAGGATGGTCTCATGATCTGCCTGTCTTGGCCTCTGAAAGTGCTGGGATTACAGGCATGAGCCACTGTGCCTGGCCGAGAAGTTTTCTTTTTAAATTTTATTATTTCAACATAATAATGGCTTCTCAAGTAAATTGAGGAACTTTACAATGTCTTTTTTCTTCTATGGTTTTGAATTTTTGTTTTTATTATACTTTAAGTTTTGGAGTTCATGTGCACAATGTGCAGGTTTGTTACATAGGTATACATGAGCCAAGTTGGTTTGCTGCACCCATCAACTCTTCATTTATATTAGGTATTTCTCCTAATGATATCCTTGCACCAGCCCCCAACCCCCTGACAGGTCCCTGTGTGTGATGTTCCTCTCCTGGTGTCCATGTGTTCTCATCATTCAACTCCCACTTATGAGGGAGAACATGCAGTGCCGAGACCAGCTTAGTCAGGGAGACAGTAACCCACTGCTGCTAGAGAAATTAAAGACACACACTGAAATATAGAGGTGTGAAGTGGGAAATCAGGGGTCTCAGAGCCTTCAGAGCTGAGAGCCTGAACAGAGATTTACCTACGTATTTATTAACAGAAAACCAGTCATGAGCATGTTTCTGTAGATATTAAATTAACTAAAAGTATCCCTTATGGGACACAAAGGGGTGGGCCAAATTAAAGGAATAGGTTGGGCTAGTTAACTGCAGCAGGAGCATGTCCTTAAGGCACAGATCACTCATGCTATTGTTTGTGGCTTAAGAATGCCTTTAAGTGGTTTTCTGCCCTAGGCGGGCCAGGAGTTCCTTTCCTTCATTCCTGTAAACCCACAACCTTCCAGCTTGGGCGTTAGGGCCATTATGAACATTTTACAGCACTGCAGAGATTTTGTTTATGGCCAGTTCTGGGGCCAGTTTATGGCCAGATTTTGGGGGGCCTGCTCCCAACAATGCAGTGTTTGGTTTTCTCTTCTTGTGTTACTTTGCTGAGAATGATGGTTTCCAGTTTCATCCGTACCCCTGCAAAGGACATTAACTCATCCTTTTTTATGGCTGCATAGTATTCCATGAAGTATATGTGCCACCACATTTTCTTTATCGAGTCTACCATTGATGGGCATTTGGGTTGGTTCCAAGACTTTGCTATTGTGAACAGTGCTGCAATAAACATACATGTGCATGTGTCTTTATAGTCAAAAGATTTATAATCTTTTAGGTATATATCCAGCACTGGGATTGCTGGGTCAAATGCTATTTCTAGTTCTAGATCCTTGAGGAATCACCACACTGTCTTCCACAATGGTTGAACTAATTTACATTCCCACCAACAGTGTAAAAGCATTCCTATTTTGCCACATTATCTCCAGCATCTGTTGTTTCCTGACTTTTCAATGATCACCATTCTAACTGGCGTGAGATGGTATCTCATTGTGGTTTTGATTTGCATTTCTCTAATGACCAGTGATGATCAGAATTTTTTCATAAGTTTTCTGGCTGCATACATGTCTTCTTTTGAGCAGTGTCTGTTCATAACCTTTCCCCATTTTTTGATAGGGTTGTTTGTTTTTACTTGTAAATTTGTTTAAGTACTTTGTAGATTCTGATATTAACCCTTTGTCAGATGGATAGATTACAAAAATTTTCTCCCATTCTGCAGGTTGCCTGTTCACTCTACTGATAGTTTCTTTTGCTGTGCAGAAGCTCTTTAGTTTAATTAGATCCCATTTGTCGATTTTGGCTTTAGTTGCCAATGCTTTTGGTGTTTTACTCATGAAGTCTTTGCCCACCCCTATGTCCTGAATTGTATTGCCTATGTTTTCTTCTAGGGTTTCTATGGTTTTAGGTCTTATGTTTAAGTCTTCAATTCATCTTGAATTAATTTTTGTATAAGGTGTAAGGAAGGGATCCAGTTTCAGCTTTCTGCATATGGCTATCCAGTTTTCCCAGCAACATTTATTAAATGGGGAATCCTTTCCTCATTTCTTGTTTTTGTCAGGTTTGTCAAAGATCAGATGGTTGTAGATGTGTAGCATTATTTCTGAGGCCTCTATTTTGTTCCATTGGTCTATATATCTGTTTTGGTACCAGTACCGTGCTGTTTTGGTTACTCTAGCCTTCTAGTATAGTTTGAGGTCAGGTAGCGTGATGCCTCTAGCTTTATTCTTTTTGCTTAGAATTGTCTTGGGTTGTATGGGCTCTTTTTTTTTGTTCCATATGAAATTTAAAGGATTTTTTTGCAAATCTGTGAAGAAAGTCAGTGGTAGCTTGACGGGGATAGCATTGAATCTATAAATGATTTTGGGCAGTATGGCCATTTTCACGATATTGATTCTTCCTATCCATGAGCATGGAATATTCTTTCATTTGTTTGTGTCCTCTTTTATGTCCTTGAGCAGTTGTTTGTAGTTCTCCTTGAAGAGGTCCTTCACATTCCTTTTAAGTTGGATTCCTAGGTATTTTATTCTCTTTGAAGCAATTGTGAATGGGAGTTCACTCATGATTTGGCTCTCTGTTTGGCTTTTATTGGTGTATAGGAATGCTTGTGATTTTTGCACATTGGTTTTGTATCCTGAGACTTTGGTGAAGTTGCTTATCAACTTAAGGAGATTTTGCACTGAGACGATGGGGTTTTCTAAATATACAATCATGTTATCTGCAAACAGAGACAATTTGACTTCCTCTTTTTCTATTTGAATACCCTTCATTTCTTTTGCCTGATTGCCCTGGCCAGAACTTCTAATAGTATGCTGAATAGGAGTGGTGAGAGAGGGCATACTTGTCTTATGCCAGTTTTCAAAAGGAATGCTTCCAGTATTTGCCCATTCAGTATGATATTGGCTGTGGGTTTGTCATAAATAGCTCTTATTATTTTGAGATACATTCCATGAATACATAGTTTATTGAGAGTTTTTAGCATGAAGGGCTGTTGAATTTTGTTGAAGGCCTTTTCTGCATCTATTGAGATAATCATGTGGTTTTTGTCATTGGTTCTGTTTATGTGATGGATTACATTTATTGATTTGTATATGCTGAACCAGACTTGCATCACAGGGATAAAGGCGACTTGATTGTGGTGGATAAGCTTTTTGATGTGCTACTGGATTCAGTTTGCCAGTATTTTATTGAGGATTTTCATGTCAATGTTCATCAGGGACATTGGCCTAAAATTTTCTTTTTTTGTTGTGTCTCTGTCAGGTTTTGGTATCAGGATGATGCTGGCCTCATAAAATGAGTTAGGGAGGATTCCCTCTTTTTCTATTGATTGGAATAGTTTCAGAAGGAATGATATCAACTCCTCTTTGTACATCTGATAGAATTCGGCTGTGAATCCATCTGGTCCTGGACTTTTTTTGATTGGTAGGCTATAAATGATTGCCTCAATTTCAGAGCCTGTTATTGGTCTATTCAGAGACTCAACTTCTTCTTGGTTTAGTCTTTGGAGGGTGTATGTGTCCAGGAATTTATCCATTTCTTCTAGAATTTCTAGTTTTATTTGCTTAGAGGTGTTTGTATTATTCTCTGATGGTAGTTTGTATTTCTGTGGGCTCGGTGGTAATATCCTCTTTATCAAATTTTATTGCGTCGGTTTGATTCTTCTCTCTTTTCTTTATTAGTCTTGGTAGCACTCTATCAATTTTGTTGATCTCTTCAAAAAACCAAATCCTGGATTCATCGATTTTTTGAAGGGTTTTTCTGTGTCTCTGTCTCCTTCAGTTCTGCTCTGATCTTAGTTATTTCTTGCCTTCTGCTAGCTTTTGAATGTGTTTGCTCTTGCTCCTCTAGTTCTTTTAATTGTGATGGCAGGGTGTCGATTTTAGATGTTTCCTGCTTTCACTTGTGGGCATTTTGTGCTATAAATTTCCCCCTACACACTGCTTTAAATGGTCCCAGAGATTCTGGTATGTTGAGTCTTTGTTCTCATTGGTTTCAAAGAACATCTTTATTTTTGCCTTCATTTCACTATTTACCTGGTAGTCATTCAGGAGCAGGTTTTTCAGTTTCCTTGTAGTTGAGCGGTTTTGAGTGAGTTTCTTAATCCTGAGTTCTAGTTTGATTGCACTGTGGCCTGAGAGACAGTTTGTTGTGATTTCTGTTCTTTTACATTTGCTGAGGAGTGTTTTACTTCCAATTATGTGGTCAATTTTAGAATGAGTGCGATGTGGTGCTGAGAAGAATGTATATTCTGTTGATTTGGGGTGGAGAGTTCTGTAGATATTTACTAGTCTGCTTGGTCCAGAGCTGAGTTCAAATTCTGGATGTCCATGTTAATTTTCTGTTTCAGTCATCTGTCTAATATTGACAGTGGGGTGTTAAAGTCTCCCATTATTATTGTGTGGGAGTCTACGTCTCCCTATAGGTCTCTAAGAACTTGCTTTATGAATTTGGGTGCTCCTGTATTGGGTGCATATATATTTAGGATAGTTAGCCCTTCTTGTTGCATTGATCCCTTTACCATTATGTAATGGCCTTCTTTGTCTCTTTTGATCTTTGTTGGTTTAAAGTCTATTTTGTCAGAGACTAGGATTGCAACCCCTGCATTTTTTGGCTTTCCATTTGGTTGGTAGATCTTCCTCCATCCCTTTATTTTGAGCCTATGTGTGTCTTTGCACATGACCTGGGTCTCTGAACACAGCACCCTGATGGGTCTTGACTCTTTATCCCATTTGCCAGTCTGTGTCTTTTAATTGGGGTATTTAGCCCATTTACATTTATGGTTAATATTGTTATGTGTGAATTTGATCCTGTCCTTATGATGCTAGTTGGTTGTTTTGACCATTAGTTGATGCACTTTTTTCATAGTGTCAATGGTCTTTACAATTTGGCATGTTTTTGCAGTGGCTGGTACTGGTTGTTCCTTTCTATGTTTAGTGCTTCCTTCAGGAGCTCTTGTAAGGCAGGCCTCATGGTGACAAAATCTCTCAGCATTTGCTTGTCTGTAATGGATTTTGTTTTTCCTTCACTTATGAAGCTTAGCTTAACTGGATATGAAATTCTGTGTTGAAAATTCTTTTCTTTAAGAATGTTGAATATTGGCCCCCACCCTCTTCTGGCTTGTAGGGTTTCTGCAGAGAGATTCACTGTTAGTCTGATTGCCTTTTCATTGTGGGTAACCTGACTTTTCCCTCTGGCTGCCCTTAACACTTTTTCCTTCATTTCAACCTTGGTGAATCTGAGAATTATGTGTCTTTGGGTTGCTCTTCTTGAGGCATATCTTTGTGGTGTTCTCTGTATTTCCTGAATTTGAATGTTGGCCTGCCTTGCAAGGTTGGGGAAGTTCTCCTGGATAATATCCTGAAGAGTGTTTTCAAACTTGGTTCTATTCTCCCTGTCACTTTCAGGTACACCAACCAAGCATAGATTTGGTATTTTCACATAGTCTCATATTTCTTGGAGGCTTTGTTCATTTCTTTTCACTCTTTTTTCTCTAATCTTGTCTTCTTGCTTTATTTCATTAAGTTGATCTTCAATTACTGATATCCTTTTTTCCACTTGATTGATTCAGGTATTGAAACTTGTGTATCTTCACACAGTTCTCTTGCTGTGTTTTTCAGCTCTATCAGGTCATTTAAGCTCCTCTTGACATTGGTTATTCTAGTTAGCAATTCCTCTAACGTTTTTTCAAGGTTCTTAGCTTCCTTGTATTGGGTTAGAACATGCTTCTTTAGCTTGGAGGAGTATGATATTACTCACCTTCTGGAGCCTACTTCTGTCAATTTGTCAAACTCATTCAAACTCCATCCAGTTTTGTTCCCTTGTTTATGAGGAGTTGTGTTCCTTTGGAGGAGAAGAGGCATTCTGGTTTTTTGAATTTTCAGCTTTTCTGCACTGATTTCTCCCCATCTTTGTAGTTTTATCTACTTTTGGTCTTTGATGTAGGTGACCTATGGATGGGGTTTTGGTGTGGATGTCCTTTCTGTTGATGTTGATGGTATTCCTTTCTGTTTGTCAGTTTTCCTTCTAACAGCCAGGACCCTCAGCTACAGGTCTGTTGGAGTTTGCTGGAGGTCCACTCTGGACCCTGTTTTCCTGGGTATCACCAGCGGAGGCTGCAGAACAGCAACTATTGCTGCCTGATCTTTCCTCTGGAAGCTTTGTCCCAGAGGGTCACCAGCCAGATGCCAGCCAGAGTTCTCCTGTATGAGGTGTCTATTGGCCCCTACTGGGAGATGTCTCCAAGTCAGGCTACATGGGGGTCAGGGACCCACTAGAGGAGGCAGTCTGTTCATTATGAGAGCTCGAAGGCTGAGCTGGGAGAACTTTGCTCTCTTCAGAGCTGTCATGCAGAGATGTTTAAGTCTGCTGAAGCTGTGCCCCTGCTGTCCCTTCCCCCAGATGTTCTGTCCCAGGGAGATAGGGGCTTTATCTATAAGTCCCTGACTGAGGCTGCTGCCTTTTGTTCAGTGATGCCCTGCCCACAGAGGTGGAATCTAGAGAGGCAGTCCGCCTTGCTGAACTGTGGTGGGTTCCGCCCAGTTTGAATTTCCTGGCATCTTTGTTTACACTGAAGCATAAAACTGCCTACTCAAGACTCAGCAATGGCAGATGCCCCTCCCCCCACCAAGCTCAAGCATCCCAGGTCAATCTCATACTGCTGCACTAGCAGTGAGATTTTCAAGCCAATGGATCTTAGCTTGCTGGGCTCTATGGGCTTGGCACCCACCAAGCTAGGCACTGGAGGGAATCTTCTGGTCTGCTGGTTGCCAAGACGATGGGAAAAGCACAGTATCTTGGCAGGAGTGTACTGTTCCTCCTGGTACAGTCTCTCACAGCTTCTCTTGGCTTGGAAAGGGAAATTCCCTGATCCATTTCACTTCCTGGGTGAGGCAACAGCCTGCCCCGCTTTGGCACACCCTCTGTGGGCTGCACACCCTGTCCAATCAGTCCCAATGAGATGAACCAGGTACCTCAGTTGGAAATGTAGAAATCACCTGCCTTCTGCGTCAGTCTCACTGGGAGCTGCAGACTGGAGCTGTTCCTATTCCACTGTACACCTTTTCTTAGGTCTAGTAGTATTTGTTTTATGTTTCTGGGTGCTCTCATGTTGGGTGTTTATGTATTTGTGATTGTTATAACTTGTTGAATTTATACATTGTCATTAGATAATAACCTTCTTTGTCTTTTTTTTTACTGTTGTTGATTTAAAAGTCTGTTATGTTTGATATAAATATGGCTACTCTTGCTTGCTTTGGGTTTTTATTTGCATGGAATATATTTTCCCACACATTTACCTTGAGCCTGCAAATTGTCTTCAACAATTTTGTGGGTTTGTAATAAGCAGCATCTGGTTGAATTTTTTTTTTTTGAGATGGAATCTAGCTCCATCTCCCAGGCTGGAGTGATGTGGCATGATCTCTGCTCACTGCAATCTCTGTCTCCTGGGTTCAAGCAATTCTCCTACCTCAGCCTCCAAGTAGCTGGTATTACAGATGTGTGCCACCACACTCAGCTAATTTTTGTATATTTAGTGGAAACAGGGTTTCACCATATTGGACAGGCTGGTCTCAAACTCCTGATGTCAGATGATCCACGTGCCTTGGTCTCCCAAAGTGCTGGGATTACAGGCATGAGCCACTGGGCCCGGTCTGGATTTTTTTTTTAATCCCTTCCACCAGTCTATATCCTTTAAGTGGAGCATTTAATCATTTCCATTCATAGTTGATATTGATATGTGAGTTTTTTCCCTGTCATAATGGTAATTGTTACCTAATGGCTTTGTAGTTTCAGTTGTGTAACTGCTTTATAAGACCTGTAAATTTTATACTTTTGTGTGTTTTTATGATGGTGAATATGTTAGACCATTCTTACATTGCTATAAAGGAATACCCAGGACTGGGTAATTTAGAAACAAAAGAGGTCTAATTGGCTCACAGTTGTTCAGGCTGAACAAGCATGGCATTGGCATCTTCTTGACTTCTGGAGAGGCCTCAGGAAGCTTTTACTCATGGTGGAAGGTGAAGTGGGAGCAGGCATGTCACACAGCCAGAGCAGGAGCAAAGTGTGGGGAAGATGTCACAGACTTTAAAATAACCTGATCTCAAGATAACTCACTCACTATCACGAGGACACCACGAAGTCATGAGGGATCCACCTCCATGACCCAAACACCTTTCATTAGGCCCCACCTCCAACATTGGGGGTGACATTTCAACGTAAGATTTGGGTGGAGACAAATATCAAAACTCTATCATTCCACCCCCATCCTCCCCAATCTCATGTTTTTGTCACACTGCAAAACACAATCATTCCTTCCCAATAGCCCCCCAAAGTCTTAATTCATTCCAGCATTAACTCAAAAGTACCAAGTCCAAGTCCATAGTCTCACCTGGAGATTAGTTTCTTCCATCTACAAGCCTGTAAAATCAAAATGGGTTATGTACTTCCAAGAAACAATAGTAGTACAGGCTTTGGGTAAACATTCCCTTTATAAAAGGGAGAAATCAGCCAAAAGAAAGGGGCTATAGGCCCCATGCAATTTCAAAGCCCAGCAAGGCAGTCATTAAGCTTTAAATCTCCCAAATACTCTCCTTTGACTCTATGTCCCACATCCAGGGCACACTGTTGTAAGGAGTGGACTCCCAAAGCCTTGGGCTGCTCTGCCCTGTGACTTTTCCATGCTTAGGTTGCAAGCTCAACCATTCTGGATTCTGGACTGTAGCAGTTGCCTTTCTACAGCTCCACTAGGCAGAGCTCTAGTAGGGACTCCGTGTGGGGCCTCATTAGAGGTTCTCTATAAGGGCTCCACCCCTGCAGCAGGCTTCTGCCTGGGCATCTAGGCTTTCTCATACATTTTCTGAAATGTAGATGGAGGCTGCCAAGCCACCTTCACTCTTGCACTCTGTGTACCAGCAGACTTAATACCACATGGAAGCTGCCAAAGCTTATGGCTTGTGCCCTCTAGAGTGGCAACCTGAGCTGTGCCAGGATCCCTTTGAGCTGTGGCAGAAGCTGGAGCAGCCTTGGATGTGGGGAGCAGTATCCATTGCTAGAGAGGTAGTGTGATCTTTTGGGTGTGTTGCAACACTCTTTTTTTCTATGATCCCAGAATTCTTATGCTGTTTCCTTTTTGGATTTACTTTTGTTTGGATAGAAATTTATTCCCCTCTTGAGGGTGTGACTATAAGATATATTGTGTAGGGTCCTTTGACTTTGCTTCTGGGTACTTTCAGGGGGCCAAATCTATGAATTTTTTGATGATAGCCTTAGTGTAATGGTTTTCTCAAATACTATTCTTTGTACATTGTAGTGGCAGTGGATTGGGCATGTGAGAAGGATCACTGCCTCCTGCAAAGATGAGCAGGGGGAAGTCTCTTATTTTATTCCCCAGCATTGTGCACTTCTGTCAGCAGGGATTGTATTGGGTTGTTTAGTTTTACCTACAGGTCAGTAGGTGGCACTTGCAGATACAAGCCAGCTGAGCACTGGGCAGTTGTGTGGGCAGTTAAATAAGCTGTGCAGGTTGACTTCTAAGCCAGTAGGTGGCATTTCCAAGAGAGAGGGAGCAGTGGGATTTTTCCTTGGATTTTGTTCATTACAGAAGCTCTGGGTGTCTCATGTAAGGGGTGGGGCCATGGAACTCCCAGGGCTCCCTGTCCTGTGCTCTGCTGCTGCAGTGGTTGGATGGGGCAAAGCCAGGCACGGCTGGGTCTGGGAAGTCCTGAACCAGGATCTCCAAAGCTGGTGCAAGTGCTGATTCTGCTGGGGGTTTGGGGTCAGGTTTCAGGCTACTGGAGCAACCCTCCAGGAAGGGGCAGAGCCACTTCTGCTGCATCAAAGCACCTTCATGCTAGAGGGGAAGGGTGGCCATGAATCAGCAGCTGGAAGTGGCAGTGGGACCTGCTCCACCCCCAAACCTCCAACCCCATGGGTTTCCCTACAGCATTAGGCCACCAACAGCTGGCCAGAACCTCTAGGCACATCCTAAGCTGTCTGTGTTCAGATGGAAAAGCCTCCCCAGGCCATGAAACTCCTTGTCTGGGGCAGAAACTTTGGCTCTCAGGCCACACCCTACCTGGTCTGGTACTATGAAGGGAGGGGTACCCAGTTCCTGTACAACAGTATGAACCCACACCACACTCTTCTCTCACTTCTGGCTGTGGGGGGCTCCAGATCAGATCAGATCAGATCACAAATCTCATCTCCATGCTCCTGGATGACATGCTTGAATTGTGCAGTGATAGGATCAGGCCAGCAGCCTTGCCCTTGGGGTTCCTGGACTCAAGTGCTGGCTGTGTTAGGGAGGGAAAGCTGGTCCCTGGCCACTGGAGGAACACTCACGTAGGGCAACAGTGGCTGCACTGTGGGCCTGCCTCTTGGAAGGGTGGTCCTCTCTCCATAGGAATGGCTAGGCAGACAGCTTTGGGAGAGACTGGCAGACATGGGGCATGTGGTCCAAATGACCTCAGTCCCACAGCAGAAGCAGTGGAACCTCTCCTTGAGGCATGTGAGAGCCCCTGGCCTCCCCTCTCAGTACCTGGCCCAGCAGCCAGCAGTGGCAGTGGCAGCCTCAGGGCAGGAAAGAGATCCCTGGGGAATGGGCTCCTAGAATGGCACCATGCTGCAGCTGTCCAGTGCTTAGAAGCTTGTGAGACTCCATGTAAGTTTGAGAAGCACCTGTGCATGATGTCCAGGCAGCTCTCTATGCCAGTCCAGAGGCCTATGGGGTTGAGGGACTCTCCTACAGCTAGGATTATGGAATTCTGCAGCAGAAATATGGAGCTCTGGGGTTCCGTCACTTACCCCTTCTTTGGGTCTGGGGCAGCTCTTGGCTCCTAGCAACCCCAAACAGGTAGCCCCATATCTCCTTCCTTCACCCTCAGTGTCTCCTGTTGTCTCTTTGTTGAATTCCAGTGCTCTTTCTCACACGATCTGTTTAAAGTGTGAATATCTACTTGATATTGGTTCCTTTCTGTGGAAGAGGTGTACCCCAGCTGAATCTAGTCAGTCATCTTGTAGTTGCATATTTTTAATTGTAAATTTTTAATACAATGTAGCATCTCATAAATGTATTAGTTTTAATAGTTTATAAATTTTGATTTGCTACACACACAAAATTATTGTATGCAAATAATGACAGTTTAAAATTTTTCCTAGTCATTTTTATAAATGCCACTTATTTCTTTTCTTTGCCTTATTGCACTGGTTAGATTCTCCAGCACAATGTGGAATAGATGTAATTATAATGGAAAGTTTTGCATTGTTCCTGACTCCCAGAGAAAGTTTTTAGTATTTCCTCATTAAGTACAATGTTGGCTGTAGGGTGTTTGTTAATAGGCTTTATCCTACTGAGGAAGTTCTATTCCTAGTTTTCTTAAACTTTTTAAAAATCATGAATGTATGTTAAATCTTATCAAGTTTTTTCTCTATTTACTGAATTGATCATATTTTTTTCTACTTAATTTTGTTCATGCAGTGAATTACATGAATTGATTTTTTTTTTGAGACAGGGTCTCACTCAGTTGCCCAGACTGGAGGGCAGTGACACAATCACCAATCACTGCAGCCTTAACTTCCTGGGCTCAAGCTATCCTCCCACCTCAGCCTACCAAGTAGCTGGAACTATGGTACATGCCACCACACCTGGCTAATTAAATTTTTTTTTTTTTTTTGGTATAGATGGTGGTCTCAGTATTTTGCCCCAGCTGGTCTTGAACTCCTGAGATCAAGCGATCTGCCCACCTCAGCCTCCCAAAGTGCTGGGATTACAGTGTGAACCACTGCATGTGGCCATGAATTGATTTTGAATGTGAAATCAACATTTCATTCCTGGGACAAAACTTACTTGCTCATGATACATTATTATTTTTATATATGGCTGTATTTTATTTGCTAAATATTGGGTTTAGAATTTTTGTGTCTGTGTTAATGAGAGATATTTATCTGATATTTTTTCTTATAATGCCCTTTTTCATTTTCTCTAATCCCTTAAAATGTTGAGATAAAATTGGTAGTATTTTTTAAAAGTGATATGTATAATTCACTGATAAAGCTACATGGGATGTAATCTGATATTTTTGGGAGAAGTCAGGGGAAATTTTTCAAGAGCGGATTTAGCACATGTATGTTATTCAGGTTTTGCTTGTGTGTGTGTGTGTGTGTGTGTGTGTGTGTGTTTAGAAAGTTGCATTTTTCCAAAGAAATGATAAATGTCTGAGATAATGGATATGCTAATTACCCTGAATTAGTACTATACATTATGTGTATCAAAATGTCACTATTTACCCCATAAATATGTACAATTATTATTTGTCAATAAAAATTAAAAGTTGCTTAGTATAAATATTTTAAATTTGCATTTCTCTGGTTACTAATGAAGTTGAAAGTTTTTTCATACTAATGAAGTTGAAAGTTTTTCAAGAATGACCATTCATTCTTCTTTTGGAAATTGTTCTTGTCCTTTGCTCATTTTGTAGCTGAATGATTTCTAATTAACTTGTAAGACTCTTTGCGTATGGAGGATGCATACATTTTCTTTATTCAATCAAATATTGTTTTTACAGGCATTTTTGAATGACAAAAAGTAGAAAACTGTGTTTTTCAAAGCAGAGGTCCATTTCTTTTTAACTGGCAAGGACATTAGCAAAATTCATTTGTAATGTCTTTTTATTATCTTGTTAAGATCTGTAGAATCTACAGCATAGCCTTTTCATTGCTGATTCTCATAATTTGTTTTTTTTCCTTATATTTTAAAACCAATTTTGCTAAGGAAATTAGTTTTATTAATTTTTACACAAAACCAACCCTTATCTTTATGTATTTTCTCTATTTTTAAATTAATTTTATCTCAAGTATTTCTGTCTTCTACTTACTATTCATATCATACCATGTTTTATGCATTTATTTTGCTCTACTATTTCTAGCTTCTGGAGATGAAAGCTTAGTTCATTTCCTTTAATCTTTTTTATTTTATAATAATTGCATTTAAAGCTATATATTTCTCTCTGAGCAATTCTTTAGCTGCCATCTAGTATTTTTTTGTTTTTACTGCCTTTCAGTTAAAATTCATTAAAAATTTTTCATTGGCACTTCTTTAATATATGAATAATTTAGAATTGTGTTTCTTGATTTGTAAATAATTGGGGAATGTTTAGTTATATTTTTGTTATAAATTTTTAGTTGAAGCCTACTATTATTAGATATGTATTCTGTATGGTTTAGTCCTTTGAAATGTACTGCATCTTGTACTGTGGCCCAGTGTATTTTCTATTGTGGCATGCGTTCCATGAGCACTTAGAGATAAATAGAATAATCTTACATTTGTTTTCTCTTTCCCCACTCCCTTACTAATACAACTTCAGCTAACCTGACTGAAACTGTGTGATAAACTCAAGACTTTTTAGGGAATAACATTGCTTTATTTGCATTCAAATCAAGTTTTCTTGATTTGTTCTGAAGTTAACGTTTATCGTCTTCTGGGAGTGAGTTCAGATGCCATCTGCAACACCACAGCTTAACCTTTCACAGTTGAGTTTAAACTTGAGTCTAGTTATAGGTCTAGAAGCAAAGAGGGATGATGAAGATGGGTCTTGAGGGAAATCAACATTGTTTTGCTGGGAAACTGCTTCAGGGAAGGACATATAATTTCCTCAGGCAACGCAAGGTTAAACTTTCAGTAGGGGTGAAGAGGTTTCTTCCACTAAGAGTGAAGGAAAGGTTCTACTAGAGGTGGGGAGGCCTCTTCAGCTGGCAAAGCAGGCTTATCTTTTCTCTGTTCCATCTTCTCAGTATCCTCCTTCTGAAGCAGAAACATAGTTTCATCCCCGACTGTTTTCTCTCTAATCTTCATCCTATATCAAGTTATTTTCCTCAAAATTCATTAATGTATCTTAAACTGTCTCTATTACTCTGCGTTAGTTTGGGTTTCTTAGATGCATATCTGAAATTGAGAATTTTTACAAAAGTGACTTATAAGGAGAAGGGGTTAAGGGAAGCTAACTATGGTAGAGGGAAGAAAGGACATGATCTCAACTGGAGTCTGGCTTCAGATGTGGTCTCAATTGAAGTCTGCCTCAATTGAGTCTGGAGCCGTTGAAGCTCTGGAGGATACATTGTATTATACAGCAACCTTTTAAACTTTCATGTCTGTTAGTCATTGGCCACTGCTGGGTCCTGACGGTGGGCATAATCTTCTGGGTGTTGCACCTCCTATTTTCTGTGGTGCAATTGTCCAGGGAAGGGTGGGGCTCTGAGCTGTTAGCAGCCCAGACACAGCAGGTGGGGCATGAATTCACTTACCAGGCAAAGGGCATTTGAGCTGGATGCAACAGTGTCCCTAAAATTCAGCATCTCTTGGGAGTCACCGAAGTTCAGACTCCCATTTATTCACACCTAAATCATTATAATTACCTCCTAGCTGTTCTTCTCTTGGGAGGCTTGACCCTTCAATCCATTTTCCATACTGTAGCTAGAGTTATCATTCCCAAAACAAATCCAACTAAGTTTCTTGCTAGTTTAAAAGTACTTTCACTATTTTCTCCATTGTACTTAGTATTTATTTTTAACACAATTATGAGACCCTTTTTGATCTTACCAAGATCCTATTTTCCAGCTTCATATCTTGTATTTTCCCTTTTACAACCTCAGTGTCCTACACTGGCACACAACGGGGGTTCAATAAATAATTGATGAATGAATAGATAAATTGATAATTACAGTCATAGCAAATTGTTTGGGTTTCCTGCTGACTCTTTCTCATCTTCTGGCCTTTGTTACTTATTCCCTCTCATAGATGCACCTCTTAGCTCAACCTTATGCCTACTTATTCTGCTGACCCCTTTTCTGCCTTTGGCTTCTGTTTTTTCTTTTTCTTTTTCTTTTTCTTTTTCGAGACAGAGTCTTGCTCCATCAGCCAGGCTGCAGTGCAGTGGCAAGATCTTGGCTCACTGCAACCTCTGCCTCCTGGGTTGAAGTGATTCTTCTTCCTCAGCCTCCCAAGTAGTTGGGATTACAGACATGTGCCACCACGCCCAGCCAATTTTTGTATTTTTAGTAGAGACACGGTTTCACCATGTTGGCCAGGCTGATCTTGAACTCCTGACCTCAAGTAATCCACCCTCCTTGGCCTCCCAAACTGCTGCGATTACAGGCATGAGCCACTGTGCCTGGTCAGCTTCTGTTTTTGATGTCTTTTCATCTAGGCATCCTCTTTAGATCTCCTAGGTCTTTGTTGTGTGTCCTTCTAACATGCTTTCACAGCACTCTGTAATTCCGTGATCTTACTATTTATAGTATTATGTTGTAATTCTCTGTTCTCTTCTTGAAGTGTCTCAGAGTATCCTAACTTTTGTGAAAAGAGGACCCTGGTTTCTCTTTATTCACCACTAAGCCCCAGGAACTATCAATGTGCCTGATACATTCCTAGGGATAAAAAGTATTTGTTGATTAAGGAAAAAAGAATGCAAGGAATAAGTGGAATACAGTTATCCTGAAATTGCTTTGTGTGTAGCTATATAATTTGAAAAACAGCTTTTAGACTGGGTGTGGTGGCTCACACCGACAATCCAGCACTTTGGGAGGCTGAGGTGGGCAGATCACAAGGTCAGGAGATCGAGACCATCCTGGCCAACATGGTGAAATCCCATCTCTACTAGCCAGGCATAGTGGCAGGTGCCTGTAGTCCTAGCTACTTGGGAGGCTGAGACAGGGGAATCATTTGAACCTTGGAGGCGGAGGTTGCAGTGAGCCAAGATCGTGCCACTGTACTCCAGCCTCGCAACAGAGAGAGACTATGTCTCAAAAACAACAAACAAAACAGCTTTTAATATGAAAATGTTACCAAAAAGCAAACTGATTGCTAGAAAAATATAAACAGCCCATATACATAAGATAATAAAATTTTACTGGGAGTAGGAAAAATATCAAGATAAACTACATGTTCATATGCTGAGAATGCAGTTTCAATTTCTTTCTCATTGTTTCAATAAGAGTGAAAAAACGTGGTTTCCCTATGAGGTCCAACCAGAATTCTTAGTCTGAAGATAGAAAATACTTTCCTAGCCTCCACTACAACTTTTGCTTTATATTTTATTGAATTTATTCATTTTCATTAATCCTTTTATTCATTGATTCTGTTTATGGTATACCAGACATGGTACCTTGCAGGAACTATTGTTATCTATCGGGCAAGTACTTTATGGAGTATAACTGTATATTTAATAAATAGAAATTTCTCCTTGATATCAAAACATCTTCTTTATTTGAACCATCACTCTTTCTGGTTGATTATCAGTATAAAAAGGGTAACATGAGTAATACAAAATGGTTCTGAAGCCTACAAGGACATTTGGAATCATGGTATAAACTTCATTGTTTACCCATCAGATGCTAAATAGTTCTTTGCTTTTTACAGCCCTGAAGTAGTTAGACAGCATAATATTTCAGAAAACAAAGGCCATTAATTTTGATATATAAACGTGAAAGAATTATTAATGAAAAAGTTATATTTTTAATGAACTAACATATACAATGTGTCCAGCATAGTCCTTGTCTCAATAAATGATAGCTGTTATAATGATCTGATCTTTCTGGCAGGGTATCATGGTAGTTAAGCACATGGTTTGGGAAATCAGTGAGATTCTGATTACTGTCTATTTTATACTTCTATTTTGACACTGTCCCCTTCTCTCAGTTTCCTCTTTGGTAAATGGGGATAAGAATAATGCCTCCCTCAGTTTGTTATGGACATTATTACTTAATATAGATATATTTATTTTATTACTTATTTTACATTTATTAGAAGGAAGGCCTATGAGTTTCATATATATGGATGAAGCTAGTGAAACTAAGCCCCAAATTGGTAGAATTTTCCCAGTTTGTGAGAATGATACACGGTTAGGTTTTCTCCTTTTTCTTGAACCCATTTTGACTCCCCTCAAGGCATCATCTATGGATCACAGTGGTTAATTATTTTATTTATCCAATAAGTATTCCTTGCTGACATTACCCAAAATGTCCTTTTGACCCTTGCCTCAGCTGAATCATGTTGGGCTCCAGTCACATTTATTTGACACTTGAAATAGCTTTCCTACTACACAATTTCCTAATGGCATTTTTCATCTGAGCATTCCTCAAGGTGTAGATTAAGGGGTTTAACATAGGAGTTATCATAGTGTAGAATACAGCAACTGCTTTATCAATGGGTAAAGTAGCTGGAGGTCTCATGTACACAAATATGCAGGGTATAAAGAATAAGATGACAACTGTGTTGTGGGAGACACAGGTGGAGAGGCCTTTGTGCCTTGCCTCTAAGCTGTGGGTCCTTAAGGAGTACAGTATGACCACATAGGAGACCAGGAGCAAGAGAAAGTTTAACAGGCATATGAACCCACTGTTGGCAGCAACGAAGAGTCCTAGAGTGTGGGTATTAGTGCAGGCAAGATTGAGCAAAGGGTTGAGATCACACGTAAAGTGATCTATGACATTAGAACTACAGAAAGGTAATTGGAAGATGAAGAGGATCTGTATGGTTGCATGAAGAAAGCCTCCCACCCGTGACACTCCCACTAGCAGGCTACAAACATGCTGCTTCATGATGGTGGTATAGCGCAAGGGCTTGCAGATGACCACATAGCAGTCATAGGCCATTACAGTAAGTAGGATGACCTCAACACCTCTGAAAAAATGTTCTCCAAAGACTTGAGTCATACATCCATTGAGTAAGATAGTCTTGTTTTCATAGAGTGAATCTGTGATCAGCTTAGAGACATTGACAGAGGAATAGCAGGCATCAATAAAGGACAGATAGGCCAGGAAAAATTACATGGGGGACCTCAATGATGGGCTGGCAGTGATGGTGACCACAATGAGCACATTTCCTATCATGGTGGTGATGTAGATGACAAAACACAACAAATATGATTTTCTGCATTTTTGGATTCTCTGTAAGCCCCAATAGAATAAACTCTGTCACGTTGTTTCTATTCGCCATGTATTTCAAATGGTGGCTAATTGCATTACCTGAAAAGAAAACAATTTTTATTAATACATCTTTAAATTTGTTAAACTTCTCCATTGTAATTTGTAATATAATAAATTCTTGGATTCTACTGGGTTGTGATTTGAGGATTTTTTCTGAGACAGGAAAAAAGTTTTGGGTTTTGGAGGTTTACTGAAATTTCCTCCCTGGTGAAAACTGTGCTAAGAGTTTTGACATGAGAAACTTTTGTAGCACACATGCAGGAGACCATCTGTGAACACTTAATCATCCGAAACAACTAAAAGTTGAATGATTGCACACATAGTGGCAACTAAGCCTGAAAAGATTATAGAATATAGATGTAAAGCACATGAATGCAAAACTCAAAATTTGCTCTCTGTCTCTCTCTCTCTTTTTTTAGAAAATAATGAAATATGAAATGTTATGCACAATATGAGTGAAATGATAAAGAGGAATCTGAAGAAGGGGGATTCTTGGGATATTTCTCTAGTGAAGGTCTTTGTGTGTTTTTTGTGACGTGGGCTGAGATCCAGTAAGGAGCTGGAAGCCAGATAATGGAACTTAGTTAGCAGACTATTTAGAGTAGTTGACATAAGACTAACAGTGAATTTGTGGTGAAAATGTAAAGAAAGAATATAAGAGCTACTATAAAAGAATTCATAATCTATTGTCTAAGTCCTATTAACTTTATAATAGCTAATAATATACACCTCTGAATAATTGCTATGAGCATGACATTGTAGAATGTGCTTTGCACACATGATCTCATTTTATCAATTTTACAGATGAGGACACAATCTCAGTGACTAATATTAATAGTTATAGTGTTAATATTAACTAATATTTACTGAACACAGCATTTTTCAAGTGTTTTTACAGACATTTGCTTATTGAATCCTCACTGAAAACCTATGTATTAGTTACTATTGTCTTTTTACACTTATTTTACACATTAGGAAATAGAAACACATAGAAATTAAGTTTCCTCCCAAGATCGAGCAGATAATCAAGGCTGGACCCAATATTAAGTTTCAGATTATGCTTGTTAATTTTTTCCCTCCGAAGTCTTAACTCATGCCTTATATTGTTATAATAAACAATGTTGAACTTTTAATTTCCCTTTGATATGGCCATAATTTTTATAATTACTTTAATACTACTTCAGAGACAAGTTTATATGAAGTAACTTCATCAGCAGACAGACACACACACATAATGATATATTGAAACTCCTAAATATTAAGAAAAATGTGGTATTACATTCACTGAAGGGCTGTTTTTGCTTAGCCCCTCCCTCAGCACTATCCATTCCTTCTTAATCCCCTTCCAAAGCACGGGACCCTAGCCAGAATCTTCTGCAAAGTGTTAAAAACCATTATCACAATAGTTAAGTGTGTTAGTTTGAGAATCAGAAAGACTAGATCAGAATCCTCGTTTTTCCACCTATAACTTCTTTTACCTGGGGTATATTTCTTGGCACCTTCCATCTTAATCTTATCATCCATAAAATGATAATAATATTCACCTCACATACTGTTATGAGAATTAATTGGGAGAACATATATGAATATATCTACCCTACTGTTAGGGACATACAGAGGACTTTCATTTGTTTTTATGGCTGTATAAGCCTAGGAGACAGGATAAATTGACAGTGTGATCAATATAATACAGAGAAATATTTGCCCACGCATTAAGCTCACAAAGAAAGGTCTCCAATTTTCCTTTTACAGGGCTTTATATTATTCATAGCATTTAATATTCATATTTCTGTCTTTTGTGTGTGTGAAGTGTATTTAAATTTTGCTTTAGTCCTCATAACTTGTCTCATTCACTAAGGAGGTGTCTCATGGCGAAAGCATGGTACCCAATATCAGAGAGATTGGTTCTACAAATTGCTTAATCTCTATAAGCCTCAAATATTTCAACTGTCAAATTAGGTTAATGATATTTACCAACTACCTTTTGAATAATTGGAGTGAGAATGCAAGACTCTATTACTCTATTGGAAAGTGTTGAAAAATACTGATTACTATATATAGAAAGTAACAATCTTTGACAAGCTTCAGCACTATTGAAAAACTTACCTTAGTTGTCTTTGATGATCTTAATGATGTTTAGGGGTGCTCAGACACAATCCTATTTGAGATTATCTTTTCTTGGGATAAGTAAGTTTCAATGTGAAAGATATTTCACACTTCAAAAGAGTTTATTCAGGTGATTCAATATCAAATCAACAGTTGTTAGGAAAGTCTCTTTGTAAGTCTAAATATTTTCTTCTAGCCTAAAGCCTCTGAACATTTTCACAAAAAAATGATGTTACATGGCTCTGGTCCCCTCAGGGTAAGATGAAGAAAGTGTGGAGGAAATACATGTAAATGAGTCACTCAATTCTTGATGAATCTTGCTTTGGAGATGTGAACAACAACAACAAAAAACATTTTTACCTTGTACTGCATGTGTATTTAAAGAGGTTTCTACAAAGATTCAGAGACCTTGTCTTTTAGCTATTGCTTTCTCTCCCAGGAATTAATTATCTCCTTTGATGGAAAGACTTTGTCTTAGAAGCAGATATTCTGGGGAGACATGTTTGAAAAACACCCATCCTGAATGGGGAATTGAATTCTGTGTATTTAAAACTTAAGCCTGTGAGAGTCCCTTTTTCCTATCTGAACCCAGGCTTCTAAGAAAGCTGAATGCCATGTAAATGGCAAGGTGGCATAATTCCAGAGTGGGCACCCCATGTAGTTTCCCTGTCGACTCATGCTACAGAAAGAGCTGCTATTTTTTCACCTAATATGAAACCTTTTTTGGAAAAATGTTATTGATTGCTTGAGATCTAGAGCACTGAGGGCATGAAATTAATGGCAGCCATTTTAAAGGACTTGAAATGCTATTTTTCTTTCCCTCCTCCTACTTTATTGAGGTATATTTGACAAGAAATTTTTATACTCAATTTTATATTCAAGAAATTTTTATAAATCATATTGATGATTTATATATGTATACATTGGGTAGTAATCACCATAATCAACATAATTAATATGCTCATCACCTTACATAGTTAATTACTTTTATTGGTATGGTGAGAAACTTAAGCTCTACCTTCTTAAATCTACTGTAATGTATACAAAACTGTAGTAATAACTATAGTCACTTTGCTGTACCTTAGCTCTACAACAGATTTTACATAAGTGCAACTTTATGCACCTTGACCAGCATTTCCATTTCTCCCTGCTCTAGCCCCTCACAACCACCATACTATTCACTGTTTCTATGAGTTTTATTATTTTAGCTTTTACATAAAAGTGAGGACATGCAATATTTGTCTTTTTGTGCCTGGCTTATTTTGTTTAGCATAATGTCCTGCAGATTTATCCATGTTTTTGCAAATGGAAGAATTTCTTTTCTTTTAAGGCTGAATAATATTTATGTGTATATAAAATCACTTTTCTAATCCATTAAGTTACCAACAGGCAATTAGATTGTTACTACATCCTTGTATTGTGAATAATACTCCAATAAACATGGAATACAGGTATCTTTTCAAGATACTGATTTCATTTTCTTTGGATACACAACCAGAAGTGAGATTGCTGGATCAGAAGCTTTTTAATTTTGGGGGGGATCTCTATACTGTGTTCCCAATGGCTGTATCAACTTATGTTCTCACCAACTGTGCACAAGGGTTTTCTTTCCACCACTTCTTCACTAACATTTATCTTTTTTCTGATATAGCTATCCTACATGCGTGAGGTGATATTTCATTGTGATTTTGATTTGCATTACTATAATAATAAGTGATATTGAGTATCTTTTCAAATACTGGTTGGAAGTTAATATATTTTCTTTTGAGAAATGATTATTCTCATTCTTCGTCCATTTTTTAATTTTTTCGCTATTGAGTTGTATGTGCTTCTTTTATATTTTGGATATTAACTCCTAATCATATACATGGCTTGCAAATATTTTCTCTCATTCCATAGATTGCCTTTTCACTTTGTTGATTGTTTCCTTTGCTGTGAAGAAGCTTTTCGTTTGATGCAATACTGCTCATTTATTTTTGCTTTTGTGACCTCTGCTTTTGGTATCAGATTAAAATATCATTGTCCAGACCAAAATCAAGATTTTATTTTCCCTGTTTTCTTCTACTAACCTTATAGTTTCAGGTATTGCATTTAAGTTGTCAATCCACTTTCATTTGCTTTTTGTATATGGTGTGAGATAAGAGTCCAATTTCATTCTTCCGTTTGTGAATATTCAGTTTTTCTAACACCATGTATTGAAGAGACTCTTCTTCCTCCTACTGTGTGTTCTTGACACCTTTGTCAAAGATGAGTTAATAGATATTGGGTTTATTTCCAGGCTACTATAGTATTAGAATAGTCTATCCTTACCGAGGAGTTTATGCTTTCATATGTTTTCATGTTGTTAGTTAGTGTCCTTTCATTTCAGCTCACTTTTGTTTCAAGCATGAAGAATTTCCTTTAGTATTCCCTTTAAGGCAGGTCCAGTGGTGATGAACTCACTCAGATTATGTTTGTCTGGGAAAGTTTTATCTCTTTTTTATTTCTGAACAGTTTTTCTGAGTATTTTGTGTTGATAGTTCTCTTTCTTTTTCTTTCAGCACTTTGAATATATTATCTCACCCTCTCCTGGCTTGCAAGGTTTCTGCTGACAAATCTGCTAATAGTTTTATTCCTTTGTATGTGATAAGTCATTTTTTCCTTAGTGCTTTCAAACTTCTCTCTTTATCCTTAATTTTGGCAATTTGATTCTACTGTGTTTTGGTGAAGACATCCTTATGTCCTAACTTTTGTAGATCTTTGGGCTTCATGGGTCTGGATGTTTATATTCCTTCCTACATTTGGGGACTCTTTTCTTTATTATCATTTCTTTAAACATACTTTTAGCTTCTCTTTCTTTCTCTGTTCCTTCTGGGTAGCCCATAATACATACATTGACACACAGGATGGTGTTCCAGAAATACCAAAGGATCTTTTAACTTTATTTTTCCTTTTTTTCCCTCCAAGTGAGACAAGTTTCAAGCGATCTGTCTTCAAGCTTGCTGATTCTTTCTCCTGCTTGGTTGAGTCTGCTTTGCAGCTCTCTTTATGGAATTTTTCAGGTCACTGTGTTCCTCTCTTGAATTTCTGTTTGATTCCTTTTTATGGCTTATATATTTTTATTGAACTTCTAATTTTGTTCATGCATTGTTTTCCTAATTTTTAAAGTTGTTTATCTGCATTATGTATTCCCATGAATTCTTGAAGACAATTATTTTGAATTCCTTGTCAGACAGTTCATATATCTCCATTTCTTTAGAGTCAATTACTGTTGATTTATTTATTTCCTTTGGTGGTATCATGTTTGTCTGATCCTTCATGATTCTTATAAACTTGCTTTTGTGTCTTTGCATTTGAAGAAGTTATCATCTCTTGTAGCCTGTAAAGGCTGGCTTCTGCTGGGAAAGTCCTTCACCAGTCAGCTTGTCTAGAATTCCTGTGTGAGCCAACAGTTGAAGAGACTATGGGCAGTTTGACTGCAGAGGTCTCCAGGCAGATAACCTTGCTGTCTGTTTCCACAGGTTTGGCCTTGCATTACAGTCCAGTGGGAATAGACCTGACACATGGGTCTGCAGTTGTGAGCCTGGAGCCTGGGTCCACCAGGGTGAGTTTACAACCTGGGTTTATGTGGGCTGGCCTGGCACTGGAGCAGACCTTGAGTCTGCATTTTTGAGGGACAGCCTGGAACTGGGGTAGGGTGGAAACTGAGTCCTCCTTGGTGGAGCTGTACCTGTGTTAAGCCTAGTGCCAGGGTCCATGGGTACTGGCCTTCCACAGGTGCTCACTGGGGCAGACATGAAAGTTGAATCCATAGGGGTTGGTCTATTGCCTGGTTTGCATTCCTGCCTGGTGCTGAGGTGGGCTGATAGCCTGTTTTCATGGAGACTGGCCTGGTACTGAGGCAGGCCTAGAACCTAGATCCACATAGCAGTCTAACCATAGAATAGGCCTGAAACTGGGGCTAGTCTGGCAGTGGGGTGGGTCTGGTTCCTGTAGTTACATGGGCTGGCCTTGCAAAGGTGCTGGCCTGAAGCTTTAGTGGTGAAGGGGTGGTGCAGCCCTGGTGACTTAACTACTTGTGCCAGCCTGGCTTTGAGTTAGTGAGGACCTCATTGGTACTAGGGCTGGTTTTGTGACTTGGTCTAAGAGAGCTGGCCTAGTGCTGGGGTGGTTTAAAAGCCTGGGTCTGTGGGGACTTGCCTGGCTCTGGGGTGAGCCTGGTGCTTAAGTTCACGTGAATCAGCCTTGTGCTTGAGACTGTTGGTGCAGGCCTGAATAGGCGTCTGCAGTGAAGTCAATTCTCACTTCACTTTTCTTTTCCACATAAGAGAGCCCTGGGACAGAGAGGGTCTCTCTTAGCCTTGTGCTGCATGGGCTTGGGGAAGGGGTGACTTGGGTAAAGTAAAGCTGTTCATTCCCTCATTCAATGCATCTTTTCTTGATTGTGTCTTCTACTTGGGTGCTGTAAGTTCTCACCTGTGATCTAGAACTCTTGTGAAGGTATTTTCATGTGTGGATGGATATTTATATTGGTGTTTCTGTGAGGGAATGTGATGTGGAACCTCATATTCTATCTTTTGACATCACTATCTTTGTGCATTTTTTTTTAAGACAGAGTCTCGCTCTGTTGCCCAGGCTGGAATGCAGTGGCCCAATTGCAACTCACTGCAAGCTCCGCCTCCCGGGTTCATGCCATTCTCCTGCCTCAGCCTCCTGAGTAGCTGGGACTACAGGCACCTGCCACCATGCCCAGCTAATTTTTCTGTATTTTTAGTAGAGACGGGTTTTCACTGTGTTAGCCAGGATGGTCTCGATTTCCTGACCTTGTGATCCACCCGCCTTGGCCTCCAAAAGTGCTGGGATTACAGGCATGAGCAGCTGAGCCTGGCCCCTTTGTGCATATTTAATTGAGTTGTTTGTCTTTTTATTTTTGAGATGTAAAGAGTTCTTTACATATTTTTATACAAGATCCTTATCAAATATATGATTTGGAAATATTTTCTCCCATTTTATGAACCGACTTTGACTTTCTAGATAGTTTCCTTTGAGGCACAAAAGTTTTAAATTTTGATAAAGTTCAATTTGTCTATTTTTCATTTGTTGCCTGTTTATTGCTGTATTTAAAGAACCATTGTCTAATGCCAAGATCATGAAGATTTACCCCTCTGTTTTCCTCTAATAGTTATATGGTTTTAGATTTTACACTGGATCTTTGATCCATTTGGGGTTAATTTTTGTATATGACAAGAGAAAGGGGTCCAAATTTATTCCTTTGTATTTGGGTATCCAGTTGTCCCAGTATCATTTGCTGAAGAAATAATTCATTTTCCACTGAATGTTCTTGACTACTATTATTGTCACCTTAATTATATTAAGTCTTCCATCTATGAACAGTAGATGGGCTTCTGTTTATTTTGGTCTTTGTCTTACTTTATTCATGCTGCTGTAACAAAATACCACAGACTAATTTATAAAAAATAGAAATTTATGTCTCACAGCACTAAAACTGGGAAGTCCAAGATCTAGGTAGTCAACGTCCATCAATGATAGACTGGATTAAGAAAATGTGGCACATATACATCATGGGATACTATGCAGCCATAAAAAAGGATGAATTCATGTCCTTTGGAAGGACATGGATGCAGCTGGAAACCATCATTCTGAGCCAACTATCACAAGGACAGAAAACTAAATACCACCTGTTCTCACTCATAGGTGGGAATTGAACAATGAGAACACTTGGAGACAGGACAGGGAACATCACACCCCAGGGCCTGTCGTGGGGTAGGGGGTCAGGGGGAGGTATAGCATTAGGAGAAATACCTAATGTAAATGACAAATTTATGGGTGCAGCAAACCAATATGGCACATGTATACCTATGTAACAAACCTGCACGTTGTGCACATGTGCCCTAGAACTTAAAGTATGCAAAAAAAAAAGTGTGAATGTCTCCAAAATCAAAATCAGTCTAAAGAAGACATCAAATTTAATAGAATCCTTATGACTAATAAGAAAGTTATGGTATAATAATAATTTTACTAAAGTTTATTAGTATTTACTTCAACGTGGTTCATGCTAGAAAGTCATTGTCTTGCTAATCTGCACAAGAGCCTTATGAAATAGATACTGTTTTTCTTGATTTCTAACACAATTGGATGAAGCCTGGAAAATTTAAATAAATTACTTTAGTCACAGAGGTAGCGAATACTTGAGGTAGGATTTGAGCTCATGTAGTTTTTCTTTGGAACTTACACTTTTAGGCACTATGGTATACACCAGAAAAATGACACACATTTGAATAAAGAAAAATTCTAGTCAGGGAAATGTGCAATAAATAAACCTTTTAAAGAAAGGATAAATTCAGAGTGAAAAGGGCTTAAAAAGGTGAAATCTGTGACATGATAGAGAGCAACTCAGAAGGCAGGGTGGGATTACTTCAGATTGGGTGTTTAAAAAGATTTAAGTGCACGAATTTAGTGTTTAACCTATCCAGGGTGAGGAACAATGAGCTGAAAGTCATAAGTAAAACAGTAGAGATAAATTTATGTATGTGGAGGAGGGATATTATCTGACCTGATGCAACTCTTGTCTTTAATTTCTCTCTTCCCTTTTGACCCTAATATCACCAACTAAATTTATCATATTATAATTAATTCATCTCTAACTAAAATCGGGATGAAGCAAAATAAAGCACATGCATCCAAGCAACCACCTTCTCCAGAAGTCTTTGTGTGTTCCTCTGGTAGTTTCTGTTTCTGATGGACTTTTTGGTGTAGTCAATGACATTGATCTGCACTTTGCCTCTGCATGACTATTGTTTTAAAATTAATTTCTATCTTTTATCCCCATGTAAAAAATTCACTTAGCGAAGTTGAGCTAGGTTGATTTGTAAAAGGAAAACTATTTAACCAATTGTAATTGATGTTTTCACCTCCTGTCAGAGTCTATACAATTGTTCCCCACTCAAACATGTATCTGTTTGATCTCATCCAGCACGACTCTCTCGCTTGTTCACTGTGCTCCAGCTGCAGTGACCTCATTCTTGCCCTTGGGCCACTGTACTAGCTCTTCTTTATTCCCCAAATGCTCATCATCTTTTAGATCTTCACATGGCTTGGTCCTTGTCATTACTCAGTCTGCAGTTCAATTTCTCCTCCTTAGAGGTCTTCTTGAGCCATCCATGTAAAGCCATTCTCCATCTCTTTGAGTTATTTTCTATCACATTACTTTGCTACATTTTGTTGTCAACATTTTCACCACGTGATTGTCAGATGTAATTGTTTTTTTTTTTTTTTTTTGTCCATTTTTTCCAGTTAGAATTGAAATCCGTGAAAGTAGAGGTATTGGCTGTTTTGTTCACTATGGCATTTGCAGCACAAGAAATGCCCATATGTTTATTCCATGTCAAGCCTATTCTGTGCAAAGAATGGGCTGTTATGAGTAAATGCAGTTTTCAAAGGGACCCTTGCTAACCAGAATGCTTCTGCAATTGATGGCTTTCCATTCTTTGTGACAAATTGAAATAGAGAATTTTAGATCAGTTTAGTATATCAGCCATGGTTCTTAGGTGATGACACAGAATTGTCTGTAGGTAGTTTAAGTAGAAGGGATTTATTATATGCAATTAAGTTGTTTAAAGAACCTTTGGAAGGGTTAGAATGGCAGAGTCTGACCTGAATGGCCAGGAATAGCTTTTAGAAGCACATCTGTCGGGACAGGTGCTCCAAAGGAGCCGCTGTCCCTCTGACACCATGGTTATGTTGCCACGTCTCCACAGGTGCTGCTGCTTCTCTGACCGCAGAACCACTTCGCCTTTGTTGACATCGTCAGAACCCAGCCTCAGATAACTGATTTCCAACTCAAAGACTTGCACGGAGGCTCCTGGTTCGTATCTCCCAAGTCATGTGACTAACCTTCTGGGACTAACATTGTATAGCATATGATTTGGTAGCAAATCTCAAGCAGCTCTTCTAACTTAATTTGAGATGCTTATTAATGGAAGAGTCCTTCGATTGAAAAAATGCTTCTCTTACTTTACTTTCATTTTCACATTTCTATTTATTTTTTATTGTATACATTTAAGTTATACAACTTAATGTTTTGATATACATGTACATGGTGAAACTATGTACATGTATATCACAGTTTAACATATCCATCATCTCACATGGTTATCTTTTTGCATCTTATATATATATTTTTGTTTTTGGTTAGAGGACCCAAAGTCTACCCTGTTAGAAAATTTGCAGTGATACAATGCAATATTACTAACTATAGTTTTTATACTACATTTTATTTAGATCTTTAGATTTATTCATCCTACATATCTTCCCATTTTCCCCACCCTCTGCCTCTGGTAACCACTGTTGTTCTATTCTCTGTTTCTACATATTCAGCTATTTATTTTTATTTTTTTGTATTCCACATAGAGGAGAAATTGTGCAATATTTTTCTTTCTGAGTCTGGCTTATTTCACTAAACATAATGTCTTCCAGCTTCATTCATATTATTGCAAATGGCAGGATCTCCTTGTTTTTAAAATTGAAATAATATTCATGTATATGAATACTATATATTATATTATATATATGCAAAAAGGTAACCATGTGAGATGATGGATATGTTAAAGTGCATACCTGTAGTAATAGTTTCACCATGTACATGTATATATAAATTATATATATTATATATTATATTAAAGTAATATATTATAATACACATATTACATTATCAATATAGTAATAATATACTATGTTAATATAATTCATAATAATATATTTTAATAATAATCACATTCATATTTTATTATACTTTTTAAAAAATCTAGTCATCTGTTGAGAAACATTCGGGTTTTGTTTTCATATGGTGGTTATTGTGAATAATGCTGCAATGAACATGTGAGTGCAGATATATCTACAAGTACTACTTTCATTTCCTTTGGGTGTATATCCAGAAGAGGGATTACTGACCCATATTGTAGTTCTATTTTTAATTTTTCAATGAGCCTTATGCTCTGTCCCCAAATGGCTGTTCCAATTTACATTTCCACCACCAGTATACCAGTGTTCTCTTTTCTCCACGTCCTTGCCAACACTTATGATCTTATCTTTTTGATAAAGCCATCCTAAGAAGTGTGAGGTGATGTCTCATTGTAATTTTAATTTGCATTTACCTGATGATTAGTAATATTGGGCATCTTTGCTTTTATCTATTGGCCAGGTTTTTGTTTTGTTTGAAGAAATATCCGTTCAGGTTCTTTGGTAATATTTAATTGGGTTATTAATTTTTTTGCTGTTGAGTTATGTAAATTCCTTATATATTTTGGATATTAACTCCTTAACAGATTTATGGGTTACAAATATTTTCTCCCAATTTCTAGGCTGTCTTTTACTTTTGTTGTTTTCTTTGATATGCCGAAGTTTTTGGTTTGATGTACTCCCACTTGTTTAGTTTTCGCTTTTATTCCTTGTGCCTTGGGTGTCCTGTCCAAAAAATTATTGGCAAGACCAATGTCATGCAGCTTTTCCACGATGTTTTCTTCTAGGAGTTTTATAGTTTATAGTCTTGTGTTTAGTTCTTTAATCCATTTTGATTTGATTTTTCTTTATGGTACAGTATAAGGGTTCAATTTTATTCTTTTGCATGTGGATATCCAGTTTTCTTAACACCACTAATTGAAGAGAGTAACTTTTCTCTATGTTTTATTCTTTGTACTTTTGTCAAAGATTAATTAATAGTATATGCCTGGGGCCAGGTGCAGTGGCTCACACCTGTAATCCCAGCACATTGGGAGGCCAAGGTGGGTAGATCACCTGAGGTCGGGAGTTCAAGACCAGCCTGGCCAACATGGTGAAACCCCCGTCTCTACTAAAAATACAAAAATTAGCTAGGTATGGTCGTGGGCAACTGTAATCCCAGCTACTCGGGAGGCTGAGGCTGGAGAATTGCTTGAACCTGGGAGGTGGAGGTTGCAGTGAGCTGAGATTGCCCACTGCACTCCAGCCTGGGTGACACAGCGAGACTCTGTCTTAAAAAAAAAAGAAGAAAAATGTATATGCATGGGCTTATTTCTTGGCTTTCTATGCTGTTCCTTTGGTCTATGTGTCTGTTTTTATGTCCATACTGTTTTTATAACCATACTGATTTGATGATAATAGCTTTGTGACATAATTTTTATTTTTAATTTATTTTATTTTATTTTCTTTGAAACAGAGTCTTGCTCTGTCACCTAGGCTGGAGTGCAGTGACGTAATCATGGCTGACTGCAGCCTGCACCTCCCAGGTTCAAGAGATTCTCGTGTCTCAGCCTCCCAAGTAGCTAGGATTACAGATGTGCACCACCACACCTGGCTAATTTTTGTATTTTTAGTAGAGAAGAGGTTTTACCATACTAGCCAGTCTGGTCTCAAACTCTTGGTCTCAAGTGATGCACCTGCCTCAGACTTCCAAAGTGCTGGGATTATAGGTGTGAGCTACCACGCCCAACCACTTTGTCACATAATTTTTAATCAGGAAATTTGATGCCTCCAACTTTTTTTCCCCTAAAGATTGCTTTGTCTACTTGAAGTCTTCTGTGGTTCCATTTGAATTTTATGTATTTATTAAAAAAGTCTAAACTTTAAAAAAGTCACTGGAATTTTTACATGATTACAATGGTACAGGTTACATTGAATTTGTATATCACTTTGGATGGTATGGACATTTTAATAATATTGATTTTTCTCTATCCATGAACGTGTGGTTCATTTGTCTGTGGCCTACCATCCTGAAGAAACCCAATCTCTGATTTCAGAAGGAAAGCTAGGTTGAACCTAATTAGTACTCTCATTGTTTTTTAAATAAATCAAAAATTATATTGTTCACTATTGTGTATTAGGCACTGAATAAGCACTTTACACGCCTTATATCATATTGTCATCATAATGTCATGAATTACATGTTATTCTCTTTGTTTTAGGGAAACAATGAGACTTGTAGATGTTCAAAATAACTTTTTAAAGTTATAACTTTGTAAGTAAGAAGGCTAACTCTGATAATCTGTCTCCAACTTAAATTCCTGTTTAAAATCCATAGTCACCTATGTCCAAAATGGTAAAATCATTTCATATTGTCTCATCTCTCTATCTGGACCTTTGCTCCAAATGTGGGCTCCAGAATCACTTATCCTCTGGCACGTATGAGCTTCCTTTCCCTGATTGCTTGTCAGGTTGTTGTTGTTTTAAACACATATTTTATTTTTTAGTGTCATGGAATTTGAGCAGGTAGTACAAAGAAATCCTATATAACCTCTGTACCTACACATGCATAGTATCCTCTACTATCAACATTCCACACACCACAGTGGTACAATTTTACAACAATAAACCTCTATTGATACACCTATCTAACTCAAAGTTCTTAGTTTACACTAGGATTTGCTCTTGGTATTGTATGTTCTATGAGCTTGGACAAATATGTAATGTCATGTATCTACTGTTACAGTATCATGTAGAATAGAGTAACTGACATAAAAATCCTCTGTGCTCAAGAGTTGGAACCAACCCAAATGCCCATCAATGATAGACTGGATAAAGAAAATGTGGCACATATACACCATGGAATACTAAGCATCCATAAAAAAGCACGATTTCATGTCCTTTTCAGGGACATGGATGAAACTGGAAGCCATCATTCTGAGCAAACTAACACAGGAACAGAAAACCAAACACCACATGTTCTCACTCATAAGAGAGAGTTGAACAATGAGAAAACAGGAACCCAAGGAGGGGAACATCACACACTGGGGCCTTTCAGGCCATGGGTGGCAAGGGAAGGGAGAGCATTAGGACAAATACCTAATGCATATGGGGCTTAAAACCTAGATGATGGGTTGATGGGTGCAGCAAAACACCATAGCAAGTGTATACCTATGTAACAAACCTGCATGTTCTGCACATGTATCCCAGAACTTAAAGTAAAACTAAAAATAAAAAGCCTCTGTGCTCCACTTATTTATCCCTCCTTCTTCCATAAACCCTAATGTCCACTGATATTTTTGCTGTCTCCATAGTTTAGCCTTTTCCAGAATGCCATATAGTTGGAAATATACAATATATAACCTTTTCAAATAGGCATTTTCACTCAGTAATATGTATTTTGTTTTCTTCATGTGTTTTCATGGCTTGGTAGTTCATTTCTTTTTAGTACTGAATAATATTTCATAGTCTGGATGCACACATTTGTTTATCCACTTACCTAATAAAGAGCATCTTCATGGCCTCTAAGTTTTGGCAATTATGAATAAAGCTGCTAGAAACATTTGTGTGTGAGTTTTTGTGTGAGCATAAATTTTCATCTTGAGTAAATATCAAAAATCCCATTTGCTTGATTGTATGATAACAGTATGTTTAGTTTCATAAGAAATTGCCAAACTGTCTTCCAAAGTATCTGATATCATTTCTCTGTTGTATGATCTGTCTATTTCTTCACCAATGCTACATTGTCTTGATTGCTGTACCTCTATAGCAAGTCTTGAATTTGGGTAGTATCAGTTCTCCAACTTTGTTCTTTCCCTCAGTATCACATTAGCTATTCTTGGTCTTTTGCCTTTCCATATAAGCTTTAGAATTAGTTTGTCAATATTTACAAAATACTCTGCTGGAATTTTGACTGGGATTAAAATGAATGCATAGATTAAGTTGGGAAGAATAGACATCTTGACAATATTGAGTCTTCCTATCCATGAATATGAAATATTTCTTCATTTATTTAGTTTTTTTATTTGTTTCTCCTTTTTCATTTTTTTTTTTTTTGTTTTGAGACGGAGTTTCACTCTTGTTGTCCAGGCTGGAGTGCAATGGCGTGATCTCAGCTCACCACAACCTGCACCTCCCAGGTTGAAGTGATTCTGCTGCCTCAGCCTCCCGAGTAGCTGGGATTACAGGCATGTGCCACCACGCCTGGCTAATTTTGTATTTTTTCTTAGTAGAGACGGGGTTTCTGCATGTTGGTAAGGCTGGTCTCGAACTCCTGACCTCAGGTGATCTGCCTGTCTCAGCCTTCCAAAGTGCTGGGATTAACGGCCTGAGCCACTGCACCCTGCCTTGATTTGTTAATTAGAGCTTTGTAGTTTTTCTCACTTGTACACATTTTGTTAGATTTATACCTAAGTATTTCATTTTTTTGGAATGCTAAAGTAAATGATATTTTGTTTTGAATTTTAGATTATACTTGTTCATTGATGGTATATAGAAAAGTGATTGACTTTTGTACATTAACCTTGATCCTGCCACTATGCTCTAATTATTAATTCCAGTTTTTTGTTGATTTTAAAAAAATTTCTACAAACATGATCATGTCATCTACAGACATTGACAGTTTTATTTCTTCCTATCAGTATACTTCTTATTCTTTTTCTTGTCTTATTACATTAGCTAGGACTTCCAGGACAATGTTGACAAGAAGTGATGAGAAGAGACATTCTTGCCTTTTTCCTAGTCTTAGTAGGAAAGCTTCAAGTTTCTCACCATTAAGTGTGATGCGGGCTGTAGATTCTTACTTTACAGATTTTTTTTTAGAATCATAAATAGGTGTTAGATTTTTTTAAATGCTTTTTCTGCATCTATTAATATGGTAATTTGATTTTTTCCCTTTAACATTTCACACAATGGATTATGTTAATTGATTTTTGAATGTTGATCTCACCCTGCATACCTGGACTAAATTGTACACCAGGATCTACTGAGATTTAGTCCAGGTATGCAGGGTGGAATCAACATTCAAAAATACCTGGTCTAAATCTCAGTTGATCCTGGTGTACAATTATCTTTATATTGTTGAATTTAATCTGCTAATATTTTGTTGAGGATTTTTGCATATATGTTAAAAAGAGATATCAGTCTGAAGTATTCTTTTGTTGTAATGTCTTCGTTCTTGGGAATAGGGTATGGCTGGCTTCATTGAATGAGTTAGGAAGTCTTTCCTCTTCTATTTTCTAAAAGAAATTTAGAGAACTGGTATAATATAATCCTTAAATAGTTGGTAGAATTTACCAGTGAACCTGTCTGACCTGGTAATTTCTGTTTTTGAAGGTGCTATGGACTTGATGTTTGTGTCACCCTGAAATTCATGTATTAAAATTCTAACCCCCTATGTAATGGTGTTAGGAGGTGGAGCCTCTGAGAGGAGACTAGGCCATCAGGGTAGAGCCCTGATAAATGGGATTAGTGCCATTATAAGAGGCCCTTAGAGAAGGCTATGATTGGGTATTTCATTTACTTAAAATAGGTTAGGCTGTAATAAAATTCCAGCAAGTTAACAATAGGTTCTTCTGAGGGCAGGCCTTGTTAAGAAGAACAGAATACTGTGGATATTTAAAAATGTTTTTCCACATCTCCAGGAAGATGAATTTATCACTTATTTCCCTACTTTGCCACAGCAATTATTTTCTTTTTATCTAATACTTGATTTTTTTTCCCATTAGTGTGGGTTTGGATATATTTTTTAAAAATTTTGTTTAACGTACAGACAGGACTTTTTCTAACATCTTCTGTGAGTGTCAGGTAGGGATCATGAAGTTAAAACTCACAAAAGTGTGAGAGACCCCCTGCCCTGTCCCACCTTGACTGGCTCCCCTAGAGTTTTTATCTTTCAGGTGTCTCTTTCAGGCTTCTCCACATTAAGAAGTACATCAATTAAGTTCAGGGTTTTCCGACCTACATCTACCCTCCTTGGCACTGGCTCCTGTGGGGTTTCTGCTTGTGGGTTTCTGCTCAGGGAAGGTGTGATTCTCTCTATCTGCCTGTCTATCTCTGCAATTTTGAGGGCAGCAATTTGCGTTGTGAGCTCACTTCTTTGATGGATTTAAGATGAATTGTTGGTATTTTAGTTTGTTCAGCTTTTTTCTTGTTGTTAGGGTACAGTGGTGACTTCTAAGCTCTTTACATGCTAGATTAGAAGTCCCCTTTACTTTTCTTTAAAAAGAACTTTAAATGAAACATAAATTCCTTACCAAGATCTATACTGCCCTGAAGGGCTTGGCTTCTGTCCATCTCTTCAACCTCAGTTTGTTCTGTCCTTTCTCTTTTCCATTTCCTTTCAGGTACTAAGACGTTCCGTTGACTTGCACTTGCTCAGCTCTTTAAATATTGGAGCTTTCCACATGTAACAATACTTTCCGTGGAGCAATGTTTCATCCTTCGGACCTCGGCTAAGTATCACCATTTAAAAAAAACCTCTGGTTACCTTCTTTACAGTAATATCTCACTCTTATTTTTCATCACAATACTCAGTATTTTAAATACTGATCACAGATTGTAATTTATTAAATTGTTCTCCTGACTTTCTTAGAAGATATAAAGTTAATGTAGGCAGGACTTTTATGCTGTTTTTTTTTTTTCTGTTTCATTAACTATTGTATCTTAAGCTTATGGCATAGAACTTGGCATGAAAAAGATGCTCATAACAATTTTTTAGAATAATAAATACATAGATAAATAGTTATAACAACTAAATAAAATATTTTAAAAACATATCCAAACCTACACTTGTAGGCAGAAAAAATGGAGAATTAGATAAAAGGAAAAAAGCTGCTATTGCAAAGTGGGGAAAATGTGATAAATTCATCTTCTTAGCGAGAAGTGGCTGGGCTGATATTTTATTCTTGATTGGCAATCCTACTATAATGGTTGTTTTTTTCTCCCTTGTTACATCTTTCTGACCCTAGTTATGTGATTGATCTGACAATATCTCTACATGCAAATGTTCTGGAAAAATATGTGGAAAATCTCTGTGAACTTAATTAAGCAAAAGTCAGTCTTAGACAGAATCCAGTTCCAGGACTCCATGATTAATGTGCTTATAAGGTACAAACTTTTCAATAATATTTGCCTCTGTCAGGTAGAAGATACTATCCTTTTAAGGGCTAATTATTTCAGAAGATGTTTTATTAGGCTTACCACATGATATAAAAAACGGACAAGAATTTCCTCTGCAAATTTCAAGCTTGAATACTTGGCCATAAGAAGACAAGAGAGTGAGATGGGCTAAACGTTGGAATGGCAGTTATTCTTTATTGAAATTACTAGAAAATAAGTTATGAGAGAAAAATTTCCCTCTCAAAAAGGCTAGTTACTATCTTCTTATGTAGACATAGGATTTGTTTGTATTTTTAATAAATTATCCTAACATGAAAAGTTTTAGTTTTTCTGTTTGCACCATGGAATTTCTTTAAAATAGTTCTACAGTGCAAGTCATAATTTTCTGAAATACTTAGAAACTCTGAAGACAATGGACAGACGTGGCCATATGATTTCAAATATATCATCAAGGAATGATACAGCTTTTTGTCTTCTGTGTGCATATTGGATTGAAGAGAGACTTCCAGCTCTTTGTGAGTGAGGTAAAGTGTTTTTCAAATCATAAATAAGCTTCCCAAAGGTAAGATTTTAACAGGTGGTAGTGAAACCAAGCTTTGCAGATGTGTGAATTTTTTACTACATAGGAAATTATATCATTTGATTTTGTAAGAATTGAAATGTTGAAAAACTTTTGCTGGTGCAAAGTTGCTGGTTAGGTTTTATATGATACTTGTCATGAGTATATTTAAAAAATACAAAAGTTAAGTCAGCAACCATGATATATCCTAAAAAGTTATACCTCCACCTAGGGAAGTAGGAGACTCATGGTGAAAACGTGATTTCTCGGACAGCATCAAGACTTTGGTTCTCTGATAAAATGACCCCTTGTATAGATCCTGAGATGAATTGAGTAGTAGATGCTCGGTGATGCCTGGGAGTCTATCTTATTTGATTGGTGTGACCCAATGTATGTGTTCAATCGACACTTGGTGGTTGAAAGAATAAATGAAAGACTGAACTTATAATACACCTTTCTACAATATTTAGCATTAATTTAGAGGTAAACTGCTTATGATTACTAAGATTGGCATCTGCAAAAGAATAGATAGAACTAAAAAGATGCAAAACCAGTTTGAATATTTGAGGAGTGGTAAAAACCTTGAGCAGGTAAACATAGAGAATTGCAGGAAATTAGCTGAATAGGTTTCCTAGATCCCAGTCATCTAAGATCTTGTAGGCCAAGGTAGGGATATTGGACTTTATTGAGTATACAGGCCAAGGTAGGGATATTGGATTTTATTAAGCATATAATAGGAATATCTTGTAGGGGTTGAGATCAAAGGAGTAATAGGATCTGAATAATATAAGAACAAAAAAAGATCATTTGGGCTACTTCAGAAACACAGATTGTCAAATGCCGAAAGGAAAGTAGGTAGACCTGGCTATTGTAGTAGACCAGGAATGAATGGGGTGTAGTGACAATGATCAGGTTTGTAATATATTATAGAGGAAGAGTGAACAGGACTTATTAAGTATAGAAATAAACAATGTGAGTAGAATAAAGGGTGAAGGACACTGATAAAATTTGGTCTGAACAATAACACAAAAGGGAGTACCATTTTATTAATTTGATTAAAAAAACCTAGGTAGGAATAGATATATTATGAAAAATTAAAAGTTTGCTTTTATAAATCGTAAATTGAAGTCTATTTGGAGGCATCAATTAGATAGCTGCAGATATGAGTTTGAAAATTAGGGGAGAAATGGAGTAAAGACATACAATTTTAGAGTGCTTCAGAATTTACAAGTTAGGAAAACGAGCAATATTCAAGTAAAGACACTAAGAAGAAAGTTTCAGTGGGTCGGTAAGATATCTGGTACTGTGAGAGTTATGGACCATACATTGTGTTGTATGACAATTATTGTTTCATTATGTACCCCCCACAAATTCATATTTTGGGGCCCTAACTCTTAGTACTTGAGAATATAACCTTATTTGAGGTGAGTCTTTGCAGAGGTATGCAAGTTAAAATAAGATGATTGAGGTGGACCCTAATCCAGTATGACTGATGTCCTTAATAGATGGGAAAATTTGGATACAGACATGTATACAAAGAGTATTCTGTAGGAACCTATAGTTGGTCATTTATAAGCCAAGGGCAGAGGCTTGGAACATCTCCTTCCCTTATAGTCTTCCATAGGAACCAACACTGTTAATAAGTTAATTTTGAATTTCTAAGATCTAGAACTATGAGACAATAAATTTCTGTCGTTTAAGGCACTCAGTTTGTGCTACTTTATTGTACCTGTTCTAGCAAAATAATACAGCTTTCAGTTCTGGGAGTGGGGTACTGCTGCAATGAATACCTCAAATGTGGAAGTGGCTTTGCAACTGGGTAATGGGTAGATACCTGCAGAGTTTGAGGGTGCATTATAGAAAGAGCTTGGATATCCTTCAAGTTACTGTGGGTAGGAATATGGACATTGAACAGTGATTCTGGTGAAGGCTCAGAAATGAAAGAGGGGAGCTGAGGAGAAAACATCTATTATCTTAGAGAATACATATTTCATCATGAACTAAATGTTTCTAGAAATTTGAATGTCAAGGTCCTTGTAGTTAAGGTCAAAAATGGAAATGAGGAACATGTTATTGGAAAGTGGAGGAAAAGCGTCATTGGTATAAGGTGGCAGCCCTAGTAAATAATACAAAGAAATTTGGTCTATAGCCTTGCACACAAAATGCATTCTACCCACTATGAATATATATCTATTAAGTGCATCTTCAGTGTGATACTTCAGTGAGTTTATACATGGCACATCTTTTCATGGAATTCCCTTTTCCATCCTTTTCTCTCACTTCTTTAAACTCATTAAGGTATCACTTCCACTGAGAAATCTACCCAGAGCACAGTTGGGGTTAGAAGTTCCAAGGCTGTGAAGCCATAGCACAATGTAAATTATTTATAATCACACTTGCTAAATTGGTTTTTGTCTGACCACTTTATTGTGCAATTGTGACAGTACACTGAAGATTAACAACAAAATTGGCAATAAATAAATCTAAAGGGTATTTTTGTAATGATAAATAGTTTTCTATATGGACTTTAGCTCAAATGGCTTATATGCCAGAATCATCTCTGACATATGATATTTACTTGGCGCTTAGTCTTAGATATTATATTATTTTCTCTTCACCATTGAAAGGGTAAAATCATCTTATGTTTAGATTATTTCTCTCTTCAGGTCATCTTTTGACCCAGACCTTTCTCAAAGCACTTTTCACCTCTGCATTTCTGAGGGTTAGACTAAAGGTTTTAACATAGGATTTATCACGGTATGAAACACAGCCATTGCTTTATTGATTGGGGAAGGGTCACTGGGCACAGATACACAGATATACAGAACTCAAAGATAAGATGACCATGGTGGTGTGAGAGATGCAGGTAGAGAACTTTAGCATCTTTCCTCCAAGCTGTGAGTTTTCAAAGTACATAGGATGGCCACTTAAGAAACCATCAAGAAAATGATGTTTAACAGGTAGTTGAACCCACCATTGGCAGCAACAAAGAAACCAATTGTATTAGTAGTACCCATGCAGAGGAGTTTCAAAAAAGTGTTTAAGTCACACATGAATGAGCTATGACATTGGGGTCATAGAAAGGAAGTCAGACTGGGGAGAGGATCTAAACTGTGCCTGGATAAAGCTTTCAGTACATGCCATTCCAGTGAGATGGCTACACCTATATTGATTCACGATGGTCATGTAGTACAGACGGTCACATAACAGCCATGGACCATCCACATCAGTGGAATAATCTCAGCAGCACAAAAAGATTCTCAGCAAAGACTTCCAGATACTTTATCCGTATTGATACAAGCATGGTACTACATATGCTCCCATATTTTTTTTATTAAGTCATTAGGTACTCAAAAAAACTCAATAAACTTATATGATGATTTCATTTACAAAATATGACACAGAGTACTGATTAGCATTTGATATCTTACAGCAAGTGTTAGAAAAATTTATTTACTGGTTTAGATATTTCTCATAAAATGGTTGTCTATCTATTATCTATCTTCTTCATCATCATCTATCACTTTCTATCTAAATTATTTTCTAAAACCAGAGTGTTATAGACACTTTGAGAAAAATGAAGCATTTTCTACATGCATATTAAACATATGGTTTATGTAAAAGCCCAGTAAATAAGGCTTTTGGTTTTCACAGCATCTAAAATAAGGCTGTTGATTAGAAATAAGTCAACTAGCTCAATGGAGACTTCCTCAGGGAAAGTTCAGTATCATTGAGAAGAAAATTTAGAAAGCTGTTGGCCAGTATTTATATACTATTTATCATTAATAGATTAAAATAGAGTTATTATGTATCTTTTCACCTCAGGAGGTATAATTCTGTTTGGAAAAGTAGGTGACTAATGGTGAAAAGATGATTCCTTGGTTAGCACTAATATTTCTCCTCTGATAATCACTTTTGGTCTAAACCCTAACCCTGAATGAGTTTGTGAACATTCTGTGATGGCTGGGAGTCTACTTTATTTGAGAGGCATAACACAATGTAGGTGTCATATAAACATTTTTCAATTGAATGAATAAATAAAAGATTACACTTACAATACACATTTCCACAATATTGACCATTATTTTAGAAGTAAGTGGCTTCTAATCTCTGAAATAAGTGTCTACAAAAAATAGATTAAATTAAGGATATGGAAAAGCACATTGTATATTTGGTGAATATCGAAACTGTCTGGAGCAGTATAAATGTGGACAATTGTAAGGGATGGATTTGGGGAGGTAGCCTGGATCCAGGTCATCTAGGGTCTTGTAGGCCAAGGTAGAAAGATTCCATTTCATTGAGTGCAGAATATAAATCCACCATGGGGTTTTTGAGTAGAGGAGTGGTATGATATTAATAAGATTTTCAAAAGATCATTTGGGCTACTTCATGAAAGAACATTATTAGAGGCCAGAAGATGAGTGGAGAGATTTTGCAGGGGGCTATTAGAGTAGGCCAGGGGGTAACAAGATGGTAGTGAGAAGGATCCAATTGGGATATTTTGAAGGAAGAGTTAACAGGGTTTGAGAAAAATATATTGATAAATAATATTAAAGAAATAGAGAAGTGAAATAGATTGTAAAATTTTTAGTTTAAACAGTGTGGTAGGTAGTAACATTTAATGAAATGAAAATAAGGAAGAAATGGGTTAATCTGGAAAATTAAAAATTGATATCAATTGAACATGTCAGTTGGTAGTCACATACAAAGATCCATTCATAATTAGCTCTTCCCAGTTTGAAAATGTAAGTTAGTTACCTTAAGTGGTTTCTCGAGTATTATACATCTGTGAATTTATACAGGATGCACCTTTATGTGGAATTCCCTTCCCATCCTCTCTTCTAGTTAATTATCACCTTTCCTTTATATCTCAGCTAAGACATTGCTTCCTCTGAAAAGTCTTTCCTGATCCTAGTTTGATTTAGTGTTTTAGCACTGTGAACCCTTACAATAATGTCAATATATTTATTATGACACCTATTTAATTGGTATTTAATTTATTCCCTTTGGTATTTTATTTACCAAATCACTGAGAGTACAAAATTGTGTCTTTTTCAACTTGGCAATTCCAAAGTCTATGACAGATTTGACATAGATACTGCATACACATTTTTAATTGAATGAGTAAATACAATATTAAAATCATAATGTATTTAAAGTTTTCCCCCCTTGTTTTATAGGTAAACTGCTTATATGATCTGAAGTAAGCAGCTGTAAAGAATAGATGGAGCCAAGGAAAAATGTGACTGACTTTGTCCTCTTGGGCTTCACACAGAATCCAAAGGAGCAGAAAGTACTTTTTGTTATGTTCTTGCTCTTCTACATTTTGACCATGGTGGGCAACCTGCTCATTGTAGTGACCGTAACTGTCAGTGAGACCCTGGGCTCACCAATGTCCTTCTTTCTTGCTGGCTTAACATTTATAGATATCATTTATTCTTCATCCATTTCCCCCAGATTGATTTCAGACTTGTTCTTTGGGAATAATTCCATATCCTTCCAATCTTTCATGGCCCAGCTCTTTATCGAGCACCTTTTTGGTGGGTCAGAGGTCTTTCTCCTGTTGGTGATGGCCTATGACCGCTATGTGGCCATCTGTAAGCCCTTGCATTATTTGGTTATCATGAGACAATGGGTGTGTGTTTTGCTGCTGGTAGTGTCCTGGGTTGGAGGATTTCTGCAATCAGTATTTCAACTTAGCATTATTTATGGGCTCCCATTCTGTGGCCCCAATGTCATTGATCATTTTTTCTGTGACATGTATCCCTTATTGAAACTGGCCTGCACTGACACCCATGTTATTGGCCTCTTAGTGGTGGCCAATGGAGGACTGTCTTGCACTATTGCGTTTCTGCTCTTACTCATCTCTTATGGTGTCATCCTGCACTCTCTAAAGAAACTTAGTCAGAAAGGGAGGCAAAAAGCCCACTCAACCTGCAGTTCCCACATCACTGTGGTTGTCTTCTTCTTTGTTCCTTGTATTTTTATGTGTGCTAGACCTGCTAGGACCTTCTCCATTGACAAATCAGTGAGTGTGTTTTATACAGTCATAACCCCAATGCTGAACCCCTTAATCTACACTCTGAGAAATTCTGAGATGACAAGTGCTATGAAGAAGCTTTAGAGCAGAGACCTCATATCAAGTAGTACATAAGTGAGTTACCCACCAGGAAGAGAGCCATTTGACTTTACAGCCCTCTCCTTGGGACCCAGGAGTTTTTTAAAATCTGATGCCATATTCCCTTTCTTCAAAGCATTTACAATTATTATTAAAGAATGAACAATATGATTGTGTTAATAGTAACAGTCTACCTCTCTGCTAGAATGTAAGATCTGTAATGTCTTGTTTTCCATTTTATCTGTAAAGACGTAATGCATAAAACAAGGAGTCAATAATATGTAGTGAATTAGTTAAGAAATTTTAGAGTTACAATGATTTTTAATCAAGTTATTCCTGTATGTTTTTGCCTTTCTTTCTGAGACTTAATTTCATTTTTAGTTAGATTCTTGTCCTTTAAGTTCATTCTTCTTCTTATACTATTTAAAATAGTTAATGGTATAATTTATATCAATGCAGTCCTTTTCATCCAATTGAACTTGTACTGTATACAGATTTTTAATGTAATATTTCTACCTTTTAAAAGAAAAATTGAAAGCCAAATGGATAATCATAAATAGCAAAAATGGAAACTGTACAAAATAATATAAAATGAGAAATAAATCTCTTGTCCATATCTGAGTGCAGTCTCCTAGTTCTCTTCATCAGAGGAAGTCACTATTATCTGTTTCTTAAGATGTTTCAGGTAATAATCTTCAAATGTAAATATATGTGTGTGATTTTATCTATGTACAGAAGCTTGCTACTTCACATAGAAGGGAGCTAGGGCCTAGGATGTGGGCTTCATAACTCTTCCCAGTCCCCTATCCTACTGTGGTCAGTTAGTTGCATCCAGGATGCAAGACAAAGCCCTCTTTACTCTTCACAATTCACTCTCCTCTCCTCAAGCAGAAGGAAGGAGTCACTTTTGTTGCTGCAAGCTGCACTGCCTGGGGTCAGGGGAGGGGTGGCACAAGCACTTCCTTGGCAGCCCTGGCTGGTGTCTCCATAGGTCATGTGCTCCCCTATTGCACTGGCTCTAAGTCCAACCCAGCACTAGGACTTGCCTAGGAATTGCAGGCCTTGTGTCCTAGGCTGCCTTTGAAGTTTACCTAAGAGCCCAGAGCACTTTAGCCCACAGTGGTGAGACTTGCCAAGAAATTCTAGTTTTGACTTCTGTGATGAGTGATTCCCCTCTGTCTAGAGCTGGTCCAAATGCAGTCTCCATGGGTGGGTGACAGTTGAGCTCAGCATGGCTTTGCTCTCTGCTGTGACAAGGTAGTACTGAGTTCAATGCCAAACCCCATGTCTATACTCTTTTTTTCCTCAAGTGCACAGATTATCTCTTTGCACCATGCAGCCACTGCTGTGGAATTTAGGAGGGGTGTTATTGGTGATTTGAGACTGTCTTTCCTACCCTCTTAAGTATGTTTCATTCAATGATGTGAAGTTAAAACCAGGTACTTGGATTGCTCACCCGGTTTTCTGTTGTTATGCTTGCGCTTTTGTGTGTGTGCAATTAGTTGTTGAAATTCAGTGTTCCTGCAGGAGGGACTGGGATTACGGGTGTGAGCCGTTATGCCCATCCCAAGGAACATTTTCTGTTACAGGGGGAGAGAGACAATAAACAAGTAAGCATGCACATAAAAAGATAAAATATAACAGAGTGGAAATGTGTAAAAAGTGAAACAAATGATGTGATAGAGAGCTACTCAACAGGTAGGGGGCTACGAGTGTTCAAAGGAGACCCAAGAGCACGTATTAACTGTTTACATAACCACTTCCAGAGATAAGAGACAATAAACTGAAAGGATATGAATAAGTAAACTCACTGGAGAGGAGTTTCTGTTTGTGGAAAGGGGAATTTTATCTGACCTGGATGAGTATCAATAACATCTCTCCTTGATTAAAAACTACACATTTTATTAAAAATAAAATAAACATGATACATAAACACACACACATATTTTAGCAACCTTAACCTACTATAATTAATTCAGCTGTAATTAAAATAAGGATGATACAAAATTAAACATACATATTTAAGCTATCATCTTTTTTCAAAACACCTTGTGCGTGCCTCCTGGCAGTTGGTGAACTTTCTGATGTATTCAACAGCATTGATCTCCACTTTGTCTCTGCATGTTCTCCTTTTATTTTAATTTTTACCATTTTTTTTCCCACATGAAAGGTCTTGCAGTCACTTAGAAATGCTGAGATAAATTGACTGGTATAAAGTAAGGTATCTGATTAATGAAATTTACTCTAAAACTAATTGGCCTTTTCATGGACTATAAGACTATGCACAACCACTTCGTACTCAAACATGCAATTCTCTTTCCAATGTTGTATGACCCAGTACCCAGCTCTTCAAAGCACATTTTTTTTTCTTGGTAGATCTCAGGTCTTCCTTCTGTTGCTGATGGCCTAGACAACTATAGGGCCATCTGAAAGTCCTTGCAGTATTTGGTTGTCATGAAGCAATGGCTGTGTGTTGTGCTGCTGGTGGTGCCCTGGGCTGGAGGATTTTTGCACACAGTAATTCAACTTGGCCTTATTCATGGGCTCCCATCTTATGACCCCAATGTCATTGGTCGTTTTGTCTGTGACATGGACCCCTTAATGAAGCTTGTCTGTGACTATACACTCAACAGATTTGTCTATTTTGCAGGTCATGACTTAAATACTAGGTTTTATATATTTCGTTTATATTCAGACTGGACTGTTTCCTTTTGGTGATTTGACTTTGGTATCCTTTTGTAATTTTTTCCCTAGAGGACATGATTCTATAAATCTTGTTATACATAGTTATTATCCCTGTGGCATCTCCGGAGATACAGAGCCTACCCTCAGAATTATGATAAAGGTCCCAATGAATTTAATTAGAGAAGAATCACCTTTGGAGATGCACCAGTTGAATGACTCAACAATATGTGCTGCAGTTCAAATGTGGATAAAGTATCCACAGACTTCTGCCCTTATTTTGAAGAGTATTTGTTTATAGCAGTATTCACATGACTGATTGTTTAGGAATTAAAATGACAGACTCAAACATGATAAAATAAGGATGAAAATTATTCTCCATCCTTCATATTACCCAAGGTTCAACTATGTGGCATGAATACAGGTTCATATAACTGATTGAAGATCAATGTGTTGTAAAGGCTATTTCATTATTTTACTTTTATTGGTATAAATACAAATATTTATAGTAAAAAGTCACAATTCTCTCTCCCACAGATTCAAGTTTTTTCTTAACTTCGAAATGCTTATTTAACCTATTCATCTTTTGATGAACACTTGGGTTGATTCCATATCTTGGCTATTGTGAATAGTGCTCCACAAATTATTGGAATGTAGCTATCTCTTTGATATACCGATTTCATTTCTTTTGGATGTATAACTACCAATGGGATTGATAGATATATGGTAGTTCTATTTTTAATTTTCTGAGGAACCTCCATACTGTTTTCCATAGTGGCTGTATTAATTTACATTCCTACCAACAGATTATGATCATTCCCCTTTCTCTACATCCTCATCAGCATTTATTTTCTGTTATTTTTATAATAGCCATTTTAACTGGGGTGAGATAATGTAATAAAAAGGATAAAATTCTGCCATTTGCAGCAATGTGGATGGAACCAGAGGATATTATATTAAATAAAATGAGGCAGGCACAGAAAGGCAAATATTGCAGGTGTTCACTCATGTGGGAGATAAAAAATTGACCTCATGATGGTAGTGAATAGAATGGTGGTTACCGGAGGATGGGAAGGCTAGTGAGGAGAGCAGATGAAGAGGAGTTGATGATTAATATATACAGAAATACAGTTAGGTAGGAAGAATATGATCATGATAGGGCAACTATAGTTTATAGTTGACTGTATTTCAAAACAGCTAGAAGAGAAAGTTTAGAATTTTCTCAACATAAAGAAATGATAAATGTTTGAGGTGATGGATATCCCAATTACCCAGATATGATCATTACATGTTGTGTGCTTTTGTCAAAATATCATGTATACCCCATAAATATATACAATTATAATGTATCCATTAAAATAAAAAATAAAAAAGTATTTATATAACATGTGTTTGTTATTAGGACAAATTTTGCCAACAGTGAAGATTTTGGGTCTCAGTTCACAATCAAGATTGAGGCTTCTTTAGGTTACAGAACATTCTTGATATTCATTTTGAAAATCTCAATAAGTTAAAAGGTAACCTTTTTTCCCCCTGAAAGACTGATATAAATCAAACTTTCAACAAGCATGGAAAACGTTGATCACATGGAAGCATTTCAAGGTCCAGTGATGATTCATGTGTTGTTTTACTCTCTGTGTTCACACAGATGGTGTCAGTGTACACAGCTGTTATTTTTTTAGGACAAGAGGGAAGGTACCATCATCAGAACCCGGAATGAATTACTGTCTTCTTATGCAGATACCCAGGAAGGTATTTATGTGTGAGATTCTGCACTAGGCTTTACATTATGCAGTAACACTGATGATGTGGGAATTCTGTCTTTTAATAGTTCTCTAAGTGATTCTGATAATAAACCACATTAGTGGATCTTCATGATTGCTAAACTTTATGTGAATTGACTCAATTCTGTAATACTTTTTTGGATATTTCAACATTAAATAACAGAAAAAATTTACTTTCTCTACATCAGTGTTCTTAGAAACTAATTTCAAATGTAACCATTTGGGGGATATTTTAATGGGCAGGTATTTGTAAATCTCTTTATAGGATCAAGCAGTGTGTTCTCTATGCATTGATTAATATGCCAAAAATTAGATGATATAGCATCTGTAGAAGTGGAATGAGTGACTTTCAAGAACCCAAGGTAAGACTAAAGTAAGCAAGGTGTTACTTCAATTCATAGGAATGATAGGTCAAGTAAGAAGAGTATTGAAATTGACCACTTGATTTAGTAAAGTGAAAGTGTTATTTAGAAAGAATAACAGAGAATCAAGATGGGGTGGTTGCTTGAAAGAGATATGCTGTCCAGGGGTATAAATATATTTTTAAACGTGGGGATAGATCATACAAATATGCTGGAAGAAGGATGCAATATAGGGAGGAAAATTGTTGACATTCGAAATGGAGAAAATTGAAGGAACACTGTTCTTAAGAGTGGTAAAGAGCACGGAATCTAGTGCAACCTCTAGAGAGGTTGGCCATTGTTAGCAACACAGACAATCTGTGTATTTGAAAAACAGATGGGACATTATTTATCAGGTTAGATTGAAGTAATGTCAACAGAGACTTAGCGATTAGTTGTCATTAGTAGGATTATTTTAGGAGATAGCTGGGCTAGTGAATATTGTCACTACGTATGATATAGTTTTGTGTGTGTGTGTGTGTGTGAAGCCTTCTTTTCCTCTAACTCTCTCTTCCCTCCCTCCCTCCCTTCCTTCTCCCCTATTTCTTTCCCTCCCTCTTTTATTCCATCTTCCTCCATCTTCCTTCCTTCTTTCCTTCCTTCCTCTCCTCTTCGTTAGTTTTATTCTTTCACACACAACTTCTCTCCTCTCCCCCACATCACCAATGCAAATGTAAACCCTGCTTACAACAAAAAACATATATCCTTCGTTATTTTCCCATGCTCATATAGTCATATGCAAACACTTATAAATGGATACATGTATAGTATTTTTATTTTGTTTGCTGAATCATATTATTATACTGAAATGGCTGCAATTAATTGTTTTAAATATCTGTATTCCATATTTTTTGTTTGTTTAGTGCCATTATAAATAATGTCACAAAAACATGCCATGCATCTGTCCTTATGTTCTAGGGCTCTAATTTCTATGGGGTAGCTTTTGAAGGGAGCAGTTGTGTTGAAAGATATTGTTACTTTCATTAGAGATTGCTAACTTTTGTTCCAAAAATATTATAAAATCCATATTTTCCCTATCAGTGCAAGAAAATACCCTTTTTTATTTTTGCTAGCTATAGCTACTATCACTTTTAAAACGTTTTTGTCAGTTTCATGAATATAAGGTGATATTTGTTTTATATTTTGTATTTTTCTATTTATAGGTGAACTTCAGCACACTATTATATTTGGCCACGTTAATGTACTGTTTCTTTTTAAATTGCTGGTTTCTATCATTTGCCCAGTTTGCTATTGGTTTGTCTCTTATTTATTAATTGCTTAGAGCACTCTTTCTATTTTAAATATTAACTCTGTGCCCTCAAAATTATAAATATTTTTAAATGGTATTATTTTCCCAAATTCTTAAACAATTTTGAAATTGTCAAATATGTTTATTTTGGATTTCAATTTTTAAGATTCTCCCATCCAGAGAATGTAGAAAGTCATCTCCTTTATTAACTGGAAAGTAAATATAAAGAAAATCTAGCTTTAGTTTTATATTAAATCTTTAATTCATTTGTATTTATTTTTGTTTATGGTATTAGCTATATGTATAATTTTATGATCTTCCAGATGTAAAACTAGTTTTGGCAAACTCTTTTATTTAATAAACTGTCCTTTTCCCATATACATCCCAAATTACTTATTTCTCTCTCAATTAATTTGTAAGATTGCTGAGGTTGGGGACCATGCTTTAATCAGCCTTATATTTTTATAATGTCTTGCAATTCTGGAACATAATAACTCATAACACCTATTTGTTGAATGAATAAACAAATTATCCTAAAATTTAATGAAGCTACTAGTAACAATTATATTTTTAAGTAATTTTGTCCTGTGTTCAACTGGAATAAGGACATACAGAAAGGCATATGGAGCAAAGGAAAAATGTGACTGAGTTTGTCCTTGTGGGGCTCACTCAGAGCCCCCAGGGACAGAAAATATTATTTCTTGTGTTCTTGCTCATCTACGTTGTGACAATGGTAGGCAACATATTCATTGTTGTGACTGTGGTGGTCAGCCCAACTTTGGATGCCCCATGTACTTCTTCCTTGGCTACTTATCATTTATGGATGCTGTTCATTCTACTACAGTTACCCCAAATATGATTATAGACTTACTCTATGAGAAGAAAACCATTTCGTTCCAAGCTTGATTACCCAGATTTTTATAGGACACCTATTTGGGGGTGCTGAGATTTTACTCCTTGTTGTCATGGCCTATGATGGCTACGTGACCATCTGCAAACCCCTGCATTATTTGACCATCATGAACCAACGGGTGTGCATTCTACTGCTGCTGTTGGCCTGGGCTGGAGGTTTCTTGCATGCTGTAGTTCAACTTCTTTTTGTTTACAACCTTCCCTTCTGTGGCCCCAATGTCATTGACCATTTCATCTGTGACATGTACCCTTTATTAAAACTTGCCTGCACTGACACCTATGTTACTGGCCTCACTGTGGTTGCCAATGATGGGGCAATCTGTGTGGTCATCTTTATGCTCTTACTCTTCTCCTATGGGGTCATTCTGCACTCCCTGAAGAATCTTAGTCAGGAAGGGAGGCACAAAGCCTTATCCACCTGTGGCTCCCATATCACTGTGGTGATCCTCTTCTTTGTCCCTTGTATTTTCATGTATGTGAGACCTCCTTTGACCTTACCCATTGATAAATCCTTGACTGTGTTTTACACTGTTATCACACCTATGTTGAACCCTCTAATCTATACTTTAAGAAATGCAGAGATGAAAAATGCTATGAAGAAGCTCTGGACTAGAAAAAGAAAATGAGGTGGCAGACAAATGTATCATCTATTTTCAGTGAAGAGTTGCTCCCTCCAGGAAAGCCATTTGTGATTATTTAATGGCAGTGAAATTTTCCTCAGGTTTAATAACTAGTATGCAGTGAAAATCATTTATTACATGAATACTTGCAATAATCAAAATATATTTAGAAAATTTTAATAATTTATTGGAAAAATATATGTTCACTTTTTGTTTGTAGAATGGCTCTCGAGATGATAAATTTATGTTATTAATACTATAAATTTATTTAAGTTTATGAAAGTTTTTCTCATGTTTTTCTTTTAAATAAAGTTAATCCCTTTTTGGAATTAATAGTGCTCATTACAGATTTCAGAAGAATGAATTAAGAAATAAGACATAAAAATTTCATTTACTCCTCCCCACACAAATACAGACCACATTAATATTTGAAGTATATATTTTATTTTGTATTTGTAAGATACTATTTATATATAATTTTGTTCATATTGCTAGCATATTAAGGTTGAAGAGGAATAGTGCTTCCTTCAGTATTATACATAAGGAGACAGTATACTAAAAGAATCTGAATGAAAAAGGGAGACATGCAGAAAAATAACTAAATCTTACTTTTTTCTCCAATTGAGAAATCATATTAAGTCCTCAGGTGAAGCAGCTTGATTTGGTGCTATATTTATGTAAAAATGATCCATTGATCTTCCCAGATGTTTAGAATATCTGATAATATCTCTGCTATTTTCAATACCCCCTTCTCATGGCCTTCTAAAAAACAGCCAGGCTCTGCTTTTCATATGTAAAATTAGCGTAATCCATAATCTATGAACTTCAAATATGGAATGCAGAGCCAGATAGTAAATATTTTGGAATACACCATTTTCAAGGAAGATAGACAGTTGTGGTGGTGCATGTCAGTGGTTCCAGCTGCTCAGGAGGCTGAGGTTGGACGATTTTTTGAGCCCAGGAGGTCAAGACTGCAGTGAACCATGATCACGCTACTGCACTCTAACGTGGGTGACAGAGCAACGCTGAGAAAAAAAAAAGAAAGAAAAAGAAAAAAAGATGCTGGCAATATATGATGCTTCCATTCTTACTTTATTGATAGAATGCAGATTATTAGGTAAAAAAAGGACTAAAACATATTGTTTCGTTGGAAAGACACTTAATTCATAAAAATCTGTGTGAAAATTCCTTTTGAATCAGGCTTGAAATAAAATTTTATCTGCCCCTGACTACAGGTAGAAAACATGTAATCAAAGAAACTCATTGTTCCTGCTTCTCCTCTGTACTCTGGATTCATGAGGGACTAAGGCTAGGGAAAAACATGTCAATTTCCCTGGTAAATCACACTATGTGAGTTCACTTTGTATTATTATTTTTATCCTTATTATTATTACATGGAGATTTCTTACATAATCCAAGCTCTTCCAAAACATAGCACCATTCTCCAAATAGTATTGAGCATTTGGTAGTATCAGAGTTTATATAACTAGGTCCTGCATTTTTGGACATGTAATTAATTTTCTAATTTGTATGGTTCTATTAAGTGATGAAATAAAAAAATCTTGGTTAATTGTCTGTTTATGTTTATTGGTCTGAAAGTTCCCCGAAGTCAGGGAAAGTTACTTCTCTTTGTGCTCTCTGTTCCTTGCACAATGTATGACACATAGAGCCCACTCCATAAACTTTGTTAATTACTTGTTTCCTTGAGTTCTTAATCTATTGGAGGTAGAATTTTTACTGATACATTCTGATAAAATTTTTCCGTATCAAAGATGCATATATGTTCATACCATTCTTTGATATTTGCTATAAATATTTACCTTACTATGTTATTGATGCTACAATTATGGATGTTTTTATATAGAAATGTTTTACCTTAACTTTTTTACTTCTTATTTTTTTCGGTCACATCACACCTCAGTAAATTCCATTTCCCTCTAGTGACTTTACACTTTTTAACACCTTATTTTATTTATTTATTTTTCTTTTCAGATTTTGTTTTAGAATCAGGAGGCACATGTGCAGGTTTGTTACAAAGGTATGTTGCATGATGCTGAGGTTTGAAGTATGATTGCACCCACGCCCAGGTAGTGAGCATGGTACCCAGCAGGTAGTTTTTGAGCCCTTGCCCATCTCCCCCTCTCCTGCCTCCAGTCGTCCCCATTAAAAAAATCACTTTACAAAAACATTTGTTTTCCAGCCAATGGAAAATTTATTTTTCTTTATCATAAGAAAATATTGAAGTCTAGTTTTCCTAAACAGGTAAAATAACCTGCCAATCTAATCCATTAATTATTTTCAATAGCAATTTGGAATTTATCCTTTTAGTATGTCAAATTCTTTACATCTAGAAGGTTCAATCTCAGGACACTTCTTCTGTTTCTTCTTTTCTTGTTTTTTGGTTTTTTTTTTCACCAACACACTATCCCAGTGGTCAAGGATTTTAAATATTTAAATAGAGATAGTCTCCCCTAATTACTAATCTTTTTCAGCTTTCTTGCAATTTCTAAATATTTATTTTTCCTAATAAACCTTAGGACTGTTTTGTAAAGCTTGAATACTTTTCATAAAATTATATTTAGGGTTTCATGACCTTACTTGTTTATTTTGAGCAAAATGGTGTATTATAATATCTCATTTTCCTACCTAGAATAAGACACTTATTGTGAAGTCTTGATCAATAAATCTCAATCAAAAAGTGGACAAAGGACATGCACAGACACTTTTCAAAACAAGACATACATGCTGTCAACAAGCATATGAAAAAAGGTCAATATTAGTGATCATTAGAGAAATGCAAATCAAAACCACAGTGAGATACTATCTCACACCAGTCAGAATGGCTATTATTAAAAAGTAAAAAAATTACAGGTGCTGGGGAGGTTGCAGAGAAAAAGGAATGCTTACACAGTGTTGATTGGTGTGTAAATTAGTTCAACCGTTGTGGAAAACCATGTGGCGATTCCTCAAAGACCTAAAAATGGAGCTACTATTTGAGCCAGCAACCCCATTACTGGTTATATACCCAAAAAAATATAAAGCATTCTAACATAAAGACACATGCATGCACATGCCCATTGCAACACTATTAATTGCAAAGACACAAAATCAACATAAAGGCCCATCATTGGTAGATTGGATAAAGAAAATGTGGTACATACACAGCATGGAATACTATTCAGCCATAAAAAAGAATAAGACCATGTCCTTTGCAGAAACATGGATGGAGCCAGAGGCCATTATCCTTAGCAAATTAGCACAGGAACAGAAAACCAAACACCACATGGTCTCACTTCTAAGTGGGAGCTAAATGATGAGAACACACGAACACATAGAGAGGAACAACAGACACGATGGAGGGTGGGAGGTGTGAGAGGATCACAGAAATACTGATGGGTACTAGGCTTAATACCTAGGTGAGGAAATAATCCATACAACGACTCCCTATGTCAGACTTCTAAAATGACACACCTCCATGACATCCCCATAACAAACCTTCACATGTACCACTGAACTTAAAGATTAAAAAAAGTTGTAAACATCTTCATAGTCTATGTATACCTTGCTTTTTGACTTTTTCATTTAAAAAGGGAATTCTCTTATTTACATTTGATTAATATTTTCAATGACCTGACAAGAGAGGACTCAGCATCTTTTCCTGGCATTTCCTGGCACAGTCTTTAAAGCCATGGGCATAGGTCTGTATTCAGACACACATAGACTTGTATCTGACTATATACAGGTTTGAATGTCATTATATAGGAGTCTGTATTTGACTGTGCACTCGTATCTGTATCCAGCAGCATATATGTCTGTATGACCATATATAGGTGTGTATCCAGTGATACTTTTGGGTCTGTATCTAACTGAACACAAAGTCTATATATGAACACACAGGTCTGTATGTGAAAACACAAAGATCAGTATTTGATTACTTTTATGATTGCATTTATATAAGTTTTGCATATGATATCACCCAGTTCTGTGTCTGTCTACACATGGGGCTATATCTTGCCATACACTGAGCTGCACTGGACCACACGTGTGTTTATATCTGCCCATACAGGGATTTATTTTGGGCCATTAACATGTCTTTATCCAAGACACATGGGTTGTAGTATTGTAGATATATGCTAGTTAGGAGGAAGGGTAAAGACTAAATTTTATAACAGTCAAAAAGCTTTTCAACACAGTTGTAAAATTATATACTTCCACAAGGGACATATGAGAGTTCCAGTTATTCCGCATCATCAGTAACAATTGGATTGGTTTTAATTTGCATTTCCTGGATGACTAAAGATATTGAGCATATAATTCTTGGCTAGTCTGTTGAACATTAAAAAAATCATGTGGCTTGTCTTGACTTGTAAAACTTCTTAATACATTCTAGATACAAGTTCTTATTCAGACATATGTATTGTAAGCATACCCACAATGCATGGCTCACTTTTTCATATTATTAACAGTTTTTATGAGCCAAAGTTTTTATTTTGATGAAGTTCAATTTATCAATTTTTTTTGTATCCAAGGTCTTTCGGATAGAATATTATCAAAGAAACTTCAGACTTAATCTGCAATAAAGACTAAATGGATATAATAAGTATTTACAGAACATTTCATCCAGTGGCTGTAGGAAACATTTTCTTTTCCTTAGCACACAAATCATTCTCAAGGATAGACCATATGTTAGGTTACAAAACAAGTCCAAAAACATTCAAAAAATTTGAAATAATATCAATTATCTTCTCTGACAACAAGGAAATAAAACTAGAAATTAATAACGAGAAATTTTGTAAACGATACTAGTACATGGAAATTAAACAAAATGCTCCTGAATGATCAGTGGGGTCCATGAAGAAATTAATTTTATGGTATTTCCTTTGTCTTTTTAAAGGGAGGGGCATTTGAAAGACAGTTCCTACTTTCAAATGGTTTTCTAGATTTATATCAATTACCTCTCAGCAGCAATATATCAGTGCAGAATCTTACTGCATTCTCGTGAATGTAGATTATTATAAAAATAAATTATACTGACTTAAAAAAAAGAAGAAAACTGATAAATTTCTTGAAACAAACAATGGAAACAAATATACCAAAATCTATCAAATACAGAGAAAGCATTACTCAGATGGAAGTTTATAGCTATAAGTGCTTACACCAAAAAAACCCCTTCAAATAAACAAGCGAACAAAGCATCTTAAAGGAGTAGAAAAGCAAGAGGAAACAAAGCCAAAAACTAGAGGAAAAGAAACGATAAGGATCACAGCAGAAATAAATAAATAAAAATACAAAATATCAATGAAACAAAAGGTTTTTTTTTAAAGTTAAACAAAATTGATAGAACTTAACCAGAGTAACTAAGGAAAAATATCCAAATGAATAAAATCAGAAATGAAAAAGGAGACATTAAAATTGATACTGCATATATTCGAAGGATCATTAGTGGCTACTATGAACAATTATATACCGATAAATTGGAAAATCTATAAGAAATGGACAAATTCCTAGATGCAAATAACCTACCAAGATTGAATGAGGAAGAAATCCAAAACCTGAGCAGCCTCGAAGTAAAGAAAAGCCCAGGAGCTGATAGCTTCACATCTGAATTCTTCTAAACATTTAAAGAAGAATTAATACCAATCCAACTCAAACTATTCTGAAGAATAGAGCAGTAAGGAATATTTTCAAACTTATTCTGAGGCCACTATTACCCTGATACTGAAAGCAGACAAGGATATATCAACAACAACAACAACAAACAAAACTACAGGCCAATATCTCTGATGAATATTGAAGCAAAAACCCTCAACAAAATACTAGCAAACTGAATTCAGCAATACATCATTCATCATGACCAAGTGGGATTTATCCCTGGGATTTCAGCATACGTAAATCAATCAGTGTGATACATCATATCAACAGAATGAAGGGTAAAAACCATATGATCATTTCAACTGATGCTGAAAAAGTATTTGATAAAATTCAACATCCCTTCATGATTAAGCCCTGAAAAAGCTGGGGGTAAAAGGAACATACCTCAACATAATAAAAGCTATATATGGGAGATCCACAGTTAGTCTCATAGTGAATGGTGAAACATGGAAAACCTTTCTTCTCAGATCTGGAACACGAAGATGCCCACTGTCCCCACTGTTATTCAGCATAGTACTGGAAGTCCTAGCTAGGGCAATTAGACAAAAGAAAGATATAAAGGGAATACAAATTGGAAAGGAAGAAGTCAAATTATCTTCGTTTGCTGATGATATGATCTTATATTTGGAATAACCACAACGAAACTGTTAGAAATAATAAATTCCATAGTTTCAGGACACCAAATCAACATATAAAAGTCAGTAGAATGTCTATATTCCAACAGTGAGCAATGTGAAAAAGAACAAATAATCCCATTTAAAAAAGCAACACATTAAATTAAATACCTAGGAATTAATTAATCCAAAAAGTGGAAGATCTCTATAATGAAAACCGTAAACACTGATTAAGGAAACTGAAGAGGACACACACAAAAAAGGGAAAATATTTGATGTTCATGGATTGGAAGAAACAATTTTGTTAAAATGTCCATACTACCCAAAGCAACCTACAGATTGAATACAATCCCTATCAAAATGCCAATGACGTTCTTCACAAAAATAGAAAAAAATCTAACCTAAAATTTACATGGAATCACTAAAGATGCAGACTAGCCAAAGCTATCCTGAGCAACAGAACCAAATTGGAGGAATCATGTCACCTGACTTCATATTATGCTACAGAGATATAGTAAGCAAAATGGGACAGTACTGGCCTAAAAACAGACACATAGACCAATGGAACAGAATGGAGAACCCAGAAACAAATCCACACACCCACAGTGAACTCATTTTCAACAAAGGTGCCAAGAACATATGCTGGGGAAAAGACAGTTTCTTCAACAAATAATGTTGGGAAAACTGGATGTCCGTATGCAGGAGAATGAAACTAGATCTCTATTTTTCTCTAAATACAAAAAAATCTAATTAAAATGGATTAAATACTTAAATGTAAGACCTCAAAATATGAAACGACTACAAGATAACATTGGGGTTGGGGAAACTCTCTTGGACATTGGTCTGTGCAAAGATTTCTTGAGCAATATTTCCCTAGCACAGAAAGGCACAAGTAAAAATGGACAAATGGGATCACGTCAAGTTAAAAAGCTTCCACACAGCAAAGGATACAACCAACAAAGTGAAGAGACAACTCATAGAATGGGTGAAGATATTTGCAAACTGCCCATCTGACAAAGAATTAATAATGACAATGTAGAAGGAGCTCAAACAATTCTATAGGAAAACATCTGGCTGGGCATGGTGGCTCACACCTGTAATCCTGGCACTTTGGGAGGCCGAGGTGGGAGGATCACCTGAGGCCAGGAGTTCAAGACCAGCTTGGTTAACATGGTGAAAACCCATCTCTACTAAAAATATAAAAATTATCCAGGTGTGGTGGAGCATGTCTGTAATCCCTGCTACACAGGAGGCTGATACAGGAGAATCACTTGAACCCAGGAGGCAGAGGTTGTGGTGGGCTGAGATCGTGCCATTGCACTCCAGCCTAGGCAAGAAGAGTGAAACTCCATCTAAAAAAAAAAAATCTAATAAGCCAATGAAAAAGTGAGCAAAATATTAGGGAATCCTAATACACTGTTCATGGGAATGTACATTAGTACAACTACTATAGAAAACAGTTTGAAGGTTTTTCAGAAAACTAAAAATTGAGCAACTATATGATCCAGTAATCCTTTTGCTCAATGTATACCTAAAAGAAAGGAAGTTAGTATATCAAAGAGATATTGGCCTTCCCATGTTTGTTTCAGCACTATTCACAATAGCCAAAATTTGGAAGCAACCTATGTGTCCATTGACAGATAAATGGATAAAGAAAATGTGGTACCTATATATAATGGAGTACTATTCAGCCATTAAAAAGAATGAGATTCACTCATTTGCAACAACATGGATAAGACCCGAGGTCATTATATTATGTGAAGTAATCCAGTCAAAGAAAGACAAACATCATGATATCTAACTTATTTGTGGGATCTAAAATTCAAAACAATTGAACTTAGGGAAGTGGGGAATAGAAGGATGGTTACTAGAAGCTAGGAAGGGTAGCGGGGAGGTGAGAGGGTGGGAGATAAGGATAGTTAATGGGTAGAAAAATAATCAGAAAGAGTATATAAGACTTACTACTTGATAGCACAAAAGGGTGACTATGGTCGATAATATGTTAATTGTACATTTAAAAATAACTAAAAGAGTATAAGTGGATTGTTTGTAATGCAAAGGGTAAATGCTTCAGGGGATGGATACCCCATTTTTCATGATATGATTATTATGCATTGCATGCCTGTATCCAAACATGTAATGTACCACATAAATATACAGAAGTACTATGCACCCACAAAAATTAAAAATTAAAATTTTAAAAAAGAATGTATATTCTGCAGCTTTTGGGCACATTGTTCTCTTATGTAAATTGGTCAAATTTGTTAATGGTGTTGATTAAACCTCCCCTGCCCTCCCCTCCCCACTCTCTTCCCCATCCCTTCCCCCTCCCTTTCCCCTCCCTTCCCCCACCCTTCCCTCTTCCACTTCCCCCTTCCTTCCCCCTTCCCTCTCCCCCTTCCCCCTTCCCTTCCACACACCTACAGTGAACTCATTTTCAACAAAAGTGCCAAGAACATATGCTAGGGAAAAGACATATGCTGGGGAAAAGTTTCTTCAACAAATAATGCTGGGGAAACTGGATGTCCATATGTAGGAGAATGAAACCAGATCTCTATTTTTCTCCAAATACAAAAATCTAATTAAAATGGATTAAAGACTTAAATTCCCCCTTCCCTTCTCCCTTCCCTTCTCCTTTACCTTCCCTTCTCTTCTCTCTTGCTATATTGCCCATGCTAAACTCAAACTCTTAGGCTGAAGTGATACTCCGACCTCAGCCTTCCAAGTAGCTAGGACAGAGAAACATGCCACCATATCCTTCTTTGTTCCTTGTTAGTTTTTTAAATGCTTTGAAGTACATTTTTTGCCTTGTTTCAGATGAGACTTTGGACTTGGAGTTTGGGCTAATGCTGGAATGAATTAAGACTTCGAGGGACTGTTAGGAAGGCATAACTGTCTCTTTAAAAGACGAAAGGGACATGAGATTTGGGAGGGGCCCAGGGTAGAATGATATGATTAGACTTTGTGTCCCCACCCAAATCTCATCTTGAATTGTAATCCCCATAATCCCCACATGTCTAGGGAGAGAAAATGTGGAGGTAATTGAATCATGGGGGTAGTTTCCCCCATGCTGTTCTCGTGATAGTGAGTTTTCATGAGATCTGATGGTTTTATAAAGGGGCTCTTTTCCCTTTGTTCAGCACTTATCCTTCCTGCCGCCCTGTGAGGATGGTGCCTTGCTTTCCCTTTGCCTTCGGCTATAATTGTAAGTTTCCTGAGGCCTCCGAAGACATGCTGAATTGTGAGTCAATTAAACCTCTTTCCTTTATAAATTACCCAGTCTCAGGCAGTTCTTTATAGTAGTATAAAAATGGACTGATACATTAGAGGATTGAATTAATGGACTAATTATCATTATGGTTGCATATGACACAGATTCAGGTTTTGATTAAAAACCTCTACTCCAACCTAAAACTGTACAACTATGATTACCTCTTTTTCTAAGTGTTAGAATCTCAACTTCAGTTCTGAGGCTCTCTGCCTGTAAGTCTCAGGCTTCTTAGGCACAGACTTTCTATCAACAAGGTTAGGTCCTCCTTGCTGAGGATGTGATTAGGTAAGAGAATCTGGGCCTGGTTTCCTCGTCATTCTGGCTTAAATATTACTTGCTTTACCTCAGTATTTCATAATGTAAAACATAATTTATTGTTCAATTTACTTTAGCATTTCTTTTTTCACATTACAAGATTTTCACATTACTTGGCATTCAGTTACTCTTTCTTGACAAAAGCCAAGTCTTTTTCCTTGGCAAGAACCAAGTATTTTTCCCCTAGGGATTGTTCTCTAGAAGAAAAGTGTTCATTTGAATTTGTTCCAAATATTCTAATTAATCTATAAATGCCTTATGGTCTTTTTAATTACAAATATTGATGATGTAAAAGTCATAGACTATGTGTACACATATAAATGGAAGATTTCTTTTCCTGATAGAATAACCTATGAGATAGATAGGTTAAACATTAAAATTTCTGCCCAAGCTACAGTATGTCTTCAACTGGTATCTAGTCCTCTAGATGGGTTGTTTTATTTCATCCACCTTTGTTTGTAAAAATTTGTAGAAGCTCTCAATTTCCTGGAATGAGATTTGGGAGATATAGAGACATGCCTTTAATCAGAAAAGAAGTGGTCTTAGGAATATACTACTTGAATGACTGAAAGACAAGAGTTCTGCTTCTGCCCATAAGAAAGCTTTGTCGTTGGCTTTTTCACAGTTAAATCCCAGCATTTCCTTCTTAGCTATAGAGTTAAATAGCTGGGCACATAAATGTTATAAATCCTTAATCACAGTAAAATATTCATGGTTGCTTCACCATTATTGACAGAGAAGTTACAAATTCAAGAAACAAATTTTGGTGTTGACAAATTTTTGGTTTGCTTAGTTGGGTCACCAGATAATGGGAGTGTCCAGGTTAATTTCCACTAATTAGGTCAATATTTATATAGTCATGCAAAGAAATTATCTCTGTTTTTCTATGAAGAAATTTTCCAGGGGATGTAAAATTTTAACTACCTTTGTACAGTAGTTCTAGCATTATGTTTAAGTGTCTATATTTTGGACATCTGCTCTGGATACCTTTATACTTTTCTGAAAGATTGAGATAATAGAAAGCCTGTGTGGAAATATGGAAATTGTCCCACTAGGAGATATTTCTAGATCCATGGACCAGCCATACATTTTTCACATGTTTTAAGAACACAAATAGATGCATGAGATATCTTCAGTAACCCTCAGTGAAAGAAGCATTGCTTTTCTGGACCAAGGACAAGACCCAAGATGTGAGTTTTTGAAGCAATTGACAAGGGATACTCACTGAAACTTCCTGTAATGTTTTGAAATATAGCTAAAGTCTTAAATCTCACATGTTTTCATTGGAGGAATCTTAATTGGGAAAATTAAGCAAGCAAAACACAGACATTAATCAGAGTATACAAGTACATTTGGTTTTCATATACAGCCTTATAAGTGTTTATTTTCTAATTTGCCAAGTAACAGGAGAAACATGTTCCATGTTACACATAAAATAAGTAAACCAATAGATTTATAATCTAGTATGTAGAATATTTTATTATGTGATACATTAACATAGGTATAGAATTATTTTTAGATATATTTGATTGGAAAATTTAAAATTGCAGACTATATCAAGTGTGTTAGAGTGTAAAGAAATCAATGCCTAATATGTTCTGGAAGCATGATATGGTCTTTTATGTGTGAATCTAAAAATTATCTCAGCATATACAAGTTCAGGAAAGTATTGAGCCTACTATTCTTTAGAGAGATTTACAAAACCGTATTGTTTTATAAATTTTATCTATAAGGGATTATTTTTGTTACTATGGGATTTTATCATTTGAAAAAGTCACGTTCTTAGGAAGCTTAAGTTTTTTTGTCTAGAAAAGTGTTAACTTAGTTGTTTATGTTGAGTGCCTAGTAATATTGTCTTTCAGTTTTTAAAGTATTAAATCTTTGATGACTTAAGCTAAAGAGGATAGTTTACATATCCTGGTTTTTACAAGTAAACATCTAAACTGCCCAAGAGAAGATTTATCCTGGTGAAATTTATCATAGATGATGAAAGAGTGAAAAGGAAATAAATCTTGCAGCAAGTAAGATGTGAAAAAAAGAGAATGGGCTATAGGTTATATAATACCCTTGAGTTCTTCAACAGATGTGCCTTTGTTAGTCTATAACTTCAGCAATGACAGAACTCTAGAATCAGCTGGAAGTGGTAATGTGAATGAGACATGTGGAACGTTTATCACAAATGGCTTCTAAGAAAGCTCAAACTCTCTCTGCGCACATCCTCCTCCACTGTCAGATCTATGTGAACGGAATCATCTTGTCTACATTTGAGATTTAGTAATTCTGTAGTTTTCCTCAGCAGTGAATATCACAAAGTTTGGGTTTGTATTTCTACTTGTCCCATTGTTTTTTTTCTTTAAGTTTGTCCTTAACTGTCAGATCTAGAGACACTAAGAGATCAATGTTGTTTTTATTTTTCTTTTTGAATTGTCTTTTCTTTTCTTTTTTTTTTTAAACTAGGATCTAGTCAATGTCTATTTGTTATGGCTATTCCCAAAGCCTCCTGAGTCACCCAGGGACCCACAGGAGGTTGTGCTTCCAGTATTTCCTCACTAAAATAAATTTTTCTGAAGAGGATTTTTAGCAGAAAACTAGCCTCACTTTTTTTTTTTTTTTTTTTTTTGAGATAGTCTCACTCGGTCACCCAAGCTGGAGGACAGTAGTGTGATCCTGGCTCACTGCAGCCTCTGCCTCCTGGATTCAAGTGATTCTCATGCCTCAGCCTCTTGAGTAGGTGGGATAGCAGGTGTGTACCACCATGCCCAGCTAATTTGTCTCACTTAATTATGAAATTAATCATCTTATTTCCTGTGAATATTAATGTATTTACTATAATTTCTCTTTTTTTCTGATTTGACCCCTTTTTCTTTCATTTTCTACCATTTAGCTCTCCTGCCGATGATCAGTTCAACTTTTTTTTACTAGAATTCTTCTTGCTTCTCATTAAGGTATATTTCATTACAAAGAAAATCACTACTCATACATAATTAAATTTGTAATTCCTAAGACATACAATTTTATTGTGTGCCCCAAAAGGTTTTCCTGAATTATGAGTGTTTTATTCTTTTTAACCTAGACTATGTCTATAAATCTTTTCAAGTTGACAAAGATTCACATGATTTGTTCTATCTTCAAAGTGAAGCATTCAAGAACACTGATAATAACTATAATTTATTGAGTCCTTACTAGGTGCCAGCCAGTGTTCTAGGCACTTTACTTTCTTTTATAAATCAACAGGTAGTTCACTTAAGTTCAAAATTGCTGAAAATCAAGCAATTAAGAGGTAATGACTATTGGGATCCCCATTCTACAAATGATGAAAGTAAGGGTCAGAGAGCTTTAGTAAATGGCCCAAAGTCTCATAAAAAATGGTGAACATGAGGTTGTAGCTGAAGAAATGTGACTCCAGTGTCCACATTATTCACAACATGCTACACTTTCCCTTTGAGGATGTCTTGGATCTTAAATAGGTGCATACTCAGTGAGAAGCTTATAGTCACTACTCACTGTAATAATAAAACCCATTGTCCCACAGACTACCATTTTTCATGTAACAGTCATGAGCTTGGAAAATTTTTATTTAATTATATATTTATAAAAAAAGAAAATTGTCAGCAGAATACCATAAACGAGAGATGCACTAATAGTTCTGTAGATAGTTGATTAGAAAGGATTCTGAATTTCTCAAATTTAATCCCATTGTTTTCCAGTGAGTAAATTGAGACAGACTTGTAATTGCATTCAAAAAATGACTCAAATCCATGTCTTCTTACATGGAATTTGGAATTTCTCTTAGAGTATGCTTCTTCTTGGAATCTGATAGCTAAGATTCTATTTTTGAGTACTTTTGGTATCTAAATAGTGTTATGAATAAAGCCATGTCCTACTGTTCTGTACCTCTTTCTACAGTGTCTATTTTCTCCTCTCTCACTACCTAGCTCATCTCAAGAATTCATGAAAAAAAAAACATGGCATATTTGGTAGTTGGTGATAGTCATGAGTTAGTTCACTTGAGTTCAAATTAATTAAAATTAAGATATTGTATGTAAGTGTTGAAAAAATTGGGGTATAGGCAAGGACAAAATGGAGAGAATCACAGCTCCTTATAAGTTGGACAAGGAGTCAGACCAAGTAATCACTACAGGGAACAATGTGATAAATAATATAGCTATTTATACATTTCAGAGTCATGTCTTCTGACATTTAATGAAAGACTAATAAAGACTGAACATACTTTGAGGCATGAAGGAATGAAGGTCTAATAGTACAAGGCCAGAGTACTGAGTGATATATTTCAGAAGATGTTATTCTTGGTGCTGCACAGATCATATTATAAAGATACCACACATACAAACACAAAGCACTAAATCTATGTCAATTATTTATTTAGAATTTGTTACCATCAGCAGAGAGGAAGTCATTTGAGACCAAGAACCTGTCGCCTATTCATCATAGCTGAATTCTGTGCCAAGAAAAATATTTTAAATAAGAAGTTATAAAATGTATGAGTGGCTTTTGGGACTTTAACACTTCTTCTGTATAGAATATTCACTAAAACTTAGAGGTAGAAGCCTTTACCTGTCACAGAAATGAAAATCTTTGTGGAGAAATAGAATTGTCAAGGGAAGATGGACTCTTTGGATGAGAAACACAATAGAGACTTACTGCATGTTTATTGTGTGTAAATCACTATTGAGGATACAACAATGAAAAGGTGCTCTGCGACACAATGGATGTAAGCATGTTCCTGTTCACTATTTCATTACAGGTCTTGTTCTCCTGAGCTCTCATCTCTGATACAAGCCTTAAAGAAGGGTAAATGAGGCAGAATAACAATATTACAGAATTTGTCCTCCTGGGCTTCTCTCAGTATCCTGATGTGCAAAATGCATTATTTGTCATGTTTTTACTCATATATATTGTGACTATGGTGGGGAACCTGCTCATTGTGGTGTCTATTATTGCCAGTCCCTTTTTGGGCTCCCCAGTGTACTTCTTCCTTGCCTGCCTGTCATTTATAGATGCTGTGTATTCCACCACCATTTCTCCTGTATTGATTGTAGACTTACTCTGTGATAAAAAGACTATTTCCTTCCCAGCTTGCATGGGTCAGCTATTTATAGAGCACTTGTTTGGTGATACTGACGTCTTCCTTCTGGTGGTGATGGCCTATGATCGCTACGTGGCCACCTGTAAGCCACTGCGCTATTTGACCATCATGAATTGACAGGTTTGCATCCTTCTGTTGGTGGTGGCTGTGACTGGAGGTTTTCTGCATTCTGTGTTTCAAATTTTAGTTGTGTACAGTCTCCCTTTCTGTGGCCCCAATGTCATTTATCACTTTTTCTGTAACATATACCCTTTATTGGACCTGGAATGCACTGACACCTACTTCGTAGGCCTCGCTGTGGTTTTCAATGGTGGAGCAATCTGTATGGTCATCTTCACCCTTCTACTAATCTCCTATGGGGTCATCCTAAACTCCCTTAAAACTTATAGTCCGGAAGGGAGGCATAAAGCTCCGTTTATCTGCAGCTCCCACTTTATCATGGTTATCTTGTTTTTTGTTCCCTGTATTTTCTTATATGTTAGACCCGTTTCAAACTTTCCTATTGATAAATTCCTGACTGTGTTTTATTCAGTTATCACACCCAAGTTGAATCCTTTTATATACATGTTGAGAAATTCAGAGATGAGAAATGCTATAGAAAATCTCTTGGGATACCAAAGTGGGAAGACAGGATTTAGATGCTCCAAGCTCAATTAAGAAGTCATCCTATCTTGGCATCTGTTTGAAGTTCAAGATCTCAACCTCTATATCCAGAACTGAGAGTGGATGGGGATGCTTGGGTGCAGGTCCTATTGTGTACATTTTAAATTATGTATTTTCTCTATTACACATCTATTGAGACAGGACATTTCTCCTGTATTCCCAGCACAGAGTGGAGAAAAGGAGGAATAGGTAATTAAAATAGATGCTCCTGTTCAAAAGGGAAGGCTATGGTGCTTCCTTCTGTGTAATTTATTTAAAGACTTTGTGGAATAGGCAAGCACCATATTCACAAATATCTTTGAAACTGCCCCTTCTCAGACTTGAGCTGAAACTCTCTGTGCAGTCAGATAATACTCTTAAGAACCTTGGAATTAAATTTGTCTAGTTTAAGATAGTTACGTGACCCACCATTAAATTTTTCTGAAGTTTATTCATAGTGTCTTTACACCCACAAGTTCAGAATGACTTTTAATTTGATGACCACTCTTACTTTTAGAGTACTTAGCTCTTTGCAGAGACTGGAAAGGGAAACCATTTTCATCTTTGACACCCACAAGTTCTGACTCTTTTATGTTTCTTGTAAATTCTGTCTGAAAATGTAACAGTTAATCTTTTAAGTAGTATTATTTTAAAAATCTGACTTATTATAACATACAATGCTATAATAAACAGCTGTAACTTTCAATATTCTGTTTGGAAATTTTAGTCGTATCCACCTATTCATTTAAGTACATTTTTTATTTTCTACCTTACTACAGGTAACAGAATTACTAAACAGTTATGTCTATTTTCAGCCTTTACTTACAATATCATGGAGGCCCTTGGTTTTATATACTACAGCCAGTTCCAAACACTTTAGATTGTTGTTATGGAAACACCACACTTTAAGGTGTCACTTTTTATTCTCGTCCTGTCTTCATGTATGGTGCAGGGCTCCACAGTTTTTGTGATTTCAAACAACCTTCATTTTATTTTATCTCAAAATTTTGTGAGTCAGGAATTCAGGCAGTTGTTGGCTGGGTGTTTCTTCTGTTTTGTGTGGCAAGGACTGAAGTCGCTGTCTTATTCAGCTGATAACTGAATTTTATGTAAACGCAGGATAACTTAATGCACATTTAAAGCATATTGGAAGGGATGACCTTAAGAGATGCATTGGGTCCTCTTCCTATCCCTTTAGATGAAGGAACACAAGATCACTCCAGAGGATAGTCTGGCTTTTTACATCGTGCTCAGAGATCCCAGTGGTAGAAAGTAAATGGGTCCGGCCAGCTAAGGGCTGTGTCCGGAGCTGAAACAATGTCACTTGCATCATATTCTATTTGTCATAGTGATCACATGACCACCCAGATTTGAGGTTTTACAGAAATAGAAGATAACCTTTGATGCGGAAGTTTCAAAGTCACCTTGCAGATCAGCATGCAGGAAAATTGTCCACATCTCAAAAAGAGCATATTGTAGTTTTATTCATTTTAAGTTAGATCCATAAATCATCTTGAACTAACAACATCTGAGCAACATTGGGTTTTCTAATTCCTGAATACAGTATATCTGTTAGGTATTTAAAATATTTATTTTTGAAGAGTTTTGTAGTTGTTATTCATGTAGGGATCTTCCTTATCTATTCATAAGTATTTATGTTTTCAGATTTCATCACAGACTTTTAATTAAAAAATCCATTTGTCATTGTTGCTAGTATGTATGTAAAGGAAATTGCATTTTTTATTTGACATTTTAGTCCTATAAACTTGTAAATTTACTTCTTATTCCTACAAAGTTATTCTTTAGGGTTTTCTCTAACACTATCATGTTATCTGCAAGTAAGGATAGCTCATTACTTGGAAAGAGATGGGATGTTTCAGTTTCTTTTTGTGTCATGTTTAGAAGGTTGTTCTTTCCCTACATTTTACCTAATTCATCTAAGCCGTCAAACTAATTGAAATAATGTATTTCAGAACAATCCTTTTCTAACCTTTTAAGTCTAAAAGATCTATGGGTTGATTATTTGTTTTATGATTTCTGATATTGGTAATTTGAATTTGTCTTTCCTTTGATAACTCTTGCTGGCAATTTATCAATTTCATTACCAACTTGTGGCTATTTTCATTTTCTCTATTTTATGTTTTCCATTTTATTGTTTTTGATCTTATATTTATGTCCTTTCATTTACTTACCTTGGCTTTTATTTACTGTTCTTGTTCTAGCTTCTTAAGGTGAAGGCTCAGATGCCTGCTTGTAAATATTTATTTTAAATGTAAGCTTTTATAGCTATACATGTTACTTTAAGTACTGTTTTGATCACACCTCAAACATTTTGGTGTTTTTTGTTATTGCTGAGTTCTAAATATTTGCTTATTTACATTATACTTTTTTCTTTGATTCATAGGTTCACTAAATATTTATTGGCATGCTTCCCAATATTTGAAGCATACTCTAGATATATTTATGAGTTATTTATTTATACAAAGGAAATTATTTCAAAATTTAGTGATTCAAACAATATGTACTCATTCTCAATTTCTGTAGGTCAGGAAACTAAGGATGGCTTAGGTTCCCATCCTTCAAGGTCTCTCACAAAACTGTAATCAAGGTGATGGTTGGGGCTACCATCTCATATGAAAGCTTGGCTGAGGAAGCATCCTCTTCCACTCTGGTATTGGGATATAGGTCATATTTTTATATTAGTTCTTCATCTTGGAATCATAATTTAGACCACAGTATCGTTGATCATATCTGATAGTTCTGCAGAATAAAAATATTTTCGTGCATGTTTTAACACTTACCAGTAAGACAGCACAGCACGTATAGACATGCTCTTTGAATTTTAGCAGTAATACATATTACATTTGGGGTGATGTGTTTAAACCATTTACTAGCTAAGTTGAAAATGACTAACTTTTAGTGTAGCCTGTTATGTGATAAAGACCTTAACTATCTCAGATAGGTATTTATGGGACTCTTTAAGACTCTTATGACACAAAGATCAAACATTTAGCTCAACATATGATGAGATGAAGGTGTTCAATAGATCCAATGGTAAGCCAAGTCATGGAAATAACAGTGGAAGCCCTTAAATACTGCTTCCTTGTTGGAAATAAAAATTTCTTTATTGTAGAAACAGTTATTGGATTGATATTAGAATATAATTAAAATATTGAGTTAATGGATGTATTAGTCCGTTTTCACACTGCTGATAATGACATGCCCAAGACTGGGAAGAAATAGAGGTTTAATTAGACTTACACTTCCACAGGGCTTGAAAGGCCTCAGAGTCATGGTGGGAGGTGCAAGGCACTTCTTACATGGCAGTGGCAAGAGAAAAATGAGGAAGATACAGTTCAAGTTGAGATTTGGGTGGGGACACAGCCAAACCATATCAATGGACTACTGATCATTATGGTTATATCTGACTTAGATACAGGTCTTGATCAAAAGCCTCAAAAGCCTGTACTCTAACTAAAACTGCAGCACTATGATTACCTATTTTTCCATGAATCAGAATGTCAACTTCCGTTCTTAGGCTCTCTGCCTCTGAGCCTCGGGGCTTCTTGGGCACAGACTTTCTAACAGGAAGGGTAAGGCCCTCCTCACCGGGAGCATTTTTAGCAAAGAGAACCTGGGGCTGGTTCTCCTTTAATTCTGGCTGAAATATTACTTGCCTTACCTAAATATTTCATAACATGCATCTCATAACTTATTATTCAATTCACTTTAAAATTATTCTTTTCATATTGCAGGCATTTCACATTACTTGTCATTTAGCTACTTTTCCTTAGCAAGAACCAAATCTTTTTCCTCTAGGAATTTTGTAAGAAAAAAGTATACAGAGAGTTTATTTCATTTGAAGTTGTTCCAAATATTCTAACTAATCTATAGTGACGTTACTCTCTCTTTCTAAAATATTGTTGATGTAAAGGTTATAGACTGTGTCTACAGACATAAATGGAAGAATTATTTTTCTGATAGAGCAGCCCAGGAGATATCAAAAAAGTTAAATTTCTGCCCAAGGTAGAGTATGTCTTCAGTTGGTATCTAGTCCTCTAGGTGTAATATTTTCTTGCAATGTCTACCATTGCTTGTAAAAATGAGTGAAAGTTCTCAATTTCCTGGGATGAGATTGGGGAGATATAGAGACATGCTTTTACTTAGGAAAGAAGTGGTCTTAGGGATATGCTAGTTGAATGACTGAAAGACTGAAGAGTTTGGCTTCTGCCTGTGGGAAGCTCTGTCACTGGATTCTCCATGAAGTTAAATCTCAGCATTGTCCTTGTTACGTACAAAGCTTAATAGCTGGGCACATGAATGTTATAAATCCTCAATGACAGTAAAGTACCTGTGGTTGCTTCACTATAATTGAGAAAATATTCAAGTAACAAATATAAGTGTTGCTACTTGTGTCATATAAAAGGGTGTTGTCCAGGTTAATTTCCACTAATTAGTTCCACTTTTACATAGTCAAGCAGAGACAGTCTCTTTGTTTTTCTTCGAAGGCATTTTCCAGCACGTGAGAATATTCAATTACCTTTCACAGTAAATATTGTCGTTATCTTAAAGCATTATTATAGTTTGGTCATCTGCTTTGGATAGTGCTATACTTCTCTAAAGACTAAGATAATGAGAAGCCTGCATGGAACTGTGGAAACTGTAGCCACTAGGAACTAGTTCTATATCCATGGATCAGCCACGTATATTCCTGTGTTTCATGAGGACACATAGAGGCATGAGGTATCTATGGCAATCCTCAGTGAAAGAAGCATTGCTTTTCTGGACCAAGATGTGAGTATTTGAAACCATTGACAAGAGATAATTCATTAAAAATTCCTGTGATATGTTGAAATGTAGCTAATATCTTAAAAACCAATGGTTTTATTTGATAAATTCTAATTGGAAAAATTAAGCTAGCACACATGGAAATTTATCAATGTATACAATGTATATTTGATTTTAATATACAGCCTATTTGTATGTTTCCATTTGTCAAATAAGAAGAAAAACATGTTCCATATTACACCTAATAATAAATGAATCAATAGATGTGTAATCTTAGTGTTTGTGATATTATATTTTATATGATATATTAATAAATGTGTACAATTACTTTCAGATATATTTGATTAGAGAATTTAAAATTCTGGATCATGTCAAGTTTGTTGAAGTGTAAATGAACAAATGTCTGTTATGTTCTGGAAGCATAATACAGGATTTTACTTATGAATCTAAAAATTATTTCAGCAAACATACTAATGGATACCTATGGTCAGGAAGGTACCTAGTCAGCTGTCATTTAAATAGATTTATAAAACTGTGACTGTGAAACATAATATTATAGATGTTTTTGTGTTATTACAGAATTTTATCTTTTGAAAATGGCATGAACTCAGGAAATTATATTAGATCATTTTTTCTAGAAAATTGTTAACTTAGCAGTTTACATTGAAAGCCTAGTAATGCTATGTTTCAGCTTTTAAAGTATTATGTTTTTAACTATTTAAACTATAAAGGATAATTTTATACCCTAGTTTTACAAGTAAACATTTAAATTCCCAAATAGAATTTTCCTGTTGAATGTAGTTTTGATGGTGAAAGGGGGAAAACACACTAAACTTTGCAGCAAGCAAGATGTAAAAAAAAAAACCAGAATTCGCTATAGGCTACATTATTCTCTTGTGTTCTTCAGCATGTGCATCTCTATAAGTCTATAGCTTCAACAGTGCCAGAACGCTTTGTCAGCTGGAAGTGGTAACATGAATGAGACATGTGGAAAGTGCATCACAGCTGGCTTCTAGAGACAGCTCAGACTCTCTCTGCACACGTCCTCTTCCACTGCCAGATTTATGTAAATGGAATCATCCTGTCTACATTCGAGGTTTAGTAATTCTGCAGTTTTCCTCAGCAGTGAATAATCACAAAGTCTGGGTTTTTATCTCAACTTGTCCCATTGTTCTCTATAATTTAAGTTTGTCTTTAACCATCAGATGGAGAGACTTTGATAAATCAATGTGTTTTGTTTTTCTTCTGAGTTTTCTTTTCTTTTCTTTTTGGTGTTTATTAGGATTTGCTCTGTGTTTGTTTGGCTACCCCAAGAAGCCTCTTGAGTCTCCTCAGGGACCACAGCGGGTTGTGCTTCCAGTATTTCCTCACTCTCTGAAGATTTTTAGAAGAACACTAGACTCAGTTATCACATTAATTTTTATCTTCTTATTACCCATGGACATTAAGTTATTTATTGTAATTACTCTGTTTTCCGATTTGATCACTTTTTCTTTCATTTTTTTAACCATTTAGCTCTCTGTCTGATGATGGGTCCAAATTTTCTACTATAATTCTGCCTGATATTGTCAAGATACTTTCCATCACAGATAAAATCACTACTCATACATAATTAAATGGATAATACCTAAGACATAAAATTATATTGTGTCCCCAAAAGCTTTTCCTGAATTATATGTGTCTTCTATTATTTTTTCCTCTGGACTATGCCTATAAATATTTTCAAATTGACAAAGATGCAGATGATTTGTTTTTTTTTTAATTATACTTTAAGTTTTAGGGTACATGTGCACAACGTGCAGGTTTGTTACATATGTATACATGTGCCATGTTGGTGTGCTGCACCCATTAACTTGCCATTTAACATTAGGTATATCTCCTAATGCTATCCTTCCCCCCTCCCCCACCCCACAACAGGCCCCAGTGTGTGATGTTCCCCTTCCTGTGTCCATGTGTTCTCATTGTTCAATTCCCACCTATGAGTGAGAACATGCAGTGTTTGGTTTTTTGTCCTTGCGATAGTTTGCTGAGAATGATGGTTTCCAGTTTCATCCATGTCCCTACAAAAGACATGAACTCATCATTTTTTATGGCTGCATAGTATTCCATGGTGTATATGTGCCACATTTTTTTTTAATCCAGTCTATCATTGTTGGACATTTGGGTTGGTTCCAAGTCTTTGCTATTGTGAATAGTGCCACAATAAACATAGATGTGCATGTGTCTTTATAGCAGCATGATTTGTTTTGATCCAGTGTTCACAGTGAAGCATTCAGGAACACAAGTATTAGCTGTCTTTTACTGGGCCTTTACCAGGTGCCAGCCAGTGTTCTAGGAAACTTTACTTTGTTGTAATAAAAGAACTCTAGATGTTTCAAATGAAAATGAGGCAAAGAGCAGTTTAGTAAGTGGCCCAAAATCATATAGTAAGTGGTGAAACTGGGCTTGTAGCTGAGGCAGTGTGGCTCCTTTGTCCCCATTATTCGCCACATGCTACACTTTGTTTCCAAGGATTTCTTGAATCTTAAATAGGCACATATTGAGTGGGAAACTTGTAGTCATAATTTACTCACTCTAATCATGAAACATCTACCACTGACTACCGTTATTCATGTAACAGTTATGAGCTTGGAAATTGCTATTTAATTATAAATATATGAAAAATGAAAGAGTCAGCAGAATATAATAAGGGAGGGGTGCACTAATAGTTTTGTAGGTGGTTGACTGGAAACGATTCTCAGTTCATCTAATTCAATCACATTGTTTTCCAGTGAGCAAACTGAGACAGACATGTAAATTCATTCAGAAAATGACTCAAATTGATGTCATCTTACAGTGAACGTGGACTTTCTCTTTCAGTATGCTTTTTTTGGAATCTGGACACTAAGGTTCTATTTTTGAATACTCTTGGTATCTAAATAGTGTTAAAAATAAAACAGTGTCCTCTGTTCTGTACCTTTTTGTACGGTGTTTATTTTCTCCTCTCTCACTATCTAGTTCACCCCAAGAAATCAGAAAAAAAACTCACAGCTAATGTGGCAGTTGGTGATAGCCATCAGTTAGTTTTCTTGAGTTCAAAATTTGTTGGTGAAAATCAGGATACTGTATGTAAATATGATTAAAAAATTGTGGAATAGGCAAGAATAAGATGCAGAGATGTGCAGCTCCTTATAAGGCAACAGAGGGTCAGACCAAGTAATTGCTACAGGGAATAATGTGATAAATAATATTTTGCTATTTATTCAGGTTAATGTCCAGTCTCTTGACATTTAATGAGGTGTTCATAAAGACTGAACATCTTTCGAGGCATGAAGGACTGAATGTGTGACTGTGGAATGCCACAGTACTGAGTGAGATATTTCAGAAGATATTACTTTTGATGCTACACAGATCATAAAGATACTACAAGAACTACAAACTCAAAGCACTGAATATACACGAATTTATTTATTTAGAATCTATTACCACCATGAGAAAGTAACATTCTTGAGACCAATAATCTGTTGCCTATTCATCATAGCTGACTTCTGTGCCAAGAAATATGTTTTAGATAAGGAGTTATGAAATATATGAATGGCTGTTGGGCATTTAACTCTTCTTCTGTACAGAATATTCACTAAAACTTAGAGGCAGAAGCTGTTAACTGTAGGCTGAAACGAAAATCTTTGAGGAGATGAGGAACTCAATAGAGACTTACAAAATGTTTATCATGTGTGTAAATCACTATTGAAGATACAATGATGAAGAAGTGCTCTGTGACATCGTGGATGTGTTCATATTCCTGTTCAGTATTTTGTTACAGGTCCTGTTCTCCTGAGCTCTTTACTCTGATACAAGCCTCAGAGAATAGAAAATGAGACTGAGTAGCGATGTTACAGCATTTGTCCTCCTAGGCCTTACTCAGGATCCTGATGTGTAAAATGCATTATTTGTCGTACATTTACTCACATACATTATGACTATGGTGGGGAACCTGCCCATTGTGGTGACTATTATTGCCACCCCCACCTTAGGCTCCCCAGTGTACTTCTTCATTGTCTGCTTGTCATTTATAGATGTTGTGTATTCCACCACCATTCCTCCCAAATTGATTGTAAGCTATCTCCATGATAAAAAGACTATTTCCTTCCGAGCTTGCATGGGTCAGCCCTTTTATAGACCACTTAGTTGGTGGTGCTGAGGCCTTCATTCTGTTGGTGATGGCCTATAATCGCTATGTAGCCATCTGTAAGCCACTGCACTATTTCACCATCATGAATTGACAGGTTTGCATCCTTCTGTTGGTGGTGGCTGTCACTGCGGGTTTTGTGCATTCTGTGTTTCAAATTTTAGTTGCGTACAGTCTCCTTTTCTGTGGTCCCAATATCATTGACCACTTTTTCTGTGACATGTACCCATTATTGGAACTGGCACACACTGACACCTACTTTATAGGCCTCACTGTTGTTGCCAATGGTGGAGGAATCTGTATGGTCTTGTTCATCCTTCTACTAATCTCCTGTGGGGTCATCCTAATCTCCCTTAAAACTTATAGTCAGGAAGGGAGGCATAAAGCCCTGTCTACCTGCAGCTCCCACATTACCGTGGTTGTCCTGTTTTTTGTTCCCTGTATTTTCCTGTATGTTAGACCTGTTTCAAACTTTCCTATTAATAAATTCATTACTGTGTTTTATACAGTTATCACACCCATGTTGAATCCATTAATATACACATTGAGAAACTGAGAGATGAAAAATGCTATAGGAAACCTCTGGTGTAAATATTAACTCTAGATAGAATAAGAGGGTACATTTTCATGTAGGTACAGGGTAATGCAGGTAAAGCCTTTCCAGCGAGTTTGTTAGACCTGTAATGGCAATTCAGGGATCCTAGATTGGGAAAGCGGGATTCAGGAGTTCCCAGGTCAGTTAACATCTTGTCCCATCATGAGCTCAATTTGACATCCAGGATGTCAAATTCTATATCCAGAGTGAGTGTTGACAAAGCTCTTGGGGTACAATTTCCAATGCACAGCTCTTTTATTCTGGTTCTCTATTTTCAGGTCTATGGACTAGAGACAGGGTTTTTCTTTCTCATTCTCAGCATACAATGGAGGAAGAGAGGAGTAAATAACCAAAAATAGACACTACTGTTTACAAGAAAATGCTAAGGTGCTTCCTTCAATGCAATTTCCTAAAAAACATTGTAATATTTCTGTGTTTTTTAAATTGTCATTTAAAACACTATACAAGAGCCACACTCACAAATATCTTTGCAACTGACTCTTCTTGGGTTGGAGCTGAGAGTCCGTGTGTGTGCAGTGGGATAATTACCATAGGAGTCTTAGAATTATTTTTGTTTCATTGGTAGGATTTATGAAACACACTTTAAAATCTTTCTGAAGTCTTCTCAAAGGACCTTCCATTGACAACTTTGATATGACTTTTATTTCTGACACTTAAAGCATGTGGCATTGTCTTTAATATTAGAAGCTAGGTGACATTATTAACATTGAGAGTCTTTAGATCTTTGGAGAGACTGGAAAGGGAAACCAGTTTTATTTTTGGAACCAGCAAGTTTGGGCTGTTTTCTTTTTCTTTCTTTTTTTTAATTTTAGTAGTATATTTTATTTAACCCAATATATCTTAAATATTTTGATTTCAATAAGTATTCAGTATAGAAATTATTAAGATTCTGTACATTCTTTAGTTTTCTTTTTTCTTTTTTTAAAATTTTATTATTATTATACTTTTAAGTTTTAGGGTACATGTGCACAATGTGCAGGTTTGTTACATAGGTATACATGCGCCATGTTGGTGTGCTGCACCCATTAACTCGTCATTTAGCATTAGGTATATCTCCTAATGCTATCCCTCCCCCCTCCCCCCACCCCACAACAGTCCCCGGTGTGTGATGCTCCCCTTCCTGTGTCCATGTGTTCTCATTGTTCAGTTCTCACCTATGAGTGAGAACATGCAATGTTTGGTTTTTTCTCCTTGCGATAGTTTGCTGAGAATGATGGTTTCCAATTTCATCCATGTCCCTACAAAGGACATGAACTCATCCCTTTTTATGGCTGCATAGTATTCCATTGTGTATATCTGCCACCTTTTCTTAATCCAGTCTATCACTGTTGGACATTTGGGTTGGTTCCAAGTCTTAGCTATTGTGAATAGTACCACAATAAACATACGTGTGCATGTATCTTCATAGCAGCATGATTTATAATCCTTTGGGTATATACGCAGTAATGAGATGGCGGAGTCAAATGGTATTTCTAGTTCTAGATCCCTGAGGAACTGCCACACTGACTTCCCCAATGGTTGAACTAGATTACAGTCCCACCAACAGTGTAAAAGTGTTCCTATTGCTCCACATCCTCTCCAGCACCTGTTGTTTTCTGACTTTTTAATGATCGCCATTCTAACTGGTGTGATACGGTATCTCATTGTGGTTTTCATTTGCATTTCTCTGATGGCCAGTGATGATGAGCATTTTTTCATGTGTCTTTTGGCTGCTTAAATGTCTTCTTTTGAGAAGTGGCTGTTCATATCCTTCGCCCACTTTTTGATGGGGTTGTTTGATTTTTCTTCTAAATTTGTTTGAGATCATTGTAGATTCTGGATACTAGCCCTTTGTCAGATGAGTAGGTTGCAAAAATGTTCTCCCACTTTGTAGGTTGCCTGTTCACTCTGAGGGTAGTTTCTTTTGCTGTGCAGAAGCTCTTTAGTTTAATTAGATCCCATTTGTCAATTTTGGCTTTTGTTGCCATTGCTTTTGGTGTTTTAGACATGAAGTCATTGCCCATGCCTATGTCCTGAATGGTAATGCCTAGGTTTTCTTCTAGGGTTTTGATGGTTTTAGGACTAACATTTAAGTCTTTAATCCATCTTGAGTTAATTTTTGTGTAAGGTGTAAGGAAGGGATCCAGTTTCAGCTTTCTCCATATGGCTAGCCAGTTTTCCCAGAGCCATTTATTAAATAGGGACTCCTTTCCCTATTGCTTGTTTTCATCAGGTTTGTCAAAGATCAGATGGTTGTAGATATGCGGCAATATTTCTGAGGGCTCTGTTCTGTTCCATTGATCTATATCTCTGTTTTGGTACCAGTACCATGCTCTTTTGGTTACTGTAGACTTGTAGTATAGTTTGAAGTCAGGTAGCATGATGCCTCCGGCCTTTGTTCTTTTGGCTTAGGATTGACTTGGAAATGCAGGCTCTTTTTTGGTTCCACATGAACTTTAAAGTAATTTTTTTCCAATTCTGTGAGAAAGTCATTCTTAGCTTGATAGGGATGGCATTGAATCTATCAATTATCTTGGGCAGTATGGCCATTTTCATGATATTGATTCTTCCTACCCATGAGCATGGAATTTTCTTCCATTTGTTTGTATCCTCTTTTATTTCATTGAGCAGTGGTTTGTAGTTCTCCTTGAAGAGGTCCTTCACATCCCTTGTAAGTTGGATTCCTAGGTATTTTCTTCTCTTTGAAGCAATTGTGAATGGGAATTCACTCATGATTTGGCTCTCTGTTTGTCTGTTATTGGTGTATAAGAATGCTTGTGATTTTTGTTCATTGATTTTGTATCCTGAGACTTTGCTGAAGTTGCTCATCAGTTTAAAGAGATTTTGGGCTGAGACAATGGAGTTTTCTATATATACAACCATGTCATCTGCAAACAGGGACAATTTGACTTCCTCTTTTCCTAGTTGAATACACTTTATTTCCTTCTCCTGTCTGATTGTCCTGGCCAGAACTTCCAACACTATGTTGAATAGGAGTGGTGAGAGAAGGCATGCCTGTCTTGTGCCAGTTTTCCAAGGGAATGCTTCCAGTTTTTGCCCATTCAGTATGATATTGGCTGTGGGTCTGTCATATATGGCTCTTATTATTTTGAGATATGTCCCATCAGTACCTAATTTATTGAGAGTGTTTAGCATGAAGGGTTGTTGAATTTTGTCAAAGGCCTTTTCCGCATATTGAGATAATCATGTGGTTTTTGTCTTTGGTTCTGTTTGTACGCTGGATTACATTTACTGATTTGCATATGTTGACCCAGCCTTGCACCCCAGGGATGAAGCCCACTAGATCATGGTGGATAAATTTTTTGATGTGCTGCTGGATTTGGTTTGCCAGTATTTTATTGAGGATTTTTGCATCAATGTTAATCAAAGATATTGGACTAAAATTCTCTTTTTTGGTTGTGTCTCTGCCAGGCTTTGGTATCAGAATGATGCTGGCCTCATAAAATGAGTTAGGGAGGATTCCCTCTTTTTCTATTGATTGGAATAGTTTCAGAAGGAATGGTACCAGTTCCTCCTTGTACCTCTGGTAGAATTCGGCTGTGAATCCATCTGGTCCTTGACTTTTTTTGGTTGGTAAGCTATTGATTATTGCCACAATTTCAGATCCTGTTATTGGTCTATTCAGAGATTCAACTTCTTCCTGGTTTAGTCTTGGGATGATGTATGTGTCGAGGAATTTATCCATTCCTTCTAGATTTTGTAGTTTATTTTCATAGAGGTGTTTTGGTATTCTCTGATGGTAGTTTGTATTTCTGTGGGATTGGTGGTGATGTCCCCTTTCTCATTTTTTATTGCATCTATTTGCTTCTTCTCTCTTTTCTTCTTTATTGGTCTTGCTAGCAGTCTATCAATTTTGTTGATGTTTTCAAAAAACCAGCTCCTGGATTCATTAATTTTTTGAAGGGTTTTTTGTGTCTCTATTTCCTTCAGATCTGCTCTGATTTTAGTTATTTCTTGCCTTCTGCTAGCTTTTGAATGTGTTTGCTCTTACTTTTCTACTTCTTTTAATTGTGATGTTAGGGTGTCAATTTTGGATCTTTCCTGCTTTCTTTGTGGGCTTTTAGTGCTACAAATTTCCCTCTACACACTGCTTTGAATGTGTCCCAGAGATTCTGGTATGTTGTGTCTTTGTTCTCACTGGTTTCCAAGAACATCTTTATTTCTGCCTTCATTTTGTTATGTACCCAGTAGTCATTCAGGAGCATGTTGTTCAGTTTCCATGTAGTTGAGCCATTTTGAGTGAGTTTCTTAATCCTGAGTTCTAGTTTGATTGCACTGTGGTCTGAGAGACAGTTTTTATAATTTCTGTTCTTTTACATTTGCTGAGGAGTGCTTTACTTCCAAGTATGTGGTCAATTTTGGAATAGTTGTGGTGTGGTGCTGAAAAGAATGTATATTCTGTTGATTTGGGGTGGAGAGTTCTGTAGATGTCTATTAGGTCTGCTTGGTGTTTTGATATATTGTGTCATTATTGTTGTTCAGTTCAATGAATTTTTTAATTTCCATCTTGATTTTGTTTTTGTGGCAATGCTCATTCAGGAGCACGTTTTTAAATTATAATGCATTTGCATGGTTTCAAAGGCTCCTTTTTGTGTTGATTTCCAGTTTTGTTCCACTGTGATCTGAGAGAGTGCTTGATATAATTTCAGTTTCCTTAAATTTATCAAGGCTCATTTTATGGTCTATCTTATGGTCTGTCTTGGAGAAAGTTCTGTGTGCTGCTGAATCGAAAGTGTCTTCTGTGGTTGTTGGATGAAATGTTCTGTATATATCATCTGCTAATCCCATTTGTTCCCAGGTATAGTTTACATCCATTGCTTCTTTGTAGACTTTCTGTTGATGACCTGTCCAGTACTGTCATTGGAATATTCAAGACTCCCACTATTATTGTGTTGCTGCCTATGTCATTTCTTAGGTCTATTAGTAATTGTTTTATAAATTTGAGAGTTCCAGTGTTAGGTGCACATATATTTAGGATTGTGATATTTTCCTGTTGGACAAGTTGCTTTACCATTATATAATGTCCTGCTTTGTCTCTTTTATCTGCTGTTGCTTTAAAGTTTGTCTGATATAAGCATAGCTACCCCTGCTTGCTTTCTTTTGGTGCCCATTTGCATGACATGCCTTTTTCCGCATCTTTACTTTTATTTTATGTGAGTCCTTATGTGTTAAGTGAGTCTCCTGAAGGCAGCAGATGGTTGGTGAGTTCTTATCCATTCGGCAGTTCTGTATCTTTTAAGTGAAGCATTTAGGCCAGTTACATTCAATGTTAATATTGAAATGACAGCACCATCACATTCATTGTGCTCTTTGTTGCCTGTGTACTTTGGTTCTTTTGTTTTTGCTTTTTAACGTATTTTTGTTTTACAGGTCCTGTGTGATTTATGCTTTAAAGAGTTTCTGTTTTTTGGTGTTTTCAGGTTTGTTCCAGGATTTCAAGCTCCTTTTAGCAGTTCTTGTAGTGGTGGCTTGGTAATGGCAAACTCTTTCAGGATTCGTTTGGCTGAAAAAGACTGTCTTTCCTTGATACATGATGCTTAGTTTTTCTGGATACAAAATTTTTGGTCGATAATTGTTTTCTTTGGGGAGGCTGAAGATAGAGCTCCAATCCCTTCCGCATTGTAGGGTTTCTGCTGAGAAATCTGCTCTTAATCTGATAGGTTTTTCTGTATAGGTTACCTGGAGCTTCTGTCTCACAGCTCTTAAGATTCTTTCCTTTGTCTTAACTTTGGATAACCTGGTGACAATGTGCTTAGGCCAAGACCTCCTTGTGAGATGAATTTCCTGGTGTTCTTTTTGCTTCTTGTACTTGGATGTCTAGGTCTCTAGCAAGGCTGGGGAAGTTTTCCTCTATTATTTTCCCAAAGATGTTTCCCAAGTTTTTAGAATTTTCTTTTTCCTCAGGAACACTGATTATTATTTGGTTTGGCCATTTAATGAAGTTCAAGACTTCTTGGGGGCTTTGCTCATATTTTCTTATTCATTTTTCTTTGTCTCAGTTGGATTAGGTTAATTCAAACACCTTGTCTTCGAGCTCTGAATTTCTTTCTTCTACTTGTTCAATTCTATTTCTGAGTATTTCTAGAGCATTTTACATTTTTAACAGTGTGTCCAAAGTTTCCTGAATTTTTGAATGTTTTTTTCTTTAAGCTATATATTTCTTTGAATATTTCTCCATTCACTTCTTGTATCCCATTTTGGATTTCCTTGCATTGGGCTTCACCTTTCTCTGGTCCCTCCCTAATTTGCTTAATAACTAACCTCCTGAATTCTTTTTCAGGAAAATCAGGGATTTCTTCTTGGTTTGGATTAATTGCTGGTGAACTAGTGTGATTTTTTGGGGGTGTTGAAGATCCTTGTTTTCTCATATTACCAGGGTTGGTTTTCTGGTTCCTTCTCATTGGCGTAAGCTCTGCCAGATGGAAGGTCTAGGGCTGGAGGCCGTCATTCAGAATTTTTTTTGTCCCAGGAGGTGTTCCCTTGATGTAGTATTTTTCACGTTTTCCTGTGGATGTTGCTTCTTGTGAGCCAATCTACAGTGATGTTTGTCTCTCATCTGGGTGTAGCCACCCAGAGAGTCTACCCTGCTCTGGGCTTGCACTGAGGTTGTCTGCAGAGTTGTGTGAATGAACCATCTATGGATCTCTCAGCCATGGATACCAGCGCCTGTTCCAGTGGAGGTGGCGGAGGGTGCAATGGACTCCATAGGGCTCCTTAGATTTGGTGGTTTAATGCTCTATTTTTGTGCTTGTTGGCCTCTGCCAGGAGGTGGCACTTTCCAGAAAGCATCAGCTGTAGTATTGTGGAAAGGGAAAGGCTGTGGGTGAGGCCCTAGAACTCCCAAGATTATATGCCCTTTGTCTTCCGCTACCAGTGTGGATAGGGAAGGACCATCATTTGGGGGTGGGGCTAGGCATGTCTGAGCTCAGACTCTCCTTTGGTGGGTCTGGCTGTGGCTGCTGTGGGGGATGGGTGTGATATTCTGAGGTCATTGGTTTGTGTACCTAGGAAGATTATGGGTGCCTCTGCTGAGTCCTGCAGGATGTCAGGGAAGTGTGGGAAAGCAAGCAGTCATGGGCCTCACCCAGTTCCCATGCAAACAGAAGGAGAGGTCTCACTCACACCGTGTCCCCCATAGTAATCTGAGTCTGTTTCTAGGTGGAGGGCAAGTAGGGCTTGAAAACTTGCCCAAGGCTTTCTGTCTCTCAGGTGTGGAAAAAAAGGGATTTATTTCTTCCCTGACCTGTGAAGTCTGCATACCAGATTTGAGCCCTCCCCCGAGTTCTGGCCAGGAGGTTTCTCATCCCATTCAAATAGTTACAAAGTTCAGCTTGAGAAGTCCTTCTCTCTGGGGAGTTTCACTGCTTGCTCCTCTGGCCACCCTCCTGATGGATCCCTGTGGTGCCAGACAGGAATGGGCTGCTTGGGGATCCAGTGAGCCCCCAGGGCCTTTCTGCTGTTTCCTCTACCCCTGTATTTTTCTTGGCTTGGCTCTCTAACTTGACTCAGCTCCAGGTAAAGTCAGGAATTTCTCCTGCAAACCGACCTTCAGCTTCTCTAGTGCAGGTGTGTGTTCGGGAGAGGAGGGTCTCCGTTTCCCACTTCTCCAATTACGGCACTCACAGTATTTGAGGTGTCTCCTGGGTCCTGCAGGAGCAGTCTGCTTCTTTCAGAGGGTTTGTGGGTCCTCTCAGGATGACTGGTGTGTTGTTGTAGTCATTCTGGAGCTAAAATTCACAGTGCAAGCCTCCGTAAGCTGCTCTTTCCAGAGCTGCAATCTAGTCCTGCCTCCTATCCACCATGATCCCTGAAATCCTCAGTATTAAAAATACCTGGCAGTACCTAACATGCTGATATAGTTTGGCTTTGCCTGTGCCCAAATCTCATATTGAATTGTAGTCCCCATTATCCCCATGTGTTGTGGAAGGAACTAGGTGGAGGGTATTTGAATTATGAGGTGGTTTCCCCCATGTTGTTCTCTTGATCATGAGTGAGTTCTAATGAGATCTGATGGTTTCATAAGTGTCTGTCATTTCTCCTGCTGTCGCTTCTTCTCCCTCCTGCATCATCTGATCTAACAAACACTTTTGTGTCATTCTGAAAAGTGGGAAGAATTAGTGGTTATTTGAATTCAGCTAGAAGGGACATACAGAATTTTGGTTTATTTTCATATTAGTTGTCCATCTTGGAGTCATAATTTAATCCATGGTATCTTTGATCATATCTGATAGTTCTTCAGAATTATACGTTTGTGCATCTTTTACCACTTACAAGTAAGAGAGCGCAGTGCTTACAGACATAGTCTTTAAATTTTAGAAGTGATACAGATTACATTTGGTGTGGATGAATTTCATCCATGTATTAGGTAAGTTGAAAATGACCAACTTTTAGTGGAGCCCAATACATGATAAACTCATTAGCTGGTTCAGATATGTATTTATGGGACTCTGTATCTAACACTCTTATGACACAGAAGATCCAATATTTAACTAAACATATGATGAGATGAACGTGTTCAATGGAGCCAATGGTAAGCCAAGTCACGGAAATAACAATGGAAGCCCTTAAGCATTGCTCCCTTGTTGAAAAATACAAATTTCTTTATTGTAGAAACAGTTACTGAATTGATGTTGGAATACAATTATTAAGTAACTGAATTAATGGACTATAGATCATTATGGTTATATCTGACATAGATTCAGGCCTTGATCAAAAGCCTTTACTCTGATCTAAAACTGCAGAACTATGATTACCTGCTTTTTCAAGAATCAGAATGTCAAATTCTGTTCTTAGGCTGCCTGCCTCTGAGCCTCAGGACTTCTTGGGCATGGAATTTCTAACAGGAAATGTAAAGCCCTTCTTTTTGGGAATGTGCTTAGGGTAAAGAACCTGGGACTGGTTCCCCCTTCATTCTGGCTTAAATATTACTTGCCTTACCTCAGTATTTCATAAAGTGAAACTCATAATTTTTGTTCAATTTATTTTAAAATTTTTCTTTTCACATTATAGGCTTTTCACATTACTTGGCATTTAGCTACTCTTCCTTGGTGATGCCCAAATCTTTTCCCTCTAGGGAGTTTCTAGGGGGAAAAAAAGATGTTCGGAGAGTTTACTTCATTTGAATTTATTCCAAATAATGAAATTAACTAACCTATAATGACCTTACACTCTCTTTTATTTAAAATACGATGATGCAAAAGTCATAGATTGTGTCTACACACATAAATGGAAATATTATTTTCCTGATAGAATAACCCAAGAGATATCTGAAGAGTTAAATTTCTACCCAAGGTAGAGCATGTCTTCATTTGGTATCTAGTCCTTTAGGTGTGGTGTTTTCTTGTCATATCCTCCATGTTGTGTAAAAATTTGTTAAAGTTCTCAATGTACTGGGCTGAGGTGGGGAGATATAAAGACATGATTTTAATTAGGAAAGAAGTAGATTTAGGGGTACGCTATTGGAATTATATCTGAATGACCGAAAAACTGAAGAGTTTGGCTTCTGCCTGTGAGAAAGTTCTGTCATTGTTTTTTCCATAAAGTTAAATTTCAGCATTGTCCTTGTTAGGTACAAAGCTTAATAGCTGGGCACATGAATGTTATCATAAATCCTCAATCACAGTAAAGTACTTATGGTTACTTCACCATAATTGAGGAAACTTTCATGTAACAAATTTTAGTGTTGGTATATTTTTGTTCACTTGTGTCACAAAATAAGGGTCTTGTCCAGGTTAATTTTCATTAATTAGGTCAATTTTTACATAGTCATGCAATGATAATATTTTTGGTTTTTTATGAAGAAATTTTCCAGCAGGTGAGATTATTTAACTACCTTTGTGTATTATGTTTAAGCCTCTTTATATTTTGGTCATCTGCTTTGGATATTTCCATACCTCTGTAACAACTGAGATAATGAGAATCCTGTGTGGAATTGTGGAAACTGTAGCCATTAGAAACTAGTTCTCTAACCCTGGATCAGTCATTCATATTTACATGTTCTGTGATCACAAATAGGTGCATGAGATGTCTACATTAACACTCAGTGAAAGAAGCATTGCTTTTCTGGATTACAGTGTGAGCATTTGAAACCAGTGACAGGAGATATTCATTGAAAATTCTTGTGATATGAGGAAATGTAGCTAATATCTTAAATACCATATGATATTGTTGAAGGAATTTAATTGGGAAAGTTAGCCAGGAAACATGAAAACTTTTTGGAACATACAATGTATATTTGGTTTTAATATATAGCCTAATTTATTTTTCTTCTTTTCTATTTGTTAAATAAAAAAAAAGTTCCATACTACATGCTTAATAAACCAATAGATTTATAATTATAATCTTAATTTTTGAGATGTTGTATTTTATATGATATATTAATAAAAGTGTACAATTACTTTCAGATATATTTGATTAGGGAGTTTAAAATTGCAGATCATGTCAAGTGTGTTAGAGTGTGAAGGAACCAATGCCTGTTATGTTCTGGAAGCATAATATGGGTTTTTACTTACGAATCTAAAAAATCCCAGCAAACATACTAGTAGATAAATATGCTGAGGAAAGTATCTAGTCTACTGTCATTTAAATAGATTTATAAAACTATGATTGTGAAATATAATATTATAGAGGTTTTCTGTTATTATGGGATTTTATCTTTTGAAAATATCATGTTCTTAGGAAACTATGTTAAATCATGTTTTTCTAGAAAAACTTTAACTTAGCAGTTTACATTGAAAGTCTTGTAATCCTATCTTTCAGTTTCTAAAGTATTCCATTTGTAATTACTTACTTAAACTACAGAGGACGGTTTACTCACCCTATTTTTTACAAGTAAACATTTAAATTGCCAAAGGATTATCCTGTTGAAATCTAGTTTTCATGATGGAAGAGGGAAAAGGCACTAAACCTTGCAGCAAGTAAGGTGTGAAAAAAATAACAGAATTGGCTATAGACTACATTATTCCCTTGTGTTCTTCAGCAGTTGCCTCTCTGTCAGTCTATAGCTTCAACAATGACAGAACTCTGGAATCAGCTGGAAATGGTAACGTGGGGCATGTGGAATGTTCATCACAGCTGACTTCTAGAGACAGCCCAAACTCTCTCTGCACACCTCCTCTTCCACTACCAGATCTATGTAAATGGAACCATCCTGTCTACATTTGAGGTTTAGTAATTCTGCAGCTTTCCTCAGCAGTGAAGAATCAGAAAGTCTGGGTTTGTATCTCTACTTGTCCCATTGTTCTCTGTAATTGGTTTGTCCTTAACCATCAGTACTAGAGACTTAAGAGTAACAATGCGTGTTTTTCTTTTCTTTTCTTTTCTTTTTTCTTTTCTTTTCTTTTCTTTTCTTTTCTTTTCTTTTCTTTTACTAGTATCTGGTTTGTTTTTGTTACATCTACCCCAAAAAGCCTCCTGAGTCACCCCACGGACCGACAGGAGGTTTCACTTCCAGCATTTTCTCACTAAAAGGAATCTTTCTGAAGAGAATTTTAAAAGAATAATAATCTCACTTAATTACTTAATTGTCCCATTAACCTTCTTATTGCTTGTGGATACTCATTTGTTAACTATGATTTCTCTGTTTTCTTATTTTAGTCTTCTTTTCATTCCCTGAGCTCCCTCTGATGGTGGGTCCAAATTTTTACTATACTTCTGCTTGCTTTTCACTAAGATACGTTCCATCACAGGTAAAATTACTACTCACATAATTAAATCATTATTTTCTAAGACATAGAGTTTTATTGTTTGGCCATAACAGGCTTTCCTGAATTGTACGTATCTTATCCTTTTTTTTTCCTGGACTACGTCTATAAATCTTTTCAAGTTGACAGAGATCTGAATAATTTGTTCTGATTCTGTGTTCACAGTGAAGCATTCAAAAACAGTAATAATAGCTATCATTTATTGAGTCCTTCCCAGGTGCCAGCCAGTGTTCTAGGCACTTTACTTTGTTTTAATAAAACGACAACTCTAATAGGTAAGGGTTGTTGGACTCCTCATTTTAAAAATGATGCAAGTAAGGGATAGAGAGCTTTAGTAAATGGCCCAAACTCTCATAAAAAGTGGTGAACTTGAGGTTGTAGCTGAAGCAGTGTGGCTCCAGTGTCCACATTATTCACCACATGCTACACTTTCTCTCCAAAGATGTCTTGGATCTTAAATAGGTACATGCTGAATGAGACACGTATAGTCACTATTTATTCACTGTAATCATGAAACCCCATGTCCCACTGACTACCATTTTTCATGTAAACGTCATGAGCTTGGAAATTTTTATTTAATTATAAATTTATAAAAAATGAAAAACAAATTGTCAGCAGAATATCATAAAAGAGAGGTGCATGAATAGTTCTGTAGATAATTGACTAGAAAGGATTCTGAATTTCTCAAATTTAATCCCATTGTTTTCCAGTGAGCAAACTGAGGCAGACTTGTAAATGTATTCAGAATCAAATCCGTGCCTTCTTACACTGAACTTGGAATTTCTCTTAGAGTATGATTCTTTTTGAAATCTTGTAACTAAGATTACATTTTTGAGTACTCTTGGTATCTAAATTGTGTTATGAATAAAACCATGTCCCTCTTTCTACAGTGTCTATTTTCTTCTATCTCACTAACTAGCTCCTCCCAAGAATTCAGAAAAAAGTACTAACTGCTTATTCGGTAGTTAGTGACAGTCATGAGTTAGTTCACTTGAGTTCAAAATTAATTGCTGAAAATTAGGATATTGTATATATGTGTTGTAAAAATTTGTGTACAGGCAAGGATAAAATGGACAGAATCACAGATCCTTATAAAGAGAACAGAGAGTCACATCAAGTAATTGCTACAAGGAACAATGTGATAAATAATGTCATAGCATTTATACAGTTCAGAGTCTTGTCTTTTGACATTTAATGAAAGACTAATGAACATCCTTTGAGGCATGAAGGAATGAAGTTCTAGCAGTAGAAGGTCAGAGTACTGAGTGAGATATTCCAGAAGAGATTATTCTTGGTGCTATACAGATTATATTACAAAGATACCACAAGTACAAACATAAAGGACTAAATCTATGTCAATTTATTTATTTAGAGTTTATTACCACCACCAGAGAGTAAGTTTCTTGAGATGAAGGACCCATTGCCTATTCATCACAGCTGACTTCCATGCCAATAAAATGTTTTAAATCAGAAATTATGAAATGTACAAATGGCTGTTGGGACTTTAACTGTTCTTCTATATAGAATATTCACTAAAACTTAGAGGTAGAAGCCTTTACCTGTGCACTGAAACTAAAATATTTGAGGAGAAATAGAATCATCAGGGCAAGATGGGCTCTTTGGGTGAGGAACTCAATAGAGACTTACTAAATATTTATTATGTGTAAATCACTATTCAGGATACAGCAATGAAGATGTGCCCTGTGACACAATGGATGTAATCATATTCCTGATCACTATTTCGTTACAGGCCCTGTTTCCCTGAGCTCTCACCTCTGATACAAGCCTTAAAGAAGAGTAAATGAGACAGAATAACAATATTACAGAATTTGTCCTCCTGGGCTTTTCTCAGGATCCTGGTGTGCAAAAAGCATTATTTGTCATGTTTTTACTCACATACTTGGTGACAGTGGTGGGGAACCTGCTCATTGTGGTGGATATTATTGCCAGCCCTTCCTTGGGTTCCCCAATGTATTTCTTCCTTGCCTGCCTGTCATTTATAGATGCTGCATATTCCACTACCATTTCTCCCAAGTTAATTGTAGGCTTATTCTGTGATAAAAAGACTATTTCCTTCCAAGGTTGCATGGGCCAGCTATTTATAGACCATTTCTTTGGTGGGGCTGAGGTCTTCCTTCTGGTGGTGATGGCCTGTGATCGCTATGTGGCCATCTGTAAGCCACTGCACTATTTGACCATCATGAATCGACAGGTTTGCTTCCTTCTGTTGGTGGTGGCCATGATTGGAGGTTTTGTACATTCTGCGTTTCAAATTGTTGTGTACAGTCTCCCTTTCTGTGGTCCCAATGTCATTGTTCATTTCAGTTGTGACATGCACCCATTACTGGAACTGGCATGCACTGACACCTACTTTATAGGCCTCACTGTTGTTGTCAATAGTGGAGCAATCTGTATGGTCATTTTCAACCTTCTGTTAATCTCCTATGGAGTCATCCTAAGCTCCCTTAAAACTTACAGTCAGGAAAAGAGGGGTAAAGCCTTGTCTACCTGCAGCTCCGGCAGTACCGTTGTTGTCCTCTTTTTTGTACCCTGTATTTTCATATATGTTAGACCTGTTTCAAACTTTCCTACTGATAAGTTCATGACTGTGTTTTATACCATTATCACACACATGCTGAGTCCTTTAATATATACGTTGAGAAATTCAGAGATGAGAAATGCTATAGAAAAACTCTTGGGTAAAAAGTTAACTATATTTATTATAGGAGGAGTGTCCGTCCTCATGTAGGTAAGGAGGTATGTAGTCAAGGTCTTCCCAGTGAAGTTTTCAGGTTTCTAAGGGCAAGTCAAGGATCCCAAAGAAAGAAGACAGGATTTGGATGCTCCTAGCTCAATTACAAAGTCATCCCATCATGACATCTGATTGAAGTTCAAGATCTCAACTTCTACATCGAGACTGAGTGTGGATGGGGCTCCTTGGGGGCGGGTTTTACTGTGCACATTTTAAATTATGGCTTTTACTATTTACAGATCTTTGAGACAGGGTATTTCCTCCACATTCTCAGCACACAATGGAGAAAGAGAGGAATAGGTAATAAAATGGATGCCCCTGTTCAGAAGGGAAGGCTGTGATGCTTCCCTTAGTGTAAGTTTTTAAAGATTTTGTGGAATATACAAGGACCATACTCAAAAATATCTTTGAAACTGGTCCATCCCAGACTTGGGCTGAAACTCTATATGCAGTCATATAACACTTTAAGAATCTTAGAATTATGATTCTCTAGTTTAAGGTACTTATGAGACACACCGTTAAATTTTTCTGTAGTCTTTCTAAGTGTCATAACATCCATAACTTTCAAATGACATTTATTTTGATGACCTTTCTTGGGTTTAGAGTACTTAGCTCTTGCAGACAGTGGAAAGGGGAACCACTTTTATGTTTGAAACCAACAATTTCTTGTTCTTTTATGTTTCTTGTAAATTATGTCGAATATGTAATGGTTAATCTTTTCACTGGTGTTCTTTATTTATTTATTTATTTTTTTATACTTTAAGTTTTAGGGTACATGTGCACAATGTGCATGTTTGGTACATATGTATACATGCACCATTGGTGTGCTGCACCCATTAACTCGTCATTTAACATTAGGTATATCCCTAATGGTATCCCTCCCCACTCCCTCCATCCCATAACAGTCCCCGGTGTGTGATGTTCCCCTTCCTGTGTCCATGTGTTCTCATTGTTCAATTCCCACCTATGAGTGAGACAGTGTGGTGTTTGGTTTTTCGTCCTTGCAATAGTTTGCTGAGAATGATGGTTTCCAGCTTCATCCATGTCCCTACAAAGGACATGAACTCATCCTTTTTTATGGCTGCATAGTATTCCATGGTGTATACGTGCTACGTTTTCTTAATCCAGTCTATCATTGTTGGACATTTGGCTTGGTTCCGTCTTTGCTATTGTGAATAGTGCCACAATAAACATGCGTGTGCATGTGTCTTCATAGCAGCATGATTTATAATCCTTTGGGTATATACCCAGTAATGGGATGGTTGAGTCAAATGGTATTTCTAGCTCTAAATCCCTGAGGAATCGTCACACTGACTTCCACAATGGTTGAACTAGTTTACAGTCCCACCAAAAGTGTAAAAGTGTTCCTACTTCTCCACAACCTCTCCAGCACCTGTTGTTTCCTGACTTTTTAATGATCGCCATTCTAACTGGTGTGAGATGGTATCTCATTGTGGTTTTGATTTGCATTTCTCTGATGGCCAGTGATGATGAGCATTTTCTCACGTGTCTTTGTCTGCATAAACGTCTTCTTTTGAAAAGTATCTGTTCATAACCTTTGCCCGCTTTTTGATGGGGTTGTTTGTTTTTTTCTTGTAAATTTGTCTGGGTTCATTGTAGATTCTGGATATTAGCCCTTTGTCAGATGAGTAGGTTGGAAAAATGTTCTCCCATTCTGTAGGTTGCCTGTTCACTCTGATGGTAGTTTCCTTTGCTGTGCAGAAGCTCTTTAGTTTAATTAGATCCCATTTGTCAATTTTGGCTTTTGTTGCCATTGCTTTTGGTGTTTTAGACATGAAGTCCTTGCCCATGCCTATGTCCTGAGTGATATTGCCTAGGTTTTCTTCTAGGGTTTTGATGGTTTTAGGTCTAACATTGAAGTCTTTAATCCATCTTGAATTAATTTTTGTATAAGTTGTAAGGAAGGGATCCAGTTTCAGCTTTCTCCATATGGCTAGCCAGTTTTCCCAGCACAATTTATTAAATAGGGAATCATTTCTCCATTTCTTGTTTTTGTCAGCTTTGTCAAAGATCAGATTGTTGTAGATACGTGGCATTATTTCTGAGGGCTCTGTTCTGTTCCATTGGTCTACATCTCTGTTTTGGTACCAGTACAGTGCTGTTTTGGTTACTGTAGACTTGTAGTATAGTTTGAAGTCAGGTAGCGTGATTCTTCCAGCTTTGATCTTTTAGCTTAGCATTGACTTGGCAATGCGGGCTCTTTTTTGGTTCCATGTGAACTTTAAAGTAGTTTTTTTCCAATTCTGTGAAGATAGTCATTGGTAGCTTGATGAGGATGGTATTGAATTTATAAATTACCTTGGGCACTATGGCCATTTTCACGATATTGATTCTTCCTACCCATGAGATTCGAATGTTCTTCCATTTGTTTGTATCCTCTTCTATTTCATTGAGCAGTGGTTTGTAGTTCTCCTTGAAGAGGTCCTTCACATCCCTTGTAAGTTGGATTTCTAGGTATTTTATTCTCTTTGAAGCAATTGTGAATGGGAGTTCACTCATGATTTGTCTCTCTGTTTGTCTGTTATTGGTGTATAAGAATGCTTGTGATTTTTGCATATTGATTTTGTATCCTGAGACTTTGCTGAAGTTACCTATCAGCTTAAGGAGATTTTGGGCTGAGACGATGGGGTTTTCTAGATATACAATCATGTCATCTGTGACAGGGAAAATTTGACTTCCTCTTTTCCTAACTGAATACCCTTTATTTCTTTTTCCTGCCTATTGCCCTGGCCAGAACTTCCAACACTATGTTGAATAGGAGTGGTGAGAGAGGGAATCCCTGTCTTGTCCAGTTGTCAAAGGGAATGCTTCCAGGTTTTGCCCATTCAATATGATATTGGCTGTGGGATTGTCATAGATAGTTCTTATTATTTTGAGATATGTCCCATCAATACTTAATTTATCGAGAATTTTTAGCATGAAGGGTAGTTGAATTTTGACAAAGGCCTTTTCTGCATCTATTGAGATAATCATATGGTGTTTTTCCTTGGTTCTGTTTATATGCTGGATTACATTTATTAATTTGGGTATGTTGAACCAGCCTTGCATCCCAGGGATGAAGCCCACTTGATCATGGTGGATAAGCTTTTTGATGTGCTTCTGGATTCGGTTTGCCAGTATTTTATTGAGGATTTTTGCATCAATGTTCATCAGGGATATTGGTCTAAAATTCTCTTTTTTGGTTGTGTCTCTGCCAGGCTTTGGTATCAGGATGATGCTGACCTCATAAAATGAGTTAGGTAGGATTCTCTCTTTTTCTGTTGATTGGAATAGTTTCAGAAGGAATAGTACCAGCTCCTCCCTGTATCTCTGGTAGATTTCGGCTGTGAATCCGTCTGGTCCTGGACTTTTTTTGGTTGTTAAGCTATTAATTATTGCCTCTATTTCAGAGCCTGTTATTGGTCTATTCAGAGATTCATCTTCTTCCTGGTTTAGTCTTGGGAGGGTGTATGTGCCCAGGAATTTGTCCATTTCTCCTAGATTTTCTAGTTTATTTGCGTAGAGGTGTTTATAGTATTGTCTGATGGTAGCTTGTATTTCTGTGGGATCATTGATAATATCCCCTTTATCATTTTTTATTGCGTCTATTTGATTCTTCTCTCTTTTCTTCTTTATTAGTCTTGCTAGTGGTCTATCAATTTTGTTGATCTTTTCAAAAAACCAGCTCCTGGATTCATTGATTTTTTGAAGGGTTTTTGTGTCGCTGTGTCCTTCAGTTCTGCTCTGATCTTAGTTATTTTTTGCCTTCTGCTGGCTTTGAATGTGTTTGCCCTTGCCTTTCTAGCTCTTTTAATTGTGATGTTAGGGTGCCAATTTTAGATGTTTCCTGATTTCTCTTGTGGGCATGTAGTGCTGTAAATTTCCCTCTACACACTGCTTTGAATGTGTCCCAGAGATTCTGGTATGCTGTGTCTTTGTTTTCATTGGTTTCAAGGAACATCTTTATTTCTGCCTTCATTTCATTATTTACCCAGTAGTCATTCAGCAGCAGGTTGTTCAGTTTCCATCTAGTTGAGCGGTTTTTAGTGAGTTTCTTAATCCTGAGTTCTAGTTTGATTGCACTGTGGTCTGAGACACAGTTTATAATAATTTCTGTTCTTTTACATTTGCTGAGGAGTGCTTCACTTCCAACTATGTGGTCACTTTTGGAATAGGTGTGGTGTGGTGCTGAGAAGAATGTATATTCTGTTGATTTGTGGTGGAGAGTTCTGTAGATGTCTATTAGGTCTCCTTGGTGTAGAGCTGAGTTCAATTCCTGGATATCCTTGTTAACTTTCTGTCTGATTGATCTGTCTAATGGTGACAGTGGGGAGTTAAAGTCTCCCATTATTATTGTGTGGGAGTTTGAGTCTCTTTCTAGGTCTCTAAGGATTGGCTTTATGAATCTGGGTGCTTCTGTATTGGGTGCATACATATTTAGGATAGTTAGCTCTTCTTGTTGAATTGATCCCTTTACCATTATGTAATGGCCTTCTTTGTCTCTTTTGATCTTTGTTGGTTTAAAGTCTGTTTTATCAGAAACTAGGATTGCAACCCCTGGATTTTTGTTTTCCATTTGCTTGGTAGATCTTCTTCCATCCTTTTATTTTGAGCCTATGTGTGTCTCTGCATGTGAGATTGATTTCCTGAATACAGCACAATGATGGGTCTTGACTCTTTATTCAATTTGTCAGTCTGTGTCTTTTAATTGGAGCACTTAGACCATTTACATTTAAAGTTAATATTGTTATGTGTGAATTTGATCCTGTCATTATGCTCTTAGCTAGTTATTTTGCTAGTCAGTTGATGCAGTTTTTTCCTAGCCTCAATGGTCTTTACGATTTGGCATGTTTTTGCAGTGGCTGGTACTGGTTGTTCCTTTCCGTGTTTATTGCTTCCTTCAGGAGGTCTTTTATGGCAGGCCTGGTGGTGACAGAATCTCTCAGCATTTGCTTGTCTGTAAAGGATTTTATTTCTCCTTCACTTATAAAGCTTAGTTTGGCTGGATATGAAATTCTGAGTTGAAAATTCTTTTCTTTAAGCCTGTTGAATATTGGCCCCCACTCTCTTCTGGCTTGTAGAGTTTCTGCTGAGAGATCAGTAGTTAGTCTGATGGGCTTCCCTTTGTGGGTAACCCGACCTTTCTCTGTGGCTGCCCTTAACATTTTCTCCTTCATTTCAACTTTGGTGAATCTGACAATTATGTTTCTTGGAGTTGCTGTTCTTGAGGAGTATCTTTGGGGGGTTCTCTGTATTTCCTGAATGTGAATGTTGGCCTGCCTTTCTAGATTGGGGAATTTCTCCTGGATAGTATCCTGCAGAGTGTTTTCCAACTTGGTTCCATTCTCCCCGTCACTCTGAGGTACACCAATCAAAAGTAGATTTGGTCTTTTCACATAATCCCATATTTCTTGGAGGCTTCATTTATTTTTATTCTTTTTTCTCTAGACTTCTCTCTTGCTTCATTTCATTCATTTTATCTTCCATCACTGATACCCTTTCTTCCAGTTGATTGAATCAGGTACTGAGGCTTGTGCATTTGTCACGTAGTCCTCATGCCTTGGTTTTCAGCTCCATCAGGTCTTTTAAGGACTTCTCTGCATTGGTTATTCTAGTCAGCCATTCGTCTAATTTTTTTTTCAAGGTTTTTAACTTCTTTGCCATGGTTTTGAAATTCCTCCTTTAGCTCAGAGTAGTTTGATGGTCTGAAGCCTTCTTCTCTCAATTCGTCAAAGTCATTCTCCATCCAGCTTTGTTCCATTGCTGGTGAGGAGCTGCATTCCTTTGGAGGAGGAGAGGTGCTCTGATTTTTAGAGTTTCCAGTTTTTCTGCTCTTTTTTTCCCCATCTTTGTGGTTTTATCTACATTAGATCATTGATGATGGTGACATTCAGTTGGTGTTTTGGTTTCGATGTCCTTTGTATTTGTTAGTTTTCCTTTTAACAGTCAGGTCCCTCAGCTGCAGGTGTGTTGGAGTTTGCTGGAGGTCCACTCCAGACCCTGTTTACCTGGGTATCAGCAGCGGAGGCTGCAGAACAGTGGATTTTGGTGAACAGCAAGTGCTGCTGCCTGATCATTCCTCTGGAAGTTTTGTCTCAGAGGAGTACCCGGCCGTGTGAGGTGTCAGTCTGCCTCTATTTGGGGATGCCTCCCAGTTAGGCTACTCGAGGGTCAGGGACTCATTGAGGAGGCAGTCTGTCTGTTCTTAGATCTCCAGCTGCATGCTGGGAGAACCACTACTCCTTCAAAGCTGTCAGACAGAGACATTTAAATCTGCAGAGGATTCTGCTGCCTTTTATTTGGCAATGCTCTGCCCCCAGAGGTGGTGTCTAGAGACACAGGCAGGCCTCCTTGAGCTGCGGTGGGTTCCACCTAGTTCAAGCTTCCAGGCCGCTTTGTTTACCTACTCAAGGCTTGGCAATGGCGGGTGCCCCTACCCCAGCCTTGCTGCTGCCTTGCAGTTTGATCTCAGACTGCTGTGCTAGCAATGAGCAAGGCTCCATGGGCTTAGGACCCCCCAAGCCATGTGCAGGATAAAATCTCCTGGTGTGCCATTTGCTATGACTGTTGGAAAAGTGCAGTATTAGGGTGGGAGTGATCTCATTTTCCAGGTGTCATCTGTCACCCCTTTCTTTGACTAGGAGAGGGAATTCCCTGACCCCTTGCACTTCCCAGGTGAGGTGTTACCTCGCCCTGCTTCGGCTCATGCTCGGTGCACTGCACCCACTACACTGCACCCACTTTCCAACACTCCCCAGAGAGATGAATCCGGTACCTCAGTTGGGCATTCAGAAATCACCAGTCTTCTGCATCGCTCATGCTGGGAGCTGTGGACTGGAGCTGTTCCTATTCGGCCATCTTTGCTCCACCCCTCATTAGTGTTTTTTAAATATCTATGCCTTATTATATGATACACTGCTGTAAGAAACAGCTGAAATTTTCAGTATTCTACTTGGAAATTTTAGCCATATCCACCAATTTACTTATGTATATTTTTCATTTTCTACCTTCCTATGGGTGACAGAGGTACTAAATTTTTTCAGCATTGCATCACAAGTCAAATTTTCACAGCTTCTGGAATAGTTACTTCTGTCTTTTGAGCATTCACTTACAGTGTCCTGGTGGCCCCTATTTTTGGACACTAAAGCCAATTCCATACACTTTAAATTGTAGTTATGGAAACTCCACGCCTTGAGATGTCACTTTTATTCTGGTTCTGTCTTCATGTAATGTTCAGGGTTCCACAGTTTTTGTGAGTTAAACAACCATCATTTCATTTTATATCAAAATTTTGTGAGCCAGGAATTCAGGCAGTTGTTGGCAGGGTGCTTCTTCTGTTTTGTGTGGCAAGGAGTGAAGTCACTCTCTTATTCACCTGATAACTAAATGTTCCGTAAGAGGCAGGATAACTTAATTCACATTTATAGTATATTAGAAGGGATGACATTAAGAGATGCACTGTGTTCCTTCTCCTATCTCTTTAGATAAAGGACCACGAGATCACTCCAGAGAATAGCCACACTTTTTGTATGGTGCTCAGAGATCGCAGTGGTAGAACATAGATGAGTTTGGCCAGGTAAGTGCTATGTCCATAACTGGTGCAATGTCACTTGCATCATATTCTATTCAAACGAGTGGTCACATGACCACCCCAGATTTGATGTTTTACAGAAATAGATGATAACCCTTGAGTGGGAAGTGGTAAAATCATTTCACAGAGCAGCATGCAGAACAATTGTCTACATCTCAAAAGGAGCATGTTGGAGTTTTATTCAAGTTGGATCCATAAATCATCTTGTACTAATAATATCTTAACAATAGTGGGTTTTCTAATTCCTGAATACAATATATCTGTTACGTATTTTAAATGATTATTTTTGGAGAGTTTTGTAGTTTTTATTATGGATCTTCCTTATCTATTCCTAAGTGTTTATGTTTTCAGATTTCATCAAAGGTTTTTCATTAAAAAAAAATTCCAATGTCCTTGTTGCTAGTATTTATAAGGGAAATTTAACTATGTTCAATTATGTCTGTAGATTCTTTAGGGTTTTCTGAAACACTATCATATTTTCTACAGGTAAGGTTAGTTCATTACTTGGAAAGAGATAGGAGTGTGTCAGTTTCTGTTTGTGTCATTTTCAGAAGGTTGTCCTTTCCCTACATTCTACCCAATTCATCTAAGCTGTCCAATTAATTGAAATAATGCATTACTGGGTATATACCCAAAGGATTATAAATCATGCTGCTATAAAGACACATGCACACGTATGTTTATTGTGGCACTATTCACAATAGCAAAGACTTGAAACCAACCCAAATGTCCAACAACAATAGACTGGATTAAGAAAATGTGGCACATATACACGATGGAATCCTATGCAGCCATAAAAAATGATGAATTCATGTCCTTTGTAGGGACATGGATGAAACTGGAAACCATCATTCTCAGCAAACTATCCCAAAGGCAAAAACCCAAACACCACATGTTCCCACTCATAGGTGGGAATTGAACAATGAGAACACATGGACACAGGAAGGGGAACATCGGTCTCTGGAGACTGTTGTGGGGTGGGGGGAGGGGGGATGGATAGCATTTAGAGATATACCTAATGCTAAATGATGAGTTAATGGGTGCAGCACACCAACATGACTCATATATACATATGTAACAAACCTGCACATTGTGCACATGTACCCAAAAACTTAAAGTGTAATAAAATAAAATAAATAAAATAAAATAAAATAAAATAAAAAACAACCCCATCAAAAAGTAGGTGAAGGATATATGAACAGACACTTCTCAAAAGAAGACATTTATGTGGCCAACAAACACATGAAAAAAACCTCCTAATCGCTGTTCATTAGAGAAATGCAAATCAAAACCACAATGAGATACTATCTCACACCAGTTAGAATGCCCATCATTAAAAAGTCAGGAAACAACAGATGCTGGAGAAGATGTGGAGAAATAGGAACACTTTTACACTGTCAGTGGGAGTGTAAATTTGTTCAACCATTGCGGAGGACAGTGTGGTGATTCCTCAGGGATCTAGAACCAGAAATACCATTTGACCCAGCAATCCCATTACTGGCTATATACCCAAAGGATTATAAATCATTCTATAAAGATACATGCGCATGTATGTTTATTGCGACACTGTTCACAATAGCAAAGACTTGGAACCAGCCCTACTGCTTATCGGTGATAGCCTGGATAAAGAAAATGTGGCAAATATACACCATGGAATACTATGCAGCCATTAAAGGGATGAGTTCATGTCCTTTGTAGGGACATGGGTGAAGTTGGAAACCATCATTCTCAACAAACTAACACAAGAACAGAAAACCAAACACCGCATGTTCTCACTCATAGGTGAAAGTTGAACAATGAGAACACATGGACCTGGGGAGGGGAACATCACACACAGGGTCCTGTCAGGGGGGCTGGGGGCTAGGGGAGGGATAACATTAGGAGAAATACCTAATATAGATGACAGGGTGATGGGTGCAGCAAACCACCATGGCATGTGTATACCTATGTAATAAACCTACACGTTCTGCACATGTATCCCAGAACTTAAAGTATAATAAATAAATAAACGTTTTGAAACTTAAAAAAAAAAAGAAATAATGCGTTTCATAACTATCATTTTCTAACCTTTTAACGCCTAAAGGAACTATGGGATGATTATTTGTTTTATTATTTCTGATATTGGTAATTTGGATTTCTCTTTGTTTTCTCTTGATCTCCCCTTGCTGACAGTTTATCAATTTGATTATAAAAGTACGAATTTTGGCTATTTTTATTTTCTCTATTTTATGTTTTCCATTTTATTGGTTTTTGATCTTATGTTTATGTCCTTTTTTTACTTACCTTGGCTTTTATTTACTCTTCTTCTAGCTTCTTAAGGTGAAGGATTGAATGGCTGCTTTTAAACATTTATTTTAAATGTAAGCATTTATAGCTATACATTTTTCTTTAAGTACTGTTTTGATCAAACCTCACACATTTTGATATGTTTCTGTTATTGCTTAGTTTTATTTGCTTAGCTTCATTATATCTTTTTCTTTGATTCATAAGTTCACTAAATATTTATTGGCATGTTTCCCAGTATTTGAAGTATATTCTAGATACATTTATGAGTTACATATTTATTCATAGCAAAATATTTCAAAACTTAGTGATTCAAACAATTTGTACTCATTCTCAATTTCTGTAGGTGAGGAAACAGTGTGGTTTGGCAGGTTCCCGTGCTTCAAGGTCTCTCACAAAACTGTAATCAAGGTGCTGGTTGGGTCTACCATCTCATATGAAGGCTTGGCTGAGGAAGGATTTATTTCCACAGTGGGTGTTGGTATTAGTAGTTATTTGAATTCTGTTGGAAGGGACATAGAGAATTAGGTCTTGTTTTCATATATTAGTTCTTCATCTTGGAGTCATAATTTAAACCACAGTATCTTTGATCATATCTGATAGTTCCCCAGAATTAAACATATGTTTGTGCATGCTTTACCACTTACTAGTAAGAGAGCACAATGTTGATAGATATGCTCTTCAAGTTTTAGCAATAATAATACATGTTATATTTGGGGTGGATGAATTTAAAACATGTATTAAGTAAGTTGAAAATGACCAACTTTTAGTGGAGCTCATTATGTGATAAACATCTTTGCTGGCTCAGATGGGTATTTATGGGACTCTTTATCTAAGGCTTCTATCACACCAATATTTAATTAACATATGATGAGATGAAGGTGTTCCATGGAGCCAATGGTAAGCCAAGTCATGGAAATAACAGTGGAAGCCCTTAAGCACTACTCACTTGTTGGCAAATACAAATTTCTGTATTGTAGATACTGTTATTGAATTAATATTGGAATAAAATTAAAGGATTGAATTAATGGAGTGCAGATCATTATGATTTTATCTGACATAGTTTCAGGTCTTGATCAAAAGCCTGTACTCTAATTAAACTGCAGCACTATGATTACCTATCTTTCCAAGAATCAGAATGTCAACTTCTGTTCTTAGGCTCTCTGCCTCTGAGCCTCAGGGTTTCTTGGGCACAGACTTTTTAACGGGATGGGTGAGGCTCTCCTTACTGGGAACATTTTTAAAGATGAGAGCCTGGGGCTCGATCTCCTTTCATTCTGGCTGAAATATTACTTGTCTCACCTAAATATTTCATAATGTAAAACTCATAATTTACTATTCAATTTACTTTTGAGTTTTTCTTGTCATATTACAGGCTTTTCAAATTATTTGGCATTTAGCTACTTTTCCTTAGCAAGAGCCAAGTCTTTTTCTTCTAGGGATTTTCTTAGAAAAAAAGGTTTTCAGAGAGATTACTTCATTTGAATTTGTTCCTGCAGAGAGCCGGTAAAGGGATTGTGACCAGCTCAGCATTCCACTGGGGGCTATATGAATATATCTGTTTATCATGAATGCAAACTGTTTATCATGAATGCAGGATGTGAGCAAACTCACACTGTGCCTGCTGCCAAAAGGTTTGTTGAGGGCCATCACTTCCTGGCACAGGGCTCCTTGAAGTTATCTCCTGAGACATTTAACACCAATTGTTGTGAACCAAATGGATGACTGACAATTGCCTGAAAACTACCCACCCCTCCTGGCTATTTCTTTTGCCTGGTAAATACGGAGGGCTGTGTATAGCTCAGGGCCCTTGTTTACTAGAGGTAAGGTGCCCTCTGACCCCTTCTTCCAAATATATTTTCTTTTTTCTTTGTCTTTGTTTAGTCCAGCAGGTATCATGGCCAGAATAAAATTAATCCTGAGTTACAAACTGAAGTTGCAATGTTGAAATCCACAGTCCTATGATTAGAGGAACAAGTACAAAGCCTGCAGTTGCAGCAGCAATTCTGTCGCCATTGTAACCACACTCACATTTGTGTAACCAACTTAGAATATAACCAAAGTGAGTATCCATGGCACCATGGCACTGTGTGAAAGCCCATTGAAGGGAGCTTTCACATCCAATATCATCTTTGATATCAGTGAATTACAAAACAAAATTCTTGATTTAAATAGGGAAACTCAAGAATTTCAGCCTTAGAAGACTGGACCGAATTCCAGCAAGGCCTGGAGAGCCTCAACCCTTGGACCTATTTAAGGCACCACATTAACATCTTATATGTAGTTCTTGGAATAATGTTGTTTTGTCTCTGTCTTCTGTTCATAGTCTGTAAAATCAGATGGACCACTAAACAGAAAATGAGATCTGCCCAGCCTGGCCTTATATTCTTTTAATTAATCCATAAACAGAAACGGGGAGATGTAGAGAGCCAGCAGAGGCATTGTGACCAGCTCAGCATTCCACTGGAGGCTATATGATCAAACAGCAAACTGTTTACCATGAATGCAGGATGTGGGCAAACTCACATCTGTGCCTGCCACCAGAAGGTTTGCTGAGGGCCATCACCTCCTGGCACTGGGCTCCTTGAAGTTATTTCCTGAGACATCTAGCACCAATTGTTCCTGGAATACAGCCTCGCAAGCCTGCTGTGAACCAAAGGGTGGACTGACAGTTATCTGACAACTACTCGCCCTCCTCGCTATCTCTTTTGCCTAATAAATATGGAGGGTTGTGTAAAGCTCAGGACCCTTTTTCACTAGAGGCAAGATGCCCCCGACCCCTTCTTCCAAATATACTCTTTGTCTCTTTGCTTTTATTCCCGCCTTCACCCCCTTTGTTCAGTCCACCAGGGATTGTAGCAGGTTACAAGTGGTGCCACAAACAGTGACAGAATTGGGTGCTTTACATTTTCCAAATATTCTAATTAACAAATCTATAATGACCTTACAGTCCCTTCCATTTAAAATATTGTTGATGTAAAAGTCATAGACTGTGTCTACACACATAAATGGATGAATTATTTACCTGCTAGAATATCCCTGAAGATATTGAAAAAGTGATTTTTTTGCTCCAGATAGCGTATGTCTTCAGTTGGTATCTAGTCCTCTAGGTGTAATTTTTTTTTTTTGTCATACCCACCATTGCTTGTAAAAATGTGTGAAAGTTCTCAACTTCCTGGGATGAGATTGGGGAGATGAAGAGACATGGTTTCACTTAGGAAAGAAGTGATCTTAGGGATATGCTAGTTGAATGACTGAAAGATTGAAATGTTTGGCTTCTGCCTATGGGAAGGCTCTGTCATTTGTTTTTCCATGAAGTTGAATCTCAGCATTTTTCTTGATAGGTACAAAGGTTAGTAGCTGGACCCTGAATGTTATCACAAATCCTCAATCATAGTAAAGTGCTTCTGGTTGCTTCACCATAATTAAGAAAACTTTCAAGTAACAAATTGTAGTGTTGATACTTTTGCCACTAAATAATAATGGACTCATCTTTGTTAATTTCTACTAAGTATGTCAATTTGTATATAGTCATGCAAATTTAGGATCTTTGTTTTTTATGAAGAAATTTTTCAGCAGGTAAGAGCATTCAACTACATTTGTAGAATAAAATTTGACATTATGTTTAAGCATTTTAATATTTTGGTCATCTGCTTTGGATAGTGCTATACTCCTCTAAAGACTGAGATAATGAGAGGCCTGTGTGGAACTGTGGAAACTGTAGCCACTAGGAACTAATTCTATATCCATGGATCAGCCATTTATACTCATGTGTTTTATGATCACACATAGATGCATTAGGTATCTACAGTAACCCTCAATGAAAGAAACATTGCTTTTCTGGACCAAAATGTGAGTATTTGAAACCATTGACAAGAGATATTCATTGCAAATTTCTGTGATATGTTGAAGTACAGGTAATGTCATAAATACCACATGACTTCATTGGATAAATTCTAATTGGGAAAATTAAGCCAACAAACATGGAAATTTATCAGAATATATAATGTATATTTGGTTTTAATATACAGCCAAATTGGTTTTCTTTTTCCATTCTGCCAAATAGGAAGAAAAACATGTTCCATATTACATGTATAATAAACCAATAAATTTATAATCATAATCTTAGGTTATGGAATATTTTATATACCGTATTAATAAAGGTGAACAATTACTCAAATATTTTTGATTATGGAGTTTAAAATTGCAGATCATGTCAAACGTGTTTGATTGTGAAGGAACCAATGCCTGTTATGTTCTGGAAGCATAATATGGGTTTTTACTTATGAATCTAAAAATTATCCCAGCAATCATACTAGTAGATAAATATGCTGAGGAAAGTACTTAGTCTACTGTCATTTAAATAGATTTATATAACTGTGACTGTGAAATGTAATATTATAGAAGTTTTTTGTTATGGAATTTTATCTTTTAAAACTGGCATGTTCTTAGGAAACACTGTTAAATCATTTTTTCTAGAAATATGTTAACGGTTTCCATTGAAAGCCTAGTAATGCTGTCTTTCAGTTTCTAAAGTATTCCATATTTAATTACTTAAACTATAGAGGATAGGTTACATACCTTATGTTTTTACAAGTAGACATTTAAATTGCCAAATAGAATTATCCTGTTGTTGAAGTCTAGTTTTGAAGATGGAAGAGGGAAAAGACAGTAAACCTTGCAGGAAGTAAGGTGTGGAAAAATAACAGAATTGGCTATAGGCTATATTATTCCCTTTTGTTCTTCAGCAGATATGTCTCTATCAGTCTACAGCTTCAACAGTGACAGAACTCTGGAATCAACTGAAAGAGGTAATGTGAATTAGACATGTGGAATGTTCATCACTCTGGCTTCTAGAGACAGCTCAAACTCTCTCTGTACACATCCTCTTCCACTGCCAGATCTATGCAAATGGAATCATCTTGTCTACACTTGAGGTTTAGTAATTTTGCCATTTTCCTCATCAGTGAGTAATCAGGAAGTTTGGGTTTGTATTTCTACTTGTCCCATTGTTCTCTGTAATTTAAATTTGTCCTTATCTATCTGACCTAGAGACTTTGAGAAATCAGTGTGTTCTGTTTTTCTTCTGAGTTTTCTTTCTTTTTCTTTTTTTTATTCACTAGAATTTGGTCTGTGTTTGGCTACCCCAAGAAGCCTCTTGAGTCACCCCAGGGACAAACAGGAGGTTGTGCTTCCAGTATTTCCTCACTAAAAATCTTTATGAAGATTTTTAGGAGAATAATTGCGTCAATTATCACATTAATCTTAATCTTCTTATTACCTGTGTATATTAACTTATTGTAATTACTGTGTTTCTTGACTTGACTCCTTTTTCTTCCATTTTCTACCATTTCGCTCTACCTCTGATGAGGGGTCCAACTTTTTCACTATAATTCTTCCTGATCTTTTCAAGATACATTCCATCACAGATAAAATAAGTACTCATACATAATTAAACAGGTAGTTACTAAGACATATATTGTCTTCCCCAAAAGCCATTCCTGAATTATAGGTGTATTTTTTTTCTTTTCCCAGGACTATGTCTATTAGTCTTTTCAAATTAGCAAAGATCCAGATGATTCGTTCTGATCCAATGTTCACAGTGAAGCTTTCAGGAACATGAGTAATAGCCATCACTTATTGAGCCTTTACCAGATGCCAGCCAGTGTTCTAGGCACTTTACTTTGTTGTGATAAGACAACCCTAAGAGGTTTTAAATCAAAGTGAGGCACAGAGAGGCTTAGTAAGTGGCCCAAAGACACATAGTAAGTGGTGAAGCAGGGGTTGAAGCAGAGGCAGTGTGGCTCTGGTGTCCACATTATTCACCACATGCTATGCCTTCTCTCCAATGATGTCTTGAAACTTAATTAGGCACATATTGAAAGAGAAACTTGTAGTCATTATTTACTCACTGTAATCATGAAACATCTACAATGACTACCGTTATTAATGTAACAGTCATGAGCTTGGAAATTGCTATTTAATTATAAATATATGAAAAATAAAAAAGTCTGCAGAACAGAGTAAGGGAGAGGTGCACTAATAGTTTTGTAGATGGTTGACTAGAAAGGATTTTCACTTCATCTAATTTAATCATGTTGTTTTCCTGTGAGCAAACGAAGACAGACTTGTAAATGCATTCAGAAAATGACTCAAATTCATGTTACCTTACAGTGCAGTTGGAATTTCTCTTCGAGTATGCTTTTTTTTTTTTTTGGAATCTTAACACTAAGGTTCTATTTGTGAGTACTCCTGATATCTAAATAGTGTTATAAATAAACCATGTACCACCATTCTGTTCCTCTTTGTACAGTGTATATTTTCTCCTCCCTCACTATGTAGTTCACTTGAAGAATTCAGAAAAAATTACTCACAGCTAATGTGGCAGTTGGTGATATTCATCAATTAGTTTACTTGAGTTCAAAATTAGTTGTTGAAAACCAGGATATTGTATGTAAATGTGACAAAAAATTTGTGAAATAAGTAAGGATAAGATATAGAGACATATATCTTGTTATAAGGCAACAGAGGGTCAGACCAAATCGTTGCCATAGGGAACAACGTGATAAATAATATTTTACTATTTGTACAAGTCAATGTCCAGTCTTTTGACATTTAATGAGATATTCAAAAAGACCGAATATTTTTTGAGGCATGAAGGACCAAATGAGTAACTGTGGATTGCCACAGTACTGAGTGAGCTATTTCAGAAGATGTTATTTTTGATGCTACACAGATCATAAAGATACCAAAACTACAAACTCACAGTACTGAATCTATGCCAACTTATTTATTTAAAGTCTGTTACCGCCATGAGAAAGTAACTTTCTTGAGACCAATAATCTGTTTCCTATTCATCATAGCTGACTTCCATGCCAAGAAATATGTTTTAAATAGGAGTTATGAAATATATGAATGGCTAGTGGGCCTTTAACTCTTCTTCTGTACAGAATATTCACAAAAACTTAGAGGCACAAGCTGTTACCTGTAGGCTCAAACTAAAATCTTTGAGAAGATGAGAAACTCAATAGAAACTTACAAAAAGTTTATTGTGTGTGTAAATCTGTACTGAAGATAAAATGATGAAGAGGTGCTCTGTGACATCATGGATGTATTCATATTCCTGTTCACTATTTCATTACAGGTCCTGTTCTCCTGAGCTCTCAACTGTGACAGAAGCCTTAGAGAAGAGTAAAGGGGACTGAGTAATAATGTTACAGAATTTGTCCTCTTGGGCAACACTCAGTGTCCTGATGTGCAAAATGCATTATTTGTCATGGTTTTACTCACATACGTTGTGAGTATGGCGGGAAACTTGCTTGCTGTGGTGGCTATTATTTCCAGCCCTTCCTTTGGCTCCCCAATGTACTTCTTCCTCACAGCCTGTTATTTATATATGCTGCATATTCCAATACCATTTCTCCCAAATTGATTATAGGCTTACTCCATGATAAAAAGACTATTTTCTTCACAGCATGCATGGGGCAGCTATTTATAGACCACTTATTTGGTGGTGCTGAGGTCTTCCTACTTGTGGGGATGTCCTACGATTTCTATGTGGCCATCTCTAAGCCACTGCACTATTTGACCATCATGAATCAACAGGTTTGTATCCTTCTGTTGGTGGTGGCTGTGACTGGAGGTTTTGTGAGTTGTGTGTTTCAAATTGTTGTTGTGTACACTCTCTCGTTCTGTGGCCAAATGTCACTGACCACTTTGTCTGTGACATGTACCCATTATTGGAACTGGTTTGCACTGATACCTACTTTATAGGTCTCACTGTTGTTGCCAATGGTCTAGCAATCTGTATGGTCGTCTTCACCCTTCTACTAATCTCCTATGGAGTCATCCTAAACAACTTTAAAACTTATAGTCAGGAAGGGAGGCTTAAAGCCCTGTCTGCCTGCATCTCCTACATAACAGTCACTGTCCTGTTTCTTGTTCCCTGTATTTTCCTTTTCGTTAGACCTGTTTCGAACTTTCCTATTGATAAATTCATGACTGTGTTTTATACAGTTATCATACACATGTTGAATCCATTAATATACACACTGAGAAATTTAGAGATGAGAATTGCTGTAAAATCCAATGTAAAAAAACTCTGGCATTAAAAACTTAACTATAGTTAGAATGAGTGTTTCTCTTCTTTTAGTAGAAGTGTATGGAGACAACGTCTGTCCTGTGAGATTGTTAGACTTCTAAGGTCAATTAAGATTTCCTAGTTTGGGAAGGCAGGATTTTGAAGCTCCCCGCTCAAATAAGATGTCATCCCATCATGGCATCTGTTTGATATTCAAGATCTCAACCTCTATATCCAGACCGAATGTGGATGGGATCCTTGGGTGCAGTGTCTATTGTGCACTTTTTAAATTATGGTTTTTCTCTATTTACAAATCCATTGAGACAGTGTATTTCTTCCACATGCCCAGCACATAATGGAGAAAGAGAGGACCAGGCAATTAAAATAGATCCTCCTGTTCACAAGTGAAGCCTATGGTGCTTGCTTTAGTACACTCACAAGCAGCATACTCACAAATATCTTTGAAACTGGCCCTTCTCAGACTTGGGCTGAAAGTCTATGTGCAGTGAGCTAATACTCTTAAGAATGTTAGAATTATGTTTGTCTAGTTTAAAGTATATACGAGAGGGTCTTAACATCCACAACTTTGAAATGACATTTATTTTGATGACCTTTCTTACCTTTAGAGTACTTAGCTCTTTGCAGAGACTGGAAAGGGAAACTAGTTCTGTTTCTGAAACCGGCAAATTCTGGCTCTTTCATGTTTCTTGTAAATTCTGTTTGAAAGTGTAACAGTTAATCTTTTGTTATTTTTTATAACAAAATCTAATGCCTTATGGTAAGATACATTGCTATAAGAAACAGTGGTAACTTATCATATTCTACTTGGAAATTTTAGCCAAAACCCCCTATTCTCTTAGGTACAATTTTTATTTTCTACTTTACTACAGGTGACAGAATTACTAAAGGTTTCCAGCACTGGATAGTGACTAAGTCTCTTCCCTTTCCTCAAGAACATTTACTTCTGTCTTTACAGCCTCCACTTACAACATTCTGGAGGCTTCTATTTTTTGGCACTATAGCCAATGCAATACACACTGAATTGTTGTTATGGAATCACCACACTTTGAGGTACCACTTTTTTTTCTGGTCCTCCCTTCAGGCATGGTGCAAGGCTTCACAGTTTTTGTGAGTTAAAACCACCACCATTTTATTTTATTTCAAAATTTTGTGTGCCAGAAATTCAGGCAGGTTGGCTTGGTATTTCTTCTGCTTTGGAGTATAGGACTGAAGTCACTGCCTTATTCAGCTAACAGGGTAGTCTGTAGGATGCAGAATAACTTAATTCACATTTATAATATATTGGAAGAGATGACTGTAAAGATCCCTGGGTCCTTCTTCCTATCCATTTAGGTGAAGAACCAGAAGAACCAAAAGTATAGTCAGGTGTTTTACATGGTGGTCAGAGATCCCAGTGGTAGAAAGTAGAGATGTCAGGCCAGTTAATGGGTAGGGACAGAGATCAAAACCATATCATTCTTCTCCTCACCTCCCTAAAATCTCATCTTTTCCTCAACTTTCAAAATACAATCATTCCTTCCCAACAGTCCCCCAAAGTGTTAACCCATTCCAGCATTGACTGAAAAGTGCACAGTCCAGTCTCGTCTGAGACAAGGTTAGTCCCTTTCACCTAAGCATGTAAAATCAAAAGCAACCTAGTTATTTCCAAGATACAAAGAAGATATAGGAATTGGGTAAATTCTTTCATTCCAAAATGGAGAAATCAGCACAAAGAAAGGGGTTACAGGCCCCATGGAAATCTGTAATCTGGCAGAGTGGTCACTAAATCTTGAAGTTACAAAACAATTACCTTTGACTCCATGCCTCACATCCAGGGCATACTGGTACAATGGGTAGTCTTCTAAGGCCTTGTGTAGTTCCACTCATGTGGCTTTATAGGGTTTGGGCAGCACAGTTGCTCTTAATGTCTTTTGTTGCTCTTGAGGGGGCCCATGGCTTTTCTAGGTGCAGGGTGCAAGCTTCTGGTGGATCTACCATTTTGGGGTCTAGAGGATGGTAGTCCTCTTCTCACAGCTCCACTAGTCAGTGCCCCCGTGGGTACTCCGTGTGTGGGCTCCAACCACACATTTTCCCTCTGCACTGTCCTAGTACAGATTGTCTGTGATTCTCCACCCATGCAGCAGGCTTTGGTCTGAAGTTCCAGACTTTTTGATACCTCCTCTGAATCCTGGTTGGAGGCTCCCAAGCCTCCTCTCTTGCAATTTGTTCACCTGCAGGCTTAACACCACATGAAAGCCTTCAAAATTCACAGCTTTCATCATCTGAACTGTACTTTGGCCCTTTTTAGTCACAGCTGGACCTGAAATGGCTGGGATACACACAACAGTGTCACAAGGCTGCTGAGGGCAACAGGGTCCTGGGACTGGCCCAGAAAACCGTTCACTTCTCCTAGGTCTTCTGGCCTGTGATGGGAGGGGCTGCTGAAAAGATCTCTGAAATGCCTTTGAGGGCTTTTCCCCATTGCCTTGTTGGTTAGCACATGGTTCCACTTATACAAATTTCTGCAGCCTGCTTGAATTTCTTCCCAGAAAATGGGCTTTTCTTTTCAACCAAATGACCAGGTGGCAAATTTTCAACCTTTTGCACTCTGCTTTCCACTTGAATATAAGTTCCAGTTTCATGTTATTTCTTTGCTCATTTGTATGAGCTTAGGTTATTAGAAGCAGCCAGGATAAATCTTGAATGCTGTGCTGTTTAGAAATTTCTTCTGCCAGATACCCTAAATCATCACTCTCAAGTTCAAAGTTTGATGGATCCATAGAAAAGGGACACAATGCAGCCAGACTTTGCTGAAGCTTGGCAAAAATGACCCTTATTCCATCCAGTTCCCATTTAGTTTTTTGTTTCTTTCTGAGACCTCCTCAGTCTAGAGTTTACCATTCACTTCACTATCAAAATTTTGGTCACAGCCATTCAAACTTTTCTAGGAAGTTCCAAACTCTCTCTCATCTTTCTGTCTTCTTCTAAGTCCTCTACACTCTTTCAGACTCTGCCTGTTACCGAATTCCAAAGCTGCTTCCACATTTTCTGGTATCTTTATAGAAATTTCCCAGTCTTTGGTACTAATTTTTTGTATTAGTCCATTCTTGCATTGCTATAAAGAAATATCAGAGAGACTTTGTAATTTATTAAAAAATAAGTTTAATCAGCTCATTTTTCTACAGGCTGTAACTGAAAGCATGATGCTGGCATCTCCTCAGCTTCTGAGGAGGCCTCAGTAAATTTACAATCATAGTGGAAGGCAAAGTGGGAGCAGGTACATCTTACATGGCAGGAGCAGGAGCAAGAAGTGGAGTTGCCACACACTTCTAAAAAACCAGATCCTATGAGAACCCGCTATTGTGATGACAGTATCAAAACTGGATGATGTTAAATCATGAGAAACTTCCTCCATAATCCAGTCACCTCCCACAAGGCCCTACATCCAGCATTGGGGGTTACATTTCTACGTGAGATTTGGGTAGGGACACAGATTCAAACCATGTCATTTTTTAAATATCATTTGGACTACTCCATTTCCTTCTTTATCTTTTATCATCTTCATTTATTCATATTTATGATTTGTTTTTATTCAGTTTTATCAACAGAGCCATTTATTGCATTGGGAATTTTTTTCCAAATAATATAATTCTGAAGCAGAGCGTTAAATACCTTAATTTAAGTTCTCCCACTCATGTGAAAAGGAGGCTAGTATCATTTCCCGGCAGTAAATGACTTCATGTCATATATGAGAGAAACAATTAACAGTTTTATTCTCAAGATTCAATATAATCTGATGGGAAAATAATAATCATATCCTTTCTAGGAATTATTATCCATCTTTGTGCTCCTTTCCCATCTGCTATGATTTTTTTCAATAACTTATTACTCTTTTAAACCCAATTTTAGCTTTTATTACATCACTATTATGTGAGTTGTAAGGGGTATAATATGTCCATGTGACATACTTTTTAGCCCATTTATGTCCATGGGCCATGAGGAAATCTCCATCTTGGATAAATGAGATGTACTAGGTTGGGCAAATTGGTATTATGTAGAGTTTCTGTAGCTTGACAGTGTTGTCACTTGTGGCTTGGGGCATAGGCTAAGTGAATTACAAAATAGAAAAACATCCATTTAAGGATAAGTCTAGTTGAAACCACTAGGATCTATGGCTAATGGTCCTATGAAATAGCCAAGAAACTGTGTTGTAATATTTGACCCTAGCAAATACTGCTCATAGTTTTACAGAACTTTATACTTCACCACATTTTGGTTGGCTTACTGGGCTATGTCATTATTCTGCTCATCATTATATGTTATTCATGCATATATTAAAGTGGCCACCATCTGAAAATCCTAGGCCAGAGGCATTTTCTTTGTTTTATGAGTCAAAACCTGGGTTCTTTGTTGGAACCTATGCCCACTTATAACTTCCCTCAGAATACTTTTATGACCTTCCATAATAGCATTCTCTCTTGCCGAATTTCTTGGATATCCATTCATTAGTGGTTTTTCTGCCTCTTTTTTATGGTAACCAAATGGTGAGGTTACCACACAGGAGCATGAAAATATGCAGACATTGCATGGATAAGCAAATGCTACGTGCACTGAAGGATATGCTGTTAATACATATATTCCAGAGCTGCAATCTAGTCCATGCTCCCATCCACCATGAACCCTGAAATCCTCAGTCTTAACAATACCTTGGACTACATAACATGCTAATATAGTTTGGCTGTGTCCCCACCCAAATCTCATCTTGAATTTTAATCTCCATTATCCTCATGTGTTGTGAAAGGGACCAGGTAGGAGGTAAATGAATCATGGGGGTGGTTTCCCCCATGCTCTTCTCTTGATCATGAGTGAATTCTCATGACTTCTGATGGTTTTATAAGTGTCTGGAATTTCTGCTGCTGTCACTCATTCTCTCTCCTGCCACCCTGTGAAGAGGTATGATTGTAATTTCCTGAGGCCTTCCCAATCATGCAGAACTGTGAGACAATTAAACCTCTTTTCTTTATAAATTACCCAGAATTGGGTATTTCCTTATAGGAATGTGAGAATGCACTAATATACATGCATTTCTTTTTTTAAAAAATAATGAGTGTATACTGTACCTATGTTTAACTTTCTAGCTTGGTAATAGGTATGGATTGCAGAAAATTTGTATGGACAATGGGAAATTTTTGACAACTTCTACATTAGTTAATATTTTTTGTCTACTTTTTATTATTGGAGCAAATAAATTCAGATTCTGTGCTATTGTAGGCATCATCCGATCTAACAAACACTTTTGTGTCATTCTGAAAAGTGGAAAGCATTAGTGGTTATTTGAATTCAGATAGAAGGGACACAGAGAATTATGGCTTATTTTCATATTAGTTCACCATCTTGGAGTCATAATTAAATCATGATATCTTTGATCATATCTGATAGTTCTTCAGAATTAAAGATATGTTTGTACATCTTTTACCACTTACCAATAAGACAGCACAGCACTTATAGACACAGTCTTCATATTTTAGAATTCATATATATGGCATTTGGGATGGATGTATTCAATCAGTTTATTAGGTAAGTTGAAAATGACCAACATTTAGTGGAGCCTGTTACATGATAAGCTCCTTAGCTCGTTCAGATAAGTATTTATGGGACTCTTATCTAAGGCTCTTATGACACAGAATATCCAATATTTAAACATATGATGAGATGAAGATGTTCAACAGAGCCAATTGTAAGCTAAGTCATGGAAATAACAATTGAAGAGCTTAGGCACTGCTCTGTTGTGGGAAAATACAAATTTCTTTATTGTAGAAACAGTTACTGAATTGATATTGGAATAAAATTAAAGGATTGAATTAATGTACTTCAGATCACTATGGTCATATGTAACATAGATTCAGGCCTTGATCAAAAGCCTGTACTCTAACCTAAAACTGCAGAACTATGATGATCTGTTTGCCAAGAATCAGAAGGTCAGCTTCGGTTCTTAGGCTCTCTGCTTCTTAGCCTCAAGGCTTTTTGGGAATGGACCTTCTAACAGTAAGGGTAAGGCCCTCCTCACTAGGAATATGCTCAGAGAAGAGAACCTGGGGCTTCCTGTCAGGGGAACCTGCCCCCAATATTTCAACACAGGTTATTTCTATTTTCCCTAAGTGTTGGCTGGTCTGAAAAATAAAGAAAAAGAGTACAAAGAGAGAAATTTTAGGGCTGGGCCACCAGGGGTGATATCACATATCTGTAGGTCCGTGATGTCCGCCTGAGCCACAAAACCGGAAGGTTTTTATTAAGGACTTTAAGAGGGGATTGGGGTGTACAAACAAGGAGTAGGTCACAAAGATCACATGCTTTAAAGGGCAATAAAGATCACAAGGCAAAGGGTGAAGGAAATATCACAAGGCAAAGGACCAAATTAGAATTACTGATGTGGGTCTATGTTCGGCTGTGCACATATTGTCTTGATAAACACCTTAAGCAACAGAAAACAGGGTTCAAGAGCAGATAACCCGTCTGACCAAAATTTACCAGGCTGGAATTTTCCAATCCTAGTAAGCCTGAGGGTAGTGCAGGAGACCAGGGCATATTTCAGTCCTTATCTCAACTGCATAAGACAGACACTCCCAGAGCGACAGTTTATAGATCTCCCCCCAGGAATGCATTCCTTCCTTAGGGTATGAATTATTAGTATTCCTTGCTGGGAAAAGAATTCAGTGATATCTCTCCTACTTTTATGTCTGTTTATAGGCTCTCTGCAAGAAGAAAAATATGGCTCTATTGTGCCTGACCCTGCAGGCAGTCAGACCTTATGGTTGTCTTCCCTTGTTCCCAAAAATTGCTGTTATTCTGTTCATTTTCAAGGTGCACTGATTTCATATTGTTCAAACACCCATGTTTTACAATCAATTTGTACAATAGTGGTCCTGAGGTAATGTACATTCTCAGCTTATGAAGATAACAAGATTAAGAGATTAAAGTAAAGACAGACATAATAAATTATAAGAGTATTATTTGGGAACTCAAATGTCCATGAAAACTTCACAATTTATGTTCCTCTGCCGTGATTCCAGCTGGTGACTCTGTTCAGTGTCCCTGACTTCCCACAACAGCTTCCCATTCATTCTGGCTTAAATATCATTTGTCTTACCTCAGTATTTCAGAATGTGAAGCTCATAATTTATTGTCCAATTTTCTTTAGAATATATTTTTCACATTATAGGTTTTTCACATTACCTGGCATTTAGCTAGTCTTTCTTGGGGAGACCCAAGTCTTTTTTTCCTCTAGAGGTTTTCTAAGGGGAAAAAAAGAGTTCAACAAGATTATGTTATTTGAATTTATTCCAAATATTCAAATTAACTAAACTATAATGACCTTACTGCCTCTTTCATTTAAAATAGTGATGATGTCGAACTCATAGATTGTGTCTACACATAAATGGGATAATTATTTTCTTGATATAATAACCCAAGAGATATCTGAAATAAATTTCTGCCTAAGGTAGAGTATGTCTTCAGTTGGTATCTAGTCCTCTATGTGTGATGTTTTCTTGCCATATCCTCCATTTCTTGTAAAAATTGTGAAAGTTCTCAATTTACTGGGATTGGGGAGAGATATAGGGACATGCTTTTAATTAGGAAAAAAGTGGACTTAGGGGTATGCTATTTGAATGACATTTGAATGACTGAGAGACTGAAGAGTTTGGCTTCTTTCTGTGAGAAAGCTCTGTCATTGGTTTTTCCATGAAGTTAAATTTCAGCATTTTCCTTGTTAGGTATAAACCTTAATAGCTGGGCACATGAATCTTATAAATCCTCAGTCACAGTAAAGTACTTATGGTTGCTTCACCATAATCGAGGAAACTTTCACTAACAAATTTTAGTGTTGGTACATTTTGTATTCTTGGTCATAAAATAAGGGGCTTGTGCAGGTGCATTTCCACCAATTAGGTCAATATTTACATAGTCATGCAAAGATAGTATCTTTCTTTTTCTATGAAAAAATTCCCCAGCATGTGAGAATATTCAACTACCTTTCTACATTATTAAGTTTAAGCATCTTTATATTTTTGTCATCTGCTTTGGATAGTGCCGTAATTCTCTAATGACCAAGATAATGAAAAGCCTGTGTGGAAGAGTGGAAGCTGTAGCCACTAGGAACGAATTCTATATCCCTGGATCAGCCATCCATTTCGTGTGTTTTATGATCACACATAGATGCATGAGGTATCTACAATAATGCTCTGTGAAAGAAGCATTGCTTTTCTGGAAAATGATGTGAGTATTTGAAACCACTGACAGGAGATATTCATTGAAAATTCCTGTGATATGTTGATATGTAGCTAATGTCTTAAATCCATATGAGTTTTTAAAGAATTCTAATTTAGACAGTTAAGCTAGCAAACATGAAAATTGTTCCACATATGGAATGTATCTTTGGTTTTAATATATAGCCTAATTTTTTCTTTTTCTATTTTCCAAATAAGAAAAAACATGTTCCATATTACATGTATAATAAACCAATATATTTATAATTATAATCTTAGTTTGTGGGATGTTATATTTTATACGATATATTAGTAAAGGTGTACTACTAATTTCAGATATATTTGACGGGAAAGTTTAAAACTTCAGATCATGTCAAGTTTGTAGGAGGGTAAAGGAACAAATGCCTGTTATGTTCTGGAAGCATAATATGGGTTTTTACTTATAAATCTAAAAATTATCCCAGTAAATGTACTAGTAAATAAATATGCTCAGGTTAGTACCTTGGCTACTGTCATTTAAATAGATTTATAAAAGTGTGACTGTGAAATGTATTATGAAGGTTTTCTGTTATTATGGAATTTTATCTTTTGAAAAATGTCACGTTCTCAGGAAACTACATTAAATCATTGTTTTTCTAGAAAAATGTTAACAGTAGTTTACATTGAAGTCATAGTAATGCTATCTTTCAGTTTTTAAAGTATACTTTTAATTACTTAAGCTATAGAGGATAGTTTACATATCCTGTTTTTTACAAGTAAACATTTAAATTGCCAAAATAATTATGCTGTTAAAATCTACTTTTGATGATGGAAGAGGGAAAAGCACAAAACCTTGCAACAAGTAAGGTGTGAAAAAATAAAAGGATTACTATAGGCTACATTATTCCCTTGTGTTGCAACTCAGATCAGCTTCAGTGGCAAGATACATAGTTTGTCCTCAAGCCTTTCTCTTCTAATTCCCCTCAAGTAAGAGAATCCTAGAAGAGCTGTTCTGATCATGTATAAGAATATATAAATTCAAATGGCATAAGGGATATATTACAGTATACATGAGGAGGTTCTGCCTTGCCCTTCATTTAGGAAAGAAGAATTTATTTTTCCAGCTGTTGGGGGTGTGCTGTTAGTAGACAGCATTCAGATGATATCCACTTCAGTATCTTTAGAAGTTGCAGAAAGCCACCTCAATAAAGGTCGCATGCCCTTTCCCAGAGCAGCCCCTCTTTGCATCCAGGTTAACGTTTAGGTTCAGGTATCATTAGAACATACTGCTCTTCCAACTACTTTGTCATCATTTTTCCATTTTTAAATTTCCAATTTCCTCATTAGCTTATCAAACCTGTTAGCCAGTGTCCATTTTCAGTGTAGATCCATAAGTATGGTTATTATTCCTTCCACATACAGTGGAAAACCAGACTGACTGCTCAAATTACTGCCCTCCTTCACTCCAGTGCTTCCAGACTACGTTCCAGGGACAGTGCAACAGTTGTCTACTTTTGTCTGTTTTTGCCATTCTATGCAAATTAGTTACTTCTTTTGTTGTTGTAATCTTTAAAACATAGTTTGTTTTTTATTTTCTGTATTGAGGTGTATGTGACAAAAAATATATAACATATATTTAAGATGTACAGTGTGATATTTTAATAAATGTATACATTGTGAAATGATTACCACAATCAACCTGTTCATCACCTCACATAATTAACTTTTGTGTTTGGTGAGAATATTTAAGATGCATTTTCTCAGCACACTTCAAGTGTACAATATGGTATTATCAAGTATACTCTCTATGCTGTAACTTAGCTCTCCAGAACTTACTCATTCTGCATGAGTGCATCTTTGTACTCTTTGAACAACATCTCTTTTCTTCTCCCCGCATTCCATCCCAATCACCATTATACGCTCTGATCTTATCAGTTTGACTTCTTTTTTTAGATTCCACATATAATTAAAATCATGTGGTATTTACCCTTCAGTATGGAGAACAGGGAAGCCTGTTACATAGTTGGCGGGAATGTAAATTGATACAGCCATTATAGAAGGCACTATGGAGGATAAAACTACCATCTGATCCAGAAATCCCACTACTTGGTATGTATCAAAAGAAAATGAAGTTAGTATCTTGAAGAGATAACCTGCACTCCCATATGAACTGCAGCATTATTCATAATCACCAAGATATGGAAACAACTTACATATCCATCAATAGATGAATGAATAGAGGCAATGTGACATCTATCTATCTATCTATCTATCTATCTATCTATCTATCTATCTATCATCAATCATCTATCTATCTAATGTACACATGCACACTTATACTCACATAATATATGGTATTATTGACAACAGACATTATGCTGTACCTTACATCACCAGTATTACTTCATCCAACAAAAATGAAAATTTGTATTTTTGCCCTCTGTTTTTGTATATGTAATGCAATAATATTTCATAATCAAATATCATTAAACCTTCAAAAGATCATTCTGCTATTTTTGACATGAATGACCTTGGAAGACTTAATAACCTCTTTGTTTTATTTTGTTTTTAATTGACAAACAGTAATTGTTTAAGAAGTAATTCTTCTAAGAAGAAGTTTGTCAGTCTTATTATTTTCTTCTTTCTCTTTCTTTCTTTTTTTCTTTCTTTTTTTCTCTCTTTCTTTCTTTTTTTCTTTCTTTGTGGAGTACAGTGGGATGTTTTTATATCATGTGCAATAACACGAATGTACCTAGAGGACATTATGCTAAGTGAAATGTTTTCTTGAATAGATATTTAGTGCACTGATTTTCAGTTTTTATTATTTTCTAGAAAATGCAAGTAATATTTTAGCTGAGTTTTACAAGCTTTGATATGTTGTATTTTCATTATTATTAGGCTCAAAATACTTCCTAACTTCTGTGATTTATTTTTACTAATGGATTATTTAAAAGTGGTTTGTTTAATTTTGAGATAGAAAATTTCTGGGTAATTTTAGTTTTTTATTTTCTAGCTGATTTTCTTGATGTTCAGTGACATATTTTATTATGGTGATTATAGGAAATTCATAGAGAGTTGTTTTATGAACCAGTATATGATTGATTTTGGAAAATGTTTCATATGCTCCTGAAAAGAATGTCTATTTTCCTGGTGTTGTATGTGATGATCTCTTATGTCAGTGGGTCAAATTTTCTAAATGGTTTTGTTTGAATCATAAATATCTTCATAAATTTTTTTGTGTGTATTCTAGCACTTAGAGTTGTGCTAAAATCTTCCTGTATTATTGTTGATTTGCCTATTTATCCTTTTAGCTCAGTCTATTTTAAAAAATAACGTATAAAGTTGTGCTTTCAGGTGCGTACCTATTTATAATTTTATCTTCATATTGCTAATCTTTTGCCATTATAAAAATTTATTTCTGGAAATATTTCTTGCCTTGAAGTCTAGTTTTGTCTGATATTAGCATAGAAATAGTGTTCTTTTGGTCAGAATTTATGCACTTTATTCTATTATTTTATTTTCACCTTTTCACACTGTTATTTAAGATGTTTCTCTTATAAGGCTCTTACCGTTGTGTTCTATTTCTTAAATAGGAGAATTTTGCTCATTAAAAAGATAAAGTTAATTATGTATTGAATTCAAATCCACCACTTTTCTTTTGGTTTCATACTTATTAATTTTACATATGATTAACATTCATGTTATTTATTGCTATATTTCTTCTTTCAATTTGTCTTCCTTCTTTCCTGCATTTCCTTTTTTCCATTTCAGAGCTTTTTCCTTCCTTCCAAAGATCCTTCTTCAGAGCTCTTATTCCATAATTTGTGGCTGATTCTAGAATCTCTAAATATTTTTTAAATTAGTCAGAAATCTCTGTATTTTACGTTCACTTCTGTGAGATTTTAAATGGATTCTATGTTGACATTTTTATTCATTTATCACTGTGAAGAGGTATTTCCTTTTCCTTTTGGTTTTCACTGCATCTTTTAAGAAGAAGTTTGTCAGTCTTATTATTTTCTTCTTTCTTTTCTCTTTCTTTCTTCTCTTCTTTCTTTTATTTCTTTCTTTTCTTTCTTTCTTTCCTTCTATCCTTCTTTATTTCTTCCTTTTCTCTCTTTCCTTTCCTTTCCTTCTTTCCTCTCCTTTCCTTCGTTCCTTCATTCCTTCCTTCTTTCCTTCTACAGAATCTTGCTCTGTTGCCTAATATGGAGTGCAGTGGCACCATCTCAACTCACTGCAACCTCTGCATCCCAGGTTCAAGCAATTCTTCTGCCTCAGCCTCCCTAGTAGCTTGGATAACAGGTGCCTGGCACCACAACTGGCTAATTTTGTATTTTTATTAGAGACTGGATTTGGCTAGTCTGGTCTCAAACTCATGGCCTCAAGTGATCCACCTGACTTGGCCTCCCAAAGCGCTGTGATTACAGACATGAGGCACCACACATGGCCTTATTATTATTTTCTTGAATGCAGTATGTTCTTAAAATTTTTGTCTGTATTTTGCTTTTATTCTGCTGTACCTTTTCTGTTTATCCTTTTAAAACAAATTATTGTTTTTAAAATTCATTCTTCATGAAACTCATAAAACCTTATAAATTCATAGCTTAATATCGCTCAGCAGTTTTAGAGAATTTTCAGCAATATCTCTTCAAATATTTTGCCTACCTGATTCTCTTTCTCTCCTTTTTCTGGAATTGTAATTAAATTAAAAGTATGTCAGAGTTTTACACTTTGTCCTTTATATCTCTTTTATACTGTTTTCTGCATTTGCTTTTTTTGCTGTCTGCTTTGATCGCATATTTTCTTCTAATATTTTTTGCAGTTTACTAATTCTCTAATTTTTTCTCTAATTTGCTGTTAAATCCCACCATTATGTTTTTAATTTGTTATTATACATTTTAGTTTTTCAGTTTATTTTGTTCATTTTATTGTTTATCTTGTTTTAATATTTGTTCATACTAAACTTATTAAAAATGCTTATATTTCATTATCTAGATCATCTTTTTTTTATTGCACTTGTCTTTCAATCATGCCTTGTCTACTGTACTTTGTTACTTTTTTTGAGTGCCCAATTTTGCATATGAAAAGTGGCAATTCAAGAATTTTTTGGGATTTTTTTTTTAAAGAGAGAATTTCCTGTGTTTCTCCTCAAGAGTTGGGATTGGAGAATAAAAAATCTCAGATAGTCTTAATTCAATCAAGCAATTAGAGGATGCAAGCTGGACTTCAGTTCCTTTGAAGACTGCCTTATTGTCTGTGCATTCCTACTCCAAGAGTAAATCCTCTTGTGACGTAGTCATACAAAGATAGTATCTTGTGGTCTCAAATGAAAGCCTTGTTGTTTATAAAGGACTCTTTTCCTTGGTAGAGCTTCAATTTTACATTTTGTCCCTTAGGGTAAATAATCTACAGAAAGTTGTACACAGGTTTTCAGGCTTTCATTTATGGTTTTGGGAATTATCTCACTTTTAGAGAAATTAGACTCTAAATGTGGTGTTCTGCTCTCTAGCTTTCTTTTTCTTTTCTGAGACAGGGTCTTGCTATGTTGCCCAAGCTGGACTCAAACTCCTGGGCTTAAGGGATTCTCCCACGTCAGTCTTAAAAATAGCTGGGACTACATAACATACTGAGATAGTGTGGCTGTGTCCTCGCCCAAATCTCATCTTGAATTTTAATCTCCATTATGCCCATGTGTCATGAGAGGGACGAGGTGGGAGGTAATTGAGTCATGGATGTGGTTTCCCCCATGCTGTTCTGTTTGTGAGTGAGTTCTTATGAGATCTGATGGTTTTACAAGTGTCTGGCATTTCCCCTTCTGGCACTTATTCTCTCTCCTCCCACCCTGTGAAGAGGCATGATTGTAAGTTACCTGAGGCCTTCCCAATCATGCAGAACTGTGAGTCAATTCAACCTATTTTCTTTATAAATTAATGAATCTGGGGTATTTCCTTCTAGCAATGTGAGAACAGAGTAATATACATGCATTTCTGCTTTTAAAAAAAGAAATATATATTGTATCTATATTTAACTTTCTAGTTTGGTAATAGGTATGGAGAGAATTATTATAAACCATGGAATTTTTTGGCAATTTCTACAATAGTTGATATTTTTGATGAATTTTTTACTATTGGAGCAATTAAATTCAGATTCTGGGCTGTTGTAGGCATTATCTAATACAACAAACACTATTGTGTCATTCAGAGAATTGGAAAGCAGTGCAATTATTTGAATTCAGCTAGAAAGGACATAGAGAATTATGACTTATTTTTATACTAGTTCTCCATCTTGGAGTCATACTATAGTATAAACCACTGTATCTTTGATCACATCTGATAGTTTTCAGTATTAAAGCTATGTTTGTGAATCTTTTACCACTTACCAGTAAGAGAGCACAACACTTACAGATATTCTCTTCAAATTTTAGCAGTAATATGTATTACATTTGGGGTGGATGAATTTAATCTATTTATTAGGTAAGTTGAAAATGACCAACTTCTCGTGGAGCCATTTACATGATAAAGATCTTAGCTGGTTCAGTTAAGTATTTATGAGACTCTTTATCTAGGCTCTTATGACACCGAAGATCCAATATTTAACTAAACATATGATGAAGTGAAGGTGTTCAGTGGAGCCAATGGTAAGCCAAGTCATGGAAATAACAAAGGCAGACCTTAAGCACTGCTCTCTTCTTGGCAAATAAAAATGCCTTTATTGTAGAAACAGTTATTGAAATGATATTGGAATAAAATTAAAGGATTGATTCTGACATGGATCAAGGTCTTGATCAAAGGCCTGTACTCTAACTGAAAACTGCAGAACTAAGATGATCTATTATTCCAAGAATCAGAATGTCAACTTCTGTTCTTAACACTCTCTGCTTCTAAGCCTCAGGGCTTCTTGGGAATGGACTTTCTAACAGGAAGAATAAGGCTCCCCTTGCTGAGAATATGCTTAGGGAAGAGAACCTGGAGCTGGTTTCCCTTTCATTCTGGCTTAAATATTACTTGTCTTCTCAGTATTTCAGAATGTGAAACTCATAATTTATTGTTCAATTTTCCTTAGAATATATTTTTCACATTATAGGCTTTTCACATTACTTGGCATTTAGCTACTGTTCCTTGTGGAGACCCATGTCTTTTTCCTCTAGAGATTTTCTAATAGGAAAAAAAGTGTTCAGAGAGATTACTTCATTTGAATTCATTCCAAATATTCAATTAACTTATCTATAATGACCAAACTGTCTCATTTATTTAATACAGTGATGATGTAATCGTCATAGATTGTGTCTACAAACATAAAAGAAATATTATCCTGATAGAATCACACAAGAGATATCTGAAGACTTAATTTCTGCCCAAGTTAGAGTATGTCTTCAGTTGGTATCTAGTCCTCTAGGTATGATGTCTTATGTCATATCTTCCATTTATTTTAAAAAATTGTGAAGGTTTTCAATTTACTGGAATGAGGTAGGGGAGATATAGGGACATTTTTTTTTAATTATACTTTAAGTTTTAGGGTACATATGCACAATGTGCAGGTTTGCCACATATGTATAGATGTGCCATGCTGGTGGGCTGCACCAAATAACTCGTCAATTAACATTAGGTATATCCCTTAATGCTATCCCTCACCCCTCCCCCCACCCCACAACAGGCCCTGGTGTCTGATGTTCCCCTTCCTGTGTCCATGTGTTCTCATTTTTCAATTCCCACCTATGAGTGAGAACATGCAGTGTTTGGTTTTTTGTCCCTGAGGTAGTCTGCTGAGAACGATGGTTCTCAGCTTCATCCATGTCCCTACAAAGGACATGAACTCATCATTTTTCATGGCTGCATACTATTCCATGGTGTATATGTGCCACATTTTCTTATTCCAGTCTATCATTGTTGTACATTTAGGTTGGCTCCAAGTCGTTGCTATTGTGAGTAGTGCTGCAATAAAAATACGTGTGCATGTGTCTTTATAGCAGCAACATGATTTATAATCCTCTGGGTATATACCCAATAATGGGATGGCTGGGTCAAATGGTATTTCTAGTTCTAGATCCCTGAGGAATCACCACACTGATTTCCATGAGGGTTGAACTAGTTTACAGTCCCATCAACAGTGTAAAAGTGTTCCTATTTCTCCACATCCTCTCCAGCACCTGTTGTTTCTTGACTTTTTAATGGTCGCCATTCTAACTAGTGTGAGGTGGTATCTCATTGTGGTTTTGATTTGCATTTCTCTGATGGCCATTGATGATGAGCATTTTTTCATGTGTCTTTTGGCACATAAAAGTCTTCTTTTGAGAAGTGTCTGTTCATATCCTTCGCCCAATTTTTTTTCCTTTAAAGCTAAATTTATTCACTTTTTTTCTTCCTTTTTTAAATTATACTTTAAGTTTTAGGGTACATGTGCACAATGTGCAGGTTAGTTACATATGTATACATGTGCCATGTTGGTGTGCTGCACCCATTAACTCATCATTTAACATTAGGTATATCTCCTAATGCTGTCCCTGCCATTCACACCACCCTACAACAGGCCCTGGTGTGTGATGGTCCCCTTCCTGTGTCCATGTGTTCTCATTGTTCAATTCCCACCTATGAGCGACAACAGGCGGTGTTTGGTTTTTTGTCCTTGTGACAGTTTGCTGAGAATGATGGTTTCCAGCTTCATCCATGCTCCTACAAAGGACATGAAATCATCATTTTTTATGGCTGCATAGTATTCCATGGTGTATATGTGCCACATTTTCTTAATTCAGTCTATCATTGTTGGACATTTGGGTTGGTTCCAAGTGTTTGGTATTGTGAATAGTGCCACAATAAACATATGTGTGCATGTGTCTTTAAAGCAGCATGATTTATAATCCTTTGGATGTATACCCAATAATGGGATGGCTGGGTCAAATGGTATTTCTAGTTCTAGATCCCTGAGAAATTGCCACACTGACTTCCACAATGGTTGAACTAGTTTACAGTCTCACCAACAGTGTAAAAGTGTTCCTATTTCTCCACATCCTCTCCAGCACCTGTTGTTTTCTGACTTTTTAATGATCGCCATTCTAACTGGTGTGAGATGGTATCTCATTGTGGTTTTGATTTGCATTTCTCTGATGGCCAGTGATGATGAGCATTTTTTCACATGTCTGTTAGCTGTATAAATGTGTTCTCTTTAGAAGTGTCTGTTCCTATCCTTCACCAACTTTTTGATGGGGTTGTTTGTTTTTTTCTTGTAAATTTGTTGGAGTTGATTGTAGATTCTGGATATTAACCCTTTGTCAGATGAGTAGATTGCAAAAATGTTCTCCCATTCTGTAGGTTGCCTGTTCACTCCGATGGTAGTTTCTTTTGCTGTGCAGAAGCTCTTTAGTTTAATTAGATCCCATTTTTGTCAATTTTGGCTTTTGTTGCCATGGCTTTTGGTGTTTTAGACGTGAAGTCCTTGTCCATGCCTATGTCCTAAATGGTATTGCCTAGGTTTTCTTCTAGGGTTTTGATGGGTTTAAGACTAACATTAAAGTCTTTAATCTACCTTGAATTAATTTTAGTATAAGGTGTAAGGAAGGGATCCAGTTTCAGCTTTCTACATATGGCTAGTCAGTTTTCCCAGCACCATTTATTAAACAGGGAATAAGTTTCCCATTTCTTTTTTTTTGTCAGGTTTGTCAAAGACCAGATGGGTTTAGATATGTGGCATTATTTCTGAGGGTTCTCTTCTGTTCCATTGGTCTACATCTCTGTTTTGGTACCAGTACCATGCTGTTTTGGTTACTGTAGCCTTGTAGTATAGTTTGAAGTCAGGTAGTATGATGCCTCCAGCTTTGATCTTTTGGCTTAGCAATGCGGGCTCTTTTTTGGTTCCATACTAACTTTAAAGTAGTTTTTTCCAATTCTGTGAAGAAAGTCATTGTTAGCTTAATGGGGATGGCATTGAATCTATAAACTACTTTTGGCAGTACAGCCATTTTCATGATATTGATTCTTCCTATCCTTGAGCATGGAATGTCCTCCCATTTTTTTGTATCCTCTTTTGTTTCATTGAGCAGTGTATTTCTCCTTGAAAAGGCCCTTCACATCCCTTGTAAGTTGGATTCCTAGGTATTTTATTCTCTTTGAAGCAATTATGAATGGGAGTTCACTCATGATTTGGCTCTCTGTTTGTCTGTTATTGGTGTATAAGAATGCTTGTGATTTTTGCACATTGATTTTGTATCCTGAGACTTTGCTGAAGTTGCCTATCAGCTTAAGGAGATTTTGGGCTGAGACAATGGGGATTTCTAGATATACAATCATGTCATCTGCAAACAGGGACAATTTGACTTCCTCTTTTCCTAATTGAATACCCTTTATTTCCTTCTCCTTCCTGACTGCCCAGGCCAGAACTTGCAACACTATGTTGAATAGGAGTAGTGAGAGAGGGCATCCCTGTCTTGTGCCAGTTTTCATAGGGAATGCTTCCAGGTTTTGCCCATTGAATATGATATTGACTGTGGGATTGTCATAGATAGCTGTTATTATTTTGAGATAAGTCCCATCAATACCTAATTTATTGAGAGTTTTTTGCATGAGGAGTTGTTGAATTTTGTCAAAGGCCTTTTCTGCATCTATTGAGATAATCATGTGGATTTTGTCATTGGTTCTGTTTATATGCTGTATTACATTTATTGATTTTCATAAGTTGAACCAGCCTTGCATCCCAGGGATGAAGCCCACCTGATCATGATGGATAAACTTTTTGATTTGTTGCTGGATTTGATTTGCCAGTATTTTATTGAGGATTTTTGCAGTGATGCTCATCAGGGATATTGGTCTAAAATTGTCTCTTTTTGTTGTGTCTCTGCCCGGTTTTGTTACCAGGATGATGCTGGCCTCATAAAAAGAATTAGGGAGGATTCCCTCTGTTTCTATTGATTGGAATAGTTTCAGAAGGAATGGTGCCATCTCCTCCTTGTACCTGTGGTAGAATTCGGCTGTGAATCCATCTGGTCCTGGACTTTCTTTAGTTGCTAAGGTATTAATTATTGCCTCAATTTCAGAGCCTGTTATTTGTCTATTCAGAGATTGAACTTATTCCTGGTTTAGTCTTGGGAGGGTGTAAGTGTCGAGGAATTTATCCATTTCTTCTAGATTTTCTAGTTTATTTGCGCCGAGGTGTTTATAGTATTATCTGATGGTAGTTTGTATTTCTGCGGGAACGGTGGTACTATCCCCTTTATCATTTTTTATTCCATCTGTTTGATTCTTCTATCTTTTCCTCTTTATTAGTCTTGCTACTCAGTCTACCAATTTTGTTGATGTTTTCGAAAAGCCAGCCCCTGGATTCATTAATTTTTGAAGGTTTTTTGTGTCTCTATTTCCTTCAGTTCTGAGATCCCAAACATTTCCTCAAAGATCCTACAAAAATAGTTTCCAACCTGCTGAATCAGAAGAAAGGATTACCACTGTAGCATGAATTGACACATCACAATGCAGTTTCACAGATATCTCCTTTCCAGTTTTTATCTGGGTATATTCACTTTTTCACCATACTCCTCAATGAGCTTCCACACATTCCTTTGCAGATTCTACAAAAACCGTGGCTCCAAACTGCTGAATAAAAGAAAGGTTTAACTCTAGATGAATCCACACATCACAAAGCAGTTTTACAGATAGCTTCTTTCTATTATTTATCCTGGGATATTCACTTTTTTTACCATACCCTCAATGAGCTTTCAAATGTCCCTTCACAGATTCTACAAAACAGTGTTTCCAAATTGCGGAATCCAAAGAAAGGTTTAACTCTGTGAGAGGAATCTACACATCACAAGCAGTTTCACAGATAAATTCTTTGTAGTTCTCACCCTGGGATGTTTGCTTTTTCAACATAGGCCTCAATGAGTTCCCAAGTGTTTCTTCACAGATTCTACAAAAGGACTGTTTCCAAACTGCTCAATTAGAAGAAAGGTTTAATACTGTAAGATGAATCCGCACACCATGAAGCAGTTTCACATATAACTTATTTGTAGTTATTAAATGGGGATATTTGCTTTTTCACCATAGGCCTGAATGAACTCCCAAGTGTCCCCTCATAGATTCTACAAAAACAGGGTTTCTAAAATGCTGAATCAAAAGAAAAGTTTAACTCTGTGAGATAAACAGACACATCAAGAAGAAATTACACATATACCTAGTTTCTAGTTTTTATCTGGGGATATTCACTTTTTTACCACAGGCCTCAGTGAGCCCTCATAAGTATCGATGCAGATTCTACAAAAACAGTGTTTCCAAACTGCTGAATCAAAAGAAAGGCTGAACTCTGTGAGGTGAATACACTCATGACAAAGCAGTTTAATAGATAGCTTCTTTCTAGTTTTCATCCTGGGATATTTGCTTGTTCACCACAGGCCTCAATGAGCTACAAAATGGCCCTCTGCAGATTCTACAAAAACAGTGTTTCCAAGCTGTTGAATACAAAGAAAGGTTTAACTTGGTGAGATGAATCCAAACATCACAAAGCAGTTTCACACATAATTTCTTTCTGGTTTTTATCTGGGGATATTTAGTTTCTCACCATAGGCCTCGATGAACTTCAAAAATCCTTTCAATGATTCTATAAAAAAACTGTTTCCAATCTGCCACATCAAAAGAAAGGTTTAACTCAGAGAGATGAATCCACACATCACAAAGCTGTTTCACAGATGCCTTCTCTCTAGTATTTATCTGCGGCTATTCACTTTTTCTCCATTAACCTCAATGAGAAAAAATGTCCCTTCGTGGTTTCTACAAAAACAAGTTTCCAAATTGCTGAGTAAAAAGGAAGGTTTATGTCTGTGAGATGAATCCACACATCAAAAAGCAGTTTCACAGATAGCTTCTTTCTAGTTTTTATCTGGGGATTTTTGGTTCATCACCATATGTTTCAATGCACTCTCAAATGTCCCTTCACAAATTCTACAAAAAAAGACTGTTTCCAATATGCTGAATCAAAGAAAAGGTTTAAATCTGTGAGATGAATCTGCATATGACAAAAGCAGTTTCACAGAGAGTTTCTTTCTAGTTTTTATCCGGGGATATTCCCTTTTTCACCATACTCCACAATGAGCTTCCAAATGTCCCTTCAAGATTCCACAAAAACCGTGGTTCCAAACTGCTGAATAAAATGAAAGTTTTAAACTCTGTGATATAAATCCCCACACATCACAAAAAGGTTTCACAGATAGCTTCTCTCTAGTATTTGTCCTGGAACATTCACTTTTTAACTGTAGGCCTCAATGAACTCTCAAATGTCCCTTCACAGATTCTACAAAAACAGTTTTCCCAAACTGCTCAATTAACAGAAAAGTTTAACTACGTGAGATGAATCTACACACCACAAAGCCGTTTCACAGGTAGCTTCTTTCTAGTTTTTATCTGGGCATATTTGCTTTTTTACCATAGGCCTCAAAGTGCTCCCTTATGTACCTTTGCAGACTCTACAAACACAGTGTTTCCAAACTGATGAATGAAAATAAAGGCTTAAATCTTTTAGGTGTATCCACACATCACAAAGCAGTTTTACAGATAGTTTCTTTCTAGCTTTTAACCGGGGATATTCACTTTTTAACCATAGGCCTCAGTAAGCTCCCAAATGTCCTTTCACAGATTCTACAAACACAATGTTTCCAAACTGCTGAATCCAAAGCAAGGTTTACTTCTGTGAGATGAATGCACACAACACTAAACAGTTTCCCAGAGAGTTTCTTTCTAGTTTTTATCTGAAGATATTTTGTTTTAAACCATTGATCTCAATGCACAGTGAAATATCTCTTCACAGATTCTACAAGAACAGTGTTTCCAAACTGCTGAATAAAAAGGAAGGTTTAACTATGTGAGTTGAATGAACACATCGTAAAGCAGTTTCTCAGAAACCTTCTTTCCAGTTTATCAGAAGATATTTTCTTTATTGCTATAGGCCTCAATGTGCTACCAAATGTCCATTCGCAGAATGTGCAAAATCAGTGTTTCCAAACTGCTGAATGAAAAGAGGGCTTTAACTCTGTGAGATGAATGCACGCATCACAAAGCAGTTTCTCAGATAGCATCCTTCCAGTTTTTATCCTGGCATATGTGGTTCTTGGCCACTGGACTCAATGAGTTCCCAAATGTCCATTTGCAGAATGGACAAAAACAGGCTTTCCAAACTGCTGAATCAAAAGACAGGTTTAACTCTGTGAGATGAATGCAGATATCACAAAGAAGTTTACCAGAAAGCATCTTTTTAGTTTTTATCTGAAGATATTTACTTTTTCACCTTAGGCCTCAATCCGTTCCCAAATATCCCTTCACAGATTCTGCAAAAACGGTGTTTGCAAACTGCTGCATTAAAAGAAAGGTTTAACTCTGCGAGGTGAATGCACACATAACAAAGCAGTTTCTCAGATAGCTTCCTTCTAGTTTTTATCCTGGGCTATTCACTTTTTTGCCTTTGGCTTCAATGAGCTCCCAAATGTCCATTCGTTGAAAGAACAAAAACAGTGTTTCCAAACTGCTGAATCAAAAGAAAGGTTTAACCCTGTGAGATGAATGCACACGTCACAAAGCAGTTTCTCACAAAGCTTTTTTCTAGTTTTTATCTGAAGATCTTTTCTTCAGATAAGATCATAGGCACGTGTAGATGCCTATGATGAAAAAGAAAATATCTTCAGATACAAACCAGAAAGAAGCTTTGTGAGTAACTGCTTTGTGATGTGTGCATTCATCTCACAGAGTTAAAACACTCTTTTGATTCAGTAGTTTGGAAACACTGATTTTGTGTATTCTGCAAATTGGCATTTGGGGGCTCATTTAGGCCAAAGGTGAAAAAGCAAATATCCCAGGATAAAAACTAGAAGGATACTATCTGAGAAACCACTTTGTGATGTGTGCATTGATCTCACAGAGTTAAACCTTTCTTTTGATTCAGCAGGTAGGAAACCCTGTTTTGGTACATTCTGGGAATGGACATTTTGGAGCTTGTTGAGTCCTACAGTGAAAAATAAAATATCTTCAGACAAAAAGTAGAAAGAAGATTTCTGATAAAGTGCTTTGTGATGTGTGCATTCATTGCACAGTGTTAAACCATGTTTTGATTCTTCAGTTAGGGAACACAATTTTTGTGCATGCTGCGAATGGATATTTGGGAGCTATTGGGGTCAATGCTGAAGAAGTAAATATCCCATGGTAAAAACTAGAAGGAAGCTCTCAGAGAAACCACTTTGTGCATTCATCTCACAGAGTTAAAAGTTTCTTTAGATTCAGCAGTTTGGAAACACTGTTTCTGTAGAATCTGTGAAAGGAAATTTGGGACCACATTGAGGCATATGGTGAAAAAGAAAATATCTTCAGGTAAAAACCAGAAAGAAATTTCAGAAAAACTGCTTTGTGATGTGTGTATTCATGTCACAGTGTTCAACCTTTGTTTTGATTCAGTAGTTTGGAAAAACTGTTTTTGTACGTTCTGCAAATGGACATTTGGGAGCTCATTGAGGCCTATGATGAAAAAGAAAATACCTTCAGATAAAACTATAAAGAAGCTTTCTGAGAAATTGCTTTTTGATGTGTACATTCATCACACAGTGCTAAATCTTCCTTTTGATTCAGCACATTGGAAACACTGTGTTTGTAGAATCTGTGAATTGGCATTAATTAGCTCATTGAAGCCAAAGTTGAAAAAGAGAATATCCCAGGATAAAAACAGAAGGAAGCTATCTCAGAAATTGCTTTGTGATATGTGCATTCATCTTGCAGAGATAGACTTTCTTTTGATTAAGCAGTTTGGAAACACTGTTTTTTAGAATATACCAATGGGCCTTTTTTTTTTAGCCCATTGAGGCCTTTTTTGAGAAAGAAAATATCTTCAGATAAAAACTGGAAAGAAGCTTTCTGTGAAACTGCTTTGTGATTTTAGCATTTATCTCACAGTTGTACACCTTTCTTTTGATTCAGCAGTTAGTAAACACTATTTTTTTCCTTCCTGCTAATGGACATTTGGGAGCTCATTGAGGCCAATGGCAAAAAAGTGAATATCCCAGGATAAAAACTAGAAGGAAGCTATCTGTAAAACTTCTTTGTGATGTGTGTATTCACGTCACAGAGTTAAACCTGTCTTTTCATTCAGCAGTTTGGAAACACTGATTTTGTAGAATCTGTGAAGGGATATTTGGGAGCACATTGAGGCCTATGGTGAAAAAGAAAGTATCTTCTGATAAAAAATAGAAAAAAGCTATCTGAGAAACTGCTTGTGATGTGTGCATTCATCTAACATAAGTAAACCTTTCTTTTCTTTCAGCAGTTTGGAAACACGGTATTTGTAGAATCTTCAAAGTGATATTCGGGAGCATATTGAGGCCTATGGTGAAAAAGGAAATTCCTTAATATAAAAACTAGAAAGAAGCTTTCTGAGAAAATGCTTTGTGATGTGTGCATTCATCTCACAGAGTTAAACCTTACTTTTGATTCAGCAGCTTGGAAACAATGTTTTTTTCCATTCTGTGAATGGACATTTGGGAGCTCATTGAGGCCAATGGCAAAAAAGCGAATATTCGAGGAAAAAAATTCTGAGGCAGCTATCTGAGAAAATGCTTTGTGATGTGTGCATTCATCTCACAGAGAGAGACGTTTCTTTTCACTAAGCAGTTTGAAAACACTGTTTTTGTAAAATATGAGAAGGGATATTTTGGACCACATTGAGGCCTAGGGTAAAAAGGAAAATATCTTCAGATAAAAACAAGAAAGAAGCTTTTTGAGAAACTGCTTTGTGATGTGTGCATTGATCTCACAAGGTAAATCTTTCTTTTGATTCAACAGTTTGGAAACACTGTTTTTGTCCATTCTGAGAATGGACATTGGGAGCTGTTTGAGGCCAATGTCAGAAATGCAATTATCCCAGGATTAAAAACTAGAAGGAAGGTATCTGATAAACTACTTTTGGATGTGTGCATTCTTCTCACAGAGTTAAAACTTTCTTTTCTTTCTGCAGTTTGGAAACACTGTTTTTGAAGATTCTCTGAAGGGATATTTGAGAACTCATTGAGGTCAACGGTGTAAAAGGGAATATCCCTGTATTAAGTAGAATGAATCTATCTGTGAAACAGCTTTGTGATGTTTGCGTTCATCTCACAAAGTTAAACCATTCTTTTGATTCAGCAGGTGGGAAACAATGTTTGTGTAGAATCTTCAAATGTACATTTGGGAGCATATTGATGCCTGTGGTGAAAAAGGAAATATCTTCCAATGAAAACAAGAATGAAGCTTTCTGATAATCTGCTTTGTTATGTGTGCATTCATCTCAGAGTGCTAAACTTTTCCTTTGATTCAGCAGTTTGGAAACACTGTTTTTGTCCATTCTGTGAATGGGTATTTGGGAGCTCATTGAGACCAATGGCAAAAAAGTGAATATCCCGAGGTATAAACTAGGAGGAAGCTATCTGAGAAACCACTTTATGATGTGTGCATTAATCTCACAGAGTTAAAACTTTCTTTTGATTCAGCAATTGGGAACCGCTGTTTCTGTAGGATCTACAAATGGACTTTTGGGTGCGTATTGAGGCATATGGTGAAAAAAAATCTTCAGATTAAAAGGAGGAATCAGCTTTCTGATAAACTGTTTTGTGCTGTGTGCGTTCAGCTCACACAGGTAAACCTTTGTTTTCATTCAGCAGTTTGGAAACACTGTTTTTGTGCAATCTGCAAAGCAATATTTGGGAGGGCATTGAGGCCTTTGGTGAAAAAGAAAATATCTTCATGTAAATACTAGAAAAACGGCTTTGTGATGTGTACATTCATCTCACAGTTAAACCTTCCTTTGATTCAGCAGTTTGGAAACACTGTTTTTCTCCATTCTACCAACGAACACTTTGGAGTGCTGGAGGCCTATCGTGTAAAAGGAAAATATCTTCAGATAAAAACTAGAATGAAACTATCTGAGAAACTCCTTTGAGATGTATGCATTCACCTGTCAGAGTTAAATCATTCTTTTCATTCAGCAGTTTGGAAACACTGTTTTTGTAGAACCTGTGAAGGGATATTTGAGAGCACGTCGAGGCATATGGTAAAAAAGAAAATATCTTCAGATAAAACATAGAAAGAAGCTTTCTGAGAAACTGCTTTGTGATGGGTGCATTAATCTCACAAAGTTAAACCTTTTATTGATTTAGCAATTTCGAAACACTGTTTTTGTCCATTCTGCAAATGTACTTTTCAGAGCTCATTGAGGCCAATGGCAAAAAAGCACATATGTCAGGAAAAAAACTGGCAGGAAGCTGTCTGTGAATCTGCTTTGTGATCTGTGCATTCATCACGTACAGTTAAACTTTTCTTTTGAATCAGCAGGTTGGAAACACTGCTTTTGTTGAATCTGAGAAGGGATATTCAGATAAAAACTAGAAAGAAGCTTTCTGAGAAACTGTTCTGTGACGTTTGTATTCATCTCACAGAGTTAAACATTTCTTTTGGTTCAGCAGTTTGAAAACACTGTTTTTGTCCATTCTGTGAGTGGACATTTGGGAGCTGATGGAGGCCAATGGCAAAAAAGTGAATATGCCAAGATGAAAACGAAATAAAGCTATCTGAGAAACTGCTTTGTGATATCTGCATTCATCTCACAAAGTTAAACTTCTCTTTTCATTCAGCTGTTTGGAAACATTGTTTTTGTAGAATCTGCGAAGGGATATTTGGGAATGCATTGTGGCCTGTTGTGAAAAAGAAAATGTCCTCTGATAATAACTAGAAAGAAGCTCTCTGAAAAACTGTTTGTGTTGTGTGCATTCATCTCACAGAATTAAGCCTTTCTTTTCATTCAGCAGTTTAAGAACCACTGTTTTTGTCCATTCTGTGAATGGATATTTGGGAGCTCATTGAGGCCAAAGGCAAAAAAGCAAATATCCCGAGATATAAACTAGAAGGAAACTATCTGAGAAACCATTTGTGATGTGTGACTTCATCTTGCAGATTTAAACCTTTCTTTTGATTAAGCAGTTTGGAAACACAGTTTTTGTACTTTGTGTGAATGGACACTTGGTAGCCCCTTGAGGCCCATGGTGCAAAAAAATACCTTCTTTTAAAAGAAGAAAGAGGCTTTCTGAGTAACTGCTTTGTGAAGTGTGCATTCAAATCACACAGTTAAACTTTCTTTTGACTCAGCAATTTGGAATGAACTGTTTTTCTACAATCTGCAAAGGTATGTTTGGGAGCACATTGAGACCTATGGTAAAAATGAAAATATCTTCAGAAAAAAGCTTGAAAGAAGCTTTCAGAGAAAATGCTTTTTGATGTGTGCATTCATCTCACAGAGTTAAAACTTTCTTTTGATTCAGCAGTTTGGAAGCACTGTTTTTGTCCATTTTGGGAATGGATATTTGGGAGCTCTTAGAGGCCAATGATGAAAAAGTGAATATCTCAGGATAAAAAGTTGAAGGAAGCTATCTGAGACAAGGCTTTGTGATATGTCCATTCATCTCATAGAGACAAACTTTTCTTTTCATTCAGTCATTTGGAAACACTGTTTTTTAGAAACTGCAAAGGAATATTTGGGAGCTCATTGAGGCCTGTGGTGAAAAAGAAAATGTCTTCAGATAAAAACTAGAAAGAAGCTTTCTGAGGAACTGCTTTGTGACGTGTGCATTAAACTCACACAGATAAAACTTTCTGTTTATTCAGCAGGTTGGAAACACTGTTTTTGTGGAATATGTGAAGGGATATTTGGGAGCACATTGAAGACTATTGTCAAAAAACATATATCCTCAGATAAAAACTAGAAAGGAGCTTTCTGAGAAACCAATTTCTGATATGTGCATTCATCTCACAGAGTTAAACCTTCCTTTTGATTCTGCAGTTTGGAAATGGTGTTTTGTACATTCTTCAATTGGACATCTTTGAGAGCATTGAAGCCTATGGTGAAAAAGAAAATATTTTCTGAGAAAAATTAGAAAGAAGCTTTCTGAGAAACTGCTTTGTGATATGTGCATTCATCTCACAGAGGTAAACCTTTCTTTTGATTCAGAAGTTTGGAAAAACTTTGCTGTAGAATCTGAAAAGGACATTTGGAGCACAGTGAGGCCTATGGTGAAAAAGAAAATACCTTCAGATAAAAACTTGAAAGAAGTTTCTGAGAAACTGCTTTGTGATGTGTGCATTTATGTCACAGGGTTAAACTTGGTTTTGATTCAGCAATTTGGAAACAGTGTTTTTGAAGAATCTGTGAATGGACAATTGGGAGCCCATTGAGGCCTATCTTGAAAAAGAAAAATCTTCAGATAAAAAGTAGAAAGAAGCTTTCTGAGAAACTGCTTCATGATGTGTGCATTTATCTCACAGTGTTAAACCTTTCTCCTGATTCCACACATTGGAAACATTGTGTTTGTAGAATCTGCAAATGGACATTTGTGAGCTCTTTGAGGCCAAAGTCAAAAAAGCGAATATTGCAGGGTGAAAAGTAGAAGGAAGCTATCCAAGAAACCAGTTTATGATGTGTGCATTCATATCACAGAGTTCAACTTTTCTCTTGATTCAGCTGTTTGGAAACACTGCTTTTCTAGAATCTGTGAAAGGACACTAGGGAGCCAGCTGAGGCCTATGGTGAAAAAGAAAATATCATCAGATAAAAACTAGAAAGAAGCTTTCTGAGAAACTGCTTTGTGATGTGTGCATTCATCTCTCACAGTTCAAACTTTGTTTTGATTCCGGAATTTGGAAACACTGTTTTTGTACATTCTGCAAATGGATATTTGGGAGCTAATTGGATCCAATGCAAAAAAATGAATATCCAAAGATAAAAACTAGAAGGAATCTATGTGAGAAACTCCTTTGTGACGTGTTTATTCATCTCACAGAGTTAAATCTTTCTTTTGACTCAGTAGTTTGGAAACACTGATTTTTAAATTCTGTGAAAGGATATTTTGGAGTGTCTCAAGGCCTATGGTGAAAAAGTAAATATCTTCTGATAAAAAGTAGAAAGAAGCTTTATGAGAAACTGCTGTGTAATGTGTGTTTTCATCTTATAGTGTTCAACCATTCTTATGATTCAGGAATTTATAAACACAGTTTTTGCCCATTCTGCAATTGGACATTTCGAAGCTCATTGAAGCCAATGGCAAAAGAGTGAATATCCCATGATAAAAAATAGTAAAAAGCTATCTGAGAAAATGCTTTGTGATGTTTCCATTCATATCTAGAGTTAAAGGATTCTTTTGATTCAGCAGTTTTGAATCACATTTTCTGTACTATTTGCAAAAGCATATTTGGAGTGTCTTGAAGCCTATGGTGAAAAAGAAAATATCTTCATCTAAAAATAAGAAGCTGTCTGAGAAGCTGCTTTGCGATTTGTGCATTCATCTCACAGAACTAAACCTTTCTTTTGTTTCAGCAGTTTGGAAACCCTGTTTTTGTACGTCCTGCGAACGGACGTTTCAGAGCTCATTGAGACCAATGGTGAAAAGTGAACATCCCAGGATAAAAACTAGAAGGAAGCTATCTGAGAAACCGCTGTGTGATGTGTGCATTAATCTCACAGAGTTAAATCTTTCTTTATATTGAGCAGTTTGGAAACACTGTTTTAGTAGAATCTGCAAAGGGATATTTGGGAGCACATTGAGGCCTATTGTGAAAAAAGAAAAATCTTCAGATACAAACTAGAAAGAAGCTTTCTGAGAAACTGCTTTGTGAAGTGTGCATTCATCTCACAGAGTTAAATCTTTCTTTTCACTCAGTGAATATCCCAGGACAAAAACTAGATGGATGCTATCTGAGAATCTGCTTTCTGATGTGTTCATTCATCTCTCAGAGTTCAACCATTGTTTTCATTCAGCAGTTTGGAAACGTTATTGTTTTCAGAATTTCTGAAGGGATATTTGTGAGCTCATTGAGGCCAATGGTGAAAAAGCAAATATCCCAAGATATATACCAGCAGGAAACTATCTGAAAACTGCTTTTTGATGTGTGCCTTCTTCTCACAATCTAAACCTTTCTTTTGATTCAGCAGTTTGGAAACACTGGTGTTGTAGAATCTGCAAAGAGATATTTGAGAGTGCTTTGAGGCCTATGGTAAAAAAGAAAATATATTCAGATAAAAACTAGAAAGAAACATTCTGAGAAACTGTGATGTGTGCATTCATCATATGGAGTTAAACATTTCTTTTGATTCAGCAGTTTGGAAACACTGTCTTTGTCGATTCTGCAACTGGACATTTGGAAACTCATTGAGGCCAATGGTGAAAAACCGAATATCCCAGGAAAAACTAGGAGCAGCCTATCTGAAAAACAGCTTTGTGATGTGTGCATTCATCTCACAGAGTTAAACTATCTTTTCATTCAGCAGTTTGGAAACACTGCTTTGTAGAATCTCTAAAGTGATATTTGGGAGCTCATTGAGGCCAATGGCAAAAAAGCAAATATCCCCAGATAAACAAGAAGGAAGATATCTGAGAAACCGCTTTGTGATGTGTGCATTAGTCTCACAGAGTTAAACCATGCTTTGTCTCGCAGAGTTCAACCATTCTTTTGATTTAGCGGTTTGGAAACACTGTTTTTTTCCCTTCTGTGAACAGACATTTGGGAGTGCTTTGAGACCAATGGTAAAAAAGAAAATATCTTCTGAGAAAAAGTATAAAGAAGCTTTCTGAAAAACTGCATGGGGGTGTGTGTATTCAACTCACATAGTTAAAACATTCTTTTAATTCAGCAGTTTGGACTCACTGTTTTTTTAGAATCTGCATAGGGATATTTCAGAGCACATTCAGGCCTATGTTGAAATAGAAAATATCTTCAGATAAAAAGTAGAAAGAAGCTTTCTGAGAAACTACTTTGTGAATTGTGCATTCGTTTCTCAGAGTTGTAGTTTTATTTTCATTCTGCATTTTGGAAACACTGGTTTTTTTTTTTATTCTGTGAATGGACATTTGGGAGCTCATTGATGCCTTTCTCAAAAAATTGAATATCCCAGGATAAAAACTAGAAGGACGCTATCTGAGATACTGGTTTGTGATGTGCACATTCATCTCACGGAGCTAAACCTCTGTTTTCATTCAGCAGTTTGGAAACACTGTTTTTGTAGTATATTTGAAAGGATATTTGGGAGGGCATTGAGGCCCATGGTGAAAAATAAAATATCTTCTGATAAAAACTAGAAAGAAGCTTTCTAGGAAACTGCTTTGTGATGTGCGCATTCATTTCACTGATTTAAACTTTCTTTTGATTCAGTGGTATGGAAACACTGTTTTTTTAGAATCTGCAGGAGAATATGTGGGAGTGCATTGAGGCCTATGGTGAAAAAGAAAGTATCTTCAGGTATGAAGTAGGAAGAAGCTTTCTGAGAAACCGCTTTGTGATGTGTGCATTCATCTCACAGAGTTAAAGACTTCTTTTCATTCAGCAGTTTGGAATCACTGTTTTTGTCGGTTGGGTGAATGGAGTTTTGAGAGGGCATTGAGGCCAAAGGCAAAAAAGCGAATATCCCCAGATAAAAACTAGAAGGAAGCTATCAGAGAAGCCCTTTTTGATGCGTGCATTCATCTCACAGAGTTCAACCTTTGTTTTCATTCAGCAGTTTGGAAACACTTATTTGGCAGAATCTGCAAAGGGGTATTTAGTAGTACATTGATGCCTATGGTAAAAAAGAAAATATCTTGAGCTAAAAACTAGATATATGCTATCGAGAAACCACTTTGTGATGTGTGCATTCATCTCACAGAATTAAACATTTCTTTTCAGTCAGCAGTTTGTAAACACTGTTTTTGTAAAAACTAAGAAGGGATATTTGGGAGTGCATTGAGGCCTATGGTGAAAAAGAAAATATTTTCAAAGAAACAGTAGAAAGAAGCTTTCTGAGAATATGCTTTGTGATGTGTGCATTCATATCACAGAATTAAACCTTTCTTTTCATTCAGCAGTTTTGAAACTCTGTTTTTGTACATTCTGCAAATGGAAATTTGGAAGCTCATTGATGCCATTGGTGAAAAAGCAAATATCCACAGAGAAAAACTAAAAGGAATCTATCAGAGAAACCAGTCTGTGATGTGTGCATTCCCTGGCAGAGGTAAACCTTTCTTTTGATTCAGCAGTTTGGAAACTGTTTTAGTCCATTCTGTAAATGGACATTTGGGAGCTCATTGAGGCCATTGGAGAAAAAGCGAATTGAGGCCATTGGAGAAAAAGCGAATTTCCCAGGATAAAAACTTGAAGGAAGCAATCGAGAAACTGCTTTGTGATGTGTGCTTTCATCTCACAGAGGTAAACCATTCTTTTCATTCAGCAGTTTGGAAACACTGTTTTTGTCCATTCTGTGAATGGACATTTGGGAGCTCATTGAGGTCATCGGAGAAAAAGTGAATATCCCAGGGTAAAAACTAGAAGGAATCAATCTGAGAAACTGCTTTGTGATGTATGCGTTTATCTTGCAGTGGTAAACCTTTGTTTTCATTCAACTGTTGGAAACACTGTTTTTGTAAAATAGACACAGGGATATTTGGGAGCACATTGAGGCCTATGGAGAAAAAGAAATTGTCTTCAGATAAAAGCTAGAAAGAAGCTTTCTGAGAAACTGCTTTGTGATGTGTGCATTCATCTCACAGAGTTAACTTTTCTTTTGATTTAGCAGTTTGGTAACACTGTTTTTGTCCGTTCTGTGAATGGATATGTGGGAGCTCATATAGGCCTATAGTGAAAAAGATATTATCTTCTGATAAAAACTAGAAAAATATAGCTGAATTCTTTTTCTCAGCAAGGAACATCCCTGAGAAAGGGAATATGTTTTCAAGAGGAGGTCTCTGAAATGGCTGCTTTGGGAAGGTCTATCTTTTATGGTTGTAGATAAGGGATGAAATAAGCCCCAGTCTCCCATCATGCTCCCAAGCTTATTAGGATGAGGAACTTCCAGCCTAATAAATTTTGGTCAGACTGGTTGTCTGCTCTCAAACCCTGTCTCCTGATAAGATGTTATCAATGACAGTGCGTGCCCAAAATTTCATTAGCAATTTTAATTTCACCCCGGTCCTATGATCTCACCCTGCCTCCATTTGCTTTGTGATATTTTATTACTGTGTGCAGCATGTGATCTCTGTGATGCACACCTTATTCATACACTCCATTCCCTTTTGAAAATCGCTAATAAAAACTTGCTGGTTTTGTGACTCAGGGGGCATAATGGAACCTGCTGACATATGATGTCTTCCCCGGACACCCAGCTTTAAAATTTCTCTCTTTTGTACTCTTTCCCTTTATTTCTCAGACAAGCTGACACTTAGGGAAAATAGAAAAGGACCCACGTGAATATCAGGGCCTGGTTTCCCCTGATATCTGGTGTCCAATGTGGGGCTTGAACCCACTACCCTGAGATTAAGAGTCTCACGCTTCATCAACTAAGCTATTCGGTTTCTCTACCTTTTCCTCAGCCTTCCACTCCCACACTGCCCTCGTTATCTCATTAGCCTCTCCCTTCAGCTACACCTCCCCTACCTAACAATGCTGAAAATTCATTGTCTAACTCCGATGACTTTGGCTTAACATTACCCCTTACCTATCTTACTTCTTTTCATGAAGAGCCAGTACTTGAAGCTCCTGTGGCCCTGACTCACACAGCCTGGGACCATAGATATGCTAATTCTTCTCTCTTCAAACCTCCAGGATCAGCTAATGGTTCTGGGATGAAACTACAATTTACCTATAATTCTCCAGGTCCTCCCCCATCCACTACAGCCCCTCACCCTCCTGTCATTTCAGTTCCTCAACCTGTCTGCATCATTATGTACCTCTGAATCTTACCTTTTTAAAGCAATTTAAGGATGTTTGTACTCAGTATGGTCCTACTTCTCCTTATGTTAAAATGGTAATACAAACTTTTTGTACTGAAGTTGTTTTGCTTCCTTTAGACTGGGATCTTTTGGCAAAAAGCTTTTCTAACCCCATCGCAGCCTGGTGGGCAGTGGAAGCCCATTTGCAGGCTCAGCTAAATTGGACTAATGACATTCTAATTACTCAGGCTCAGCTCACAGTCTCTGATAGTTTCTCTGATGTTTATGCCCAATTAAACTTTGATGCTCTTACCACATAACAAGTAACAAACGTGTGTATGAGTGCTTGGGAAAAATTATATGCCCAGGCCAAGCTCCTGTTTCTTTTACTACTGTTAAACAAATTCAATTGCTTTTACTACCTAATATCATTTTAAACAAAAGAGATAAGACACATGGCCTTGGGATGGGCCCTGGTAGTGAGAAAGCCACTTATTGGATTAATGTTATTTCTAAACAATGGCCCACCTGCATTGTACACATTCAAGGGAAAAAGTTTTGAGAGCCTAGTAGATACTGAGGCTGAAATTAATATTCCACATAACTCTTATAGTGCTCCCAGTCAGCATATGATGGAAAACATGGGGTTGGCTCCTGGGATCAGTCTTGGTCTAAAGGCATGAAAAGATTACTAAACCCTTCCCAGTTACTGTAAAATAAGACAGGGCTGGTTTAGATGATCATTTTTAGTGGCAGCCACTGCCACACCTCCTGATCCTATCCCCTTACAATGAAAATCTGACACACCCATTTGGATTCAGTAGTGGCCACTTTCTAAGCAAAAACTGGAGGCTTTAACTCACTTGGTTTCTGAACAGCTACAACTTGGAAATGTGGAACCTTCTCTTTCCCTCTAGAATTCTCCTGTGTTTCTAATGAAAAAGAAATCAGCCAAGTGGCAGATGCTAACCAATTTAAGGGCCATTAATGCTGTAATTAAACCTATGGGGGCCATCCAACCTGTCATGCCTGCCTCTTCTTTAATACCTAAATTTTGGCCTCTCATAGTTATTGATCTTAAAGATTTTTTCACATTGCTTTACATAAATAAGATTCTGAAAAAATTGCTTTTACTGTACCACCTGTCAATAATCAGGAGCCTGCAACTCGTTATCATGGAAAGTACTTCCTCAGGGAATGCTGAATAGCCCTACAATCTGCCAGCTTTATGTTGGACAGTGCTTTCAGCAGTTGAAGCCCAATTTCTCCAGGCGTATATTCTTCATTATATTGATGATATTTTAATTACTGCCCCCACTGATAAAGAATTAATTGACTGTTATCAAATTTTGAGGCCCCATGTTACAGAGGCTGGATTACCCATCACTCACGATAAAATTCAACTGACCACTCCTGCTCAATATTTAGGAATGGTGGTTGATAAACAACGTATTTAACCTCAAAAAGTTCATATTAGGAGAGATTCCTTAAAAACTTTAAAAGACTTCCAAAAACTTTTGGGTAACATTAATTATTTAAGACCTATTTTAGGTATTCTGACCTATGCACTGTCTAACTTGTTTTCTACCCTGTGGGGAGATTCCAACCTCTGCAGTCCCAGGACTTTGACACCTGAGGCTTCACTAGAACTGGAATTCTTAGAGGAAAGAATCCAGGCCACCCAGTTATCTAGAGTACAGCCACTTCAGCCTTTTCAGCTTCTGGTTTTCCCTTCATTACATTCCCCTACTGGACTAATAGTTCAAAATAATGCTTTAGTGGAGTGGTGTTTTCTTCCTCATTCTGTGTCAAAAATTTTGTTTATCTCGACCAAATAGCCATCTTAATTGGACAGACTTAGTGTAGAATACTTCAAATTTCCAGATTTGATCCGAATTTAATGGTAGTTCCTTTAAATCAGCTCAAAGTTCAAGCCGCTTTTCAACATTCCATAGTGTGGAAAATTCACTTGGCTGATTTCTTTGGTGTTATTGACAATCATTATCCAAAGAACAAATTGTTTGAGTTTATGAAAATGACGTCTTGGGTTGTCCCTCAATTAACCAAAGATCAGCCCATTCCTGAGGCAGTTACAGTGTTCACTGATGGCTCTAGTACTGGCAATGCTGGTTATGTAGATCCTACAGACAAGCTTATTTCTGCCTCTTATACATCTGCTCAAAAGGCAGAGTTAATTGCTGTGATTACTGCCTTACAGGATTTCCCCCAAACCTATAAATATTGTATCTGACTCTGCTTATGTTGTACATGCCACTAAAAATATAGAAACTGCTACTATCAAATATGTTGATAATTCTGAACTGGTTTCTTTATTTTCAAGGTTACAACAGGCGGTTCACCAACCTAGATACCCTTTCTATATTACATATATTAGATCTCATACCACTTTACCAGGACTCATGTCTGCTGGTAACCATAAAGTTGACTGTTTGGTCTCTTTTGCAACCCAAGAAGCTAAGGAGTTCCATAATCTCACTCATGTCAATGCTGCTGGATTAAAAGATAAATTTGCTCTTACCTGGAAACAGGCTAAGTTTATTGTTCACAGCTGCCCTCAGTGTCAGGTCTTTGTACTTCCAAATCAGGAACCTGACATTAATCCCAGAGGCCTAACTCCTAATGGTTTACAGCAAATGGATGTGACTCATGTTAGCTCCTTTGGCAGACTGTCATATGTGCATGTTTCTGTAGCTACCTTCTCAGGTTTCATCTGGGCTACTTATCAAACAGGGGAAGGCATGGCCCATGTTAAAAAAATCTGTTTTCTTCTGTTGCAGTTATTGGGCTTCCATATCAAATAAAGACAGACAAGGTCCCTGGATATGTTAGTAAGGCTTTTGACTTATTTATGCAACAGTGGGGAATTTCCCATATTACTGGAATCCCTTATAATCCTCAGTGACAAGCTGTGGTGGAATGGGCCAATCACACTTTAAAAACCCAATTGTCCAAACAGTCTGAACAACAAAAACATAATTTAACTAACCCCCACTCCCAATTACATTTAGCATTGTTTACTTTAAATTTTTTAAATGTTCCTAAAGATAATAATCTAACTGCAGCCAAACGCCATTATACAGGCAAAAAATTCTCCCTAAACAAAGGCAACCCAGTGTTATGGAAAAACTCCCAAACTAATACTTGGGAACCTGGCACAATTATAACGTGGGGAAGAGGCTATACTTTTGTTTCACCAGGAGATCATCAATCCCCTTTCTGGGTACCCACCAGGAGCCTCAAGCTTCGGGTGTATACTGACAATGAAAACCACAGGGAAAAGACGTCCATGTCAGAGACTGCCCTCAGACATGGTGAGATCTGTGACGACTCCTCAGAAGCAGGCACACCAAATCACTGATTCAATCCTCCCTGATGTCAATGTAGACCCATCTAACTAATCCCACTTCTCCTGATTACCTTTTCTTTTCTTCTTACAAACCTAAAAATCTCACCATTTCTATTGGCCTGAAAATAACATCCCTCTGTTCTTCTCTTCCTCCTTTAGCATTCAATCTCACTTACAATGGGTTTTATTTAATGATTCTCCTCCTTATACTTTCTATCTTACCAGTTTCCTCTCACAATGGTTTACCTGCTACACAAAATTATTCTTTTTGTGCTTATGTGCCTTTTCCTCCACTTATTCGACCTCTCACCTGGATAGATACTCCTGCAGAAATCTACACTAGTGATAGTGTGTGGATGCCTGGAGCTACAGATGACTTTTGCCCTGCTCAACCAGGAGAAGAAAGTACTGCATTTAATATTACCATGGGTTATAAATACCCCACTCTGTGCCTCAGACATGCACCTGGTTGTATCCATCTAGAAACTCAAGTCTGGGCTGTTTATCTTCTGGAGAGATCAGCTAGAGGAACCAGGACCTTTGGTCTCTAGCCTCTCCCTTTCTCCTTTAATACAAACGAAAGGGGGATTAATGGGAGATACCCCATACTTTCAATATAAACCTGTAGGAAAACCATGCCCTAAAAATTTTGAGGGCCCATCTAAAACCTTAATTTGAGAAGATTGTGTTAACTCACATGCGGTAATATTAAAAAATGACTCATATGGTTCAGTAATAGGCTGGGCACCAAAGGGCTATTTAAAAAACAATTGCTTCTCTGGCAGAAAGGAATGCCTGTAGGCTACTTATTTTATTTCTTAACAGGAGAACTAGAATCATCATTCTACTTTGCATAGGAGGTGTAGTTAATTCTTTCCCTTAAAATGGGAAGATAAAGTCATTACCCCCCTGAGGCCTTGTATGATACTCCCCATTCTGAGCCCAGAACACCCAGAACTTTGGAAATTGGCTATTGCCATGTCTGGACTGCGAATTTGGGAAGGGGAAACTATTCTGCTATTCTGTCTGTTGTCCCCACTACTGTCCCCCTCTCTCAGTATCAATATAGATCCAGACATTCTACTTTACTTACCTCCAACCTGACTGTTCCCATACAAAGTTGTGTTAAGCCTCCTTACATACTGTTAGTGGGAAACATCAAAATTTGGACAAACAATCAAACTGTCCAATGCATTAATTGTCATTTATACACTTGTATTAACTACCATTTTGACTCCAGGAAAAGTGTAATGTTGGTTAGAGCTAGAGAAGGAATCCGGATTCTGGTAAGTTTGCTTAGACTTAGGAATCCTCTCCCACAACACATTTAATTAATGAAGTGTTACAGTGAATTCTAAAAAGATCTAAGAGATTTGTTTTCACTTTAATCACTGTGATCATGGGCCTAATTATAGTCACTGCAATGACCACCACTGCCAGAATAGTGTTACATCAATCTATTCAAACAGCTCATTTTGTTAATGATTGGCAAGCCAATTCCACCCAAATGTGGAATTCTCAACAAGGCATTGATCAAAAATTGGCTAATCAAATTAATGATTTAAGACAGTCTGTTATTTGGCTTGTAGATCGGGTAGTGAGTCTTGAACATAGCATGAAAATGCAGTGCGATTGGAAAACACTGGATTTCTGTATCACCCCATATTCCTATAATGAGACTGATCATTCATGGAAAATGGTCAAAGGACAACTTCTGGGTAGGGAAGATAATTTATCACTGGACATAACTAAATTAAAGAAACAAATTTTTGGAGGCTCTCAAGCTCACTATTCCATTGTGCCTGGAGCTGAGGCATTAGATCAGGTGGCAGATAATCTTTATGGAATAAACCCCACGACTTGGATTAAGTCTATTTGGGGCTCCACTGTAGTAACTTTTGGAATTATGTTTCTCTGTTTAATCAGCTTGTTTTAGTGTGCTGGACCAGTCAAAGAATTCTGCATCAAAATCGATAGAATGAACGAGCCTTCATTGCCATGGCACATTTATATAAAAAGAAAGGGAGAGATGTTGTGGGAATTAAGGGACACCGAGTGGAGGGACCAGCGGAAGCCATGGCAGAAGAACTTAAATTGTGAAGATTCCATGGACAGATTTTAGTTCCCCAAATTAATACTTTTATAATTTTTTATGCCTGTCTTTACTGCAATCGCTGAACATAAATTGTGAAGATTTCATGGACACTTATCACTTCCCCAATCAGTACTCTTGTGATTTCCCATGCCTGTCTTTACTTTAATCTCTTAATTCTGTCATCTTCATAAGCTGAGGGTGAATGTTGCCTCAGAACCATGTGATGATTGCGTTAACTGCAAAAATTGTTTAAACAATATGAAATCTGGGCACCTTAAAAAAAGAACAGGATAACAGCGATGTTCAGGGAAAAGGGAGATAACCTTAAAGTCAGGCTGCCTGTGGGCTGGGTGGAACAGAGCCATAGTTCTCTTCCTTCAGAAGCAAATAGCAAAAATATCACTGAATACTTTTTCTAGCAAGGAACATGCCTGAGAAAGAGAATGTGTTCCCAAGGGGAGGACTCTGAAATGGCCACTTTGGGAACGTCTGTCTTTTATGGTTGTACATTAGGGATGAAATAAACCCCAGTCTCCCATAGTGCTGCCAGGCTTATTAGGATGAGGAACTTCCCGCCTAATAAATTTTGGTCAGACCAGTTGTCTGCCCTCAAACCCTGTGTCCTGATAAGATGTTTTCAATGACAATGCGTGCCCAAAACTTCATTAGCAATTTTAATTTCACCCTGGTCCTGTGATCTCGCACTGCCTCCATTTGCCTTGTGATATTTTATTACCATGTGTAGCTTGTGATCTCTGTGACCCACATGCTATTTGTACACTCCCTCCCTTTTTGAAAATCACTAATAAAAACTTGCTGGTTTTGCAGCTCAGGGAGCATCACAGAATCTGCCAACATGTGATGTCTCCCCCAGCAACCCAACTTTAAAATTTCTCTCTTTTGTATTCTTTCCCTTTATTTCTCAGACAAGCTGACACTTAGGGAAAATAGAAAAGGACCCACGTGAATATCAGGGACTGGTTTCCCCCAATATGCATTCATCTCACAGAATTAAACCTTACTTTTCATTCAGCAGTTTGGAAACAGTGGTTTTGTAGAATCTGTGAAAGCATATTTTAGAATGCCTTTAGGCCTATGGTGAAAAAGAAAATATCTTCAGATAAAAACCAGAAAGAAGCTTTCTCAGAAACTGCTTTGTGATGTGTGCATGTCTGTCACAAAGTTAAACCTTTCTTTTGATTCAGCAGTTTGAAAACACTGATTTTGCAGAATCTGAGAAGGGATACTTGGGAGTGCATGGAGGCCATGGTGAAAAAGAAATTATATTCAGTTAAAAACTAGAAATATCCTTTCTGAGAAACTGCTTTGTGATGTGTGCATTCATCTCACAGAGTTAAACCTTTATTTGGATTCAGCAGTTTGGAAACACTCTTTTTGTCCATTCTGCGAATGGACATTTGGGAGCACTTTGAGGCCAATGGCAAAAAAGCTAATATCCCAGGATAAACACTAAAAGGAAACTATCTGAGAAACTACTTTGAGATGTGTGCATTCATCTCACAGAGTTAAACCTTTCTTTTCATTCACCAGCTTGGAAATAGAGTTTTGATAGAATCTGCAAAGGGATATTTGGGAATGCATTATGCCTATGGTGAAAAATAATATATTTTCAGGTAATAACAAGAAAGATGTTTACTGAGAAACTGCTTTGTGATGTGTGCTTTCATCTCACAGAGTTAAACAATTCTTTTGATTCAGCCAAGTGAAAACACCATTTTTGTAGAATCTGTGAAGGGGCATTTGCAAGCACATTTAAACCTTTTGTGAAAAATAAAATATATTCTGATAAAAACTGGAAAGAAACTTTCTGAGAAACGGCTTTGTGATGTGTGCATTCATCTCACAGAGTTAAATCTTTCTTTGGATTCAGCAGTTTGGAAAAACTGTTTTTGTCCATTTTGTGAAAGGACATTTGGAACTCATTGACGAAATGGAGAAAAAGCAAATATCCCATGGTAAAAGCTAGAAGAAAACTATCTGAGAAACTGCTTTGTGATGTGTGCATTTATCTGACAGAGTTAAACCTTTCTCTTCATTCAGCAGTTTAGAAACACTGTTTTTGTACAATGTGGGAAGGGACAGTTGGGAATGCATTGAGGTCAACGGTGAAAAAGAAAATTTCTTCAGATAAAAAATAGAAAGAAGCATTCTGAGAAACTGCTTTGTGATGTGTGCTTTCATCTGACAGAGTGAAACCTTTCTTTTGATTCAGCAGTTTGGAAACACGGTTTTTGTAGAATCTCCAAAGGTGAATTTGGCAGGTCATTCACACCAATGGCAAAAAAGGGAATATCCTGAGATATAAACTATAACAAAACTGTCTGACAAACTGCATTGTAATGTGTGCATTCATCTCACAGAGTTAAAGCTTTCTTTTGTTTCAGTAGTTTGGAAACACTGTTTTTGTACATTCTGTGAATGGACATTTGGGAGCGTGTTGAGGCCTACAATGAGAAGGAAGATAACTTCTGATAAAACTAGAAAGAAGCTTTCTGAGAAAGTGTTTTCTGATGTGTGCATTCAACTCACAGGTTTTAAACTTTCTCTTGATTCAGCAATAAGGAAAAGCTGATTTTGTAGAATCTCCAAAGGGATATTTGGGAGCGCATTGTGGCCCATGGTGAAAAAGAAAATATCTTCAGATAAAAACTACAGAGAAGTTTTCTGAGAAACTGCTTTGTCATGCGTGTATTCATCTCTCAGTTTTAAACCTTTTTTGATTCAGCATTTTGGAAACACTTCTTTTGTCCATTCTGCGAATGGACATTTGAAAGAGCATTGAGGACATTGGCCAAAAAGTGAATATCCCAGGATAAAAACAAAAGTAATCTATCAGAGAAAATGCTTTGTTATGTGTGCATTCCTCTTGCGGAGTTAAACCTTTTTTTTCATTCAGCAGGGTGGAAACACTGTTTTTCTAGATTCTGTGAAAGGATAATTTTGAGTGCATTGAGGCCTATCTTGAAAAAGGAAGTAGCTTCAGGTAATGCTAGAAAGAAGCTTTCTGAAGAACTGTTTTGTGATGTGTGCCTTCATCTCACAGATTTAAAACTTTCTTTTTATTCAGCAGTTTGGAAACACTATTTTTATTCATTGTTGGAAAGGACAACTGGGAACTCATTGAGGCCAAATGCGAAAAAGAGAACATCCATGGAAAAAAACTAGAAGGAAGCTATCTGAGAAACCACTTTGTAATGTGTGCAATCATCTCACAGAATGAAACCTTTCTTGTCATTCAGCAGTTTGGAAAAAATGTTTTTGAAGAATCTGTGAATGGACATTTGGGAGTGCATTGAAACCTATGGTGAAAAAGAAAGTATCTTTTGATAAAAACTAGAAAGAAGCCTTCTGAGAAACTGATCTGTGATGTGTGCATTCCTCTCACTTAGTTAAAACACACTTTTATTCAGCTATTTGGAAACACTGTTTTTGTAGAATTTGTGAAGGGATATTTGAGAGTGCATTGAGGGCTATGGTGAAAAATAAAATATCTTTAGATAAAAACAAGAAAGAAGCTTTCTGAGAAACTGCTTTGTGAAGTGTGCACTCACCTCACCGAGTTAAACCTTTCTTTGGATTCAGCAGTTTGGAAACAATGTTTTTGTCCATCCTCCAAAAAGACATTTGGGAGCTCGTTGAGGACAAAGGCAAAAAAGCAAATATCCCAGTGTAAAAACTAGAAAGAAGCTATCTGAGAAACTGCCTGGTCATGTGTGCATTCATCTCACAGATTTAACGTTACTTTTCTTTCAGCAGTTTTGAAACACCATTTTTGTAGAATCTGTGAAGGGATTTTTGGGAGCACATTGAGGCCTATGGTGAAAAAGCAAATATCTCCTGATAAAAACCATAAAGAAAGTTTCTAAATAAATGCTTTGTGATGTGTGCATTCATCCCAAAAATAAACATTTCTTTTTATTCAGCAGTTTGGAAACACTGTTTTTGTCCATTATATGAACAGGTATTTGGGAGCTCATTCTAGCCAATGGCAACAAAGTGAATATCCCTGGATAAAACCTAGAAGGAAGCTATCTGAGAAACCGTTTTGTGATGCGGGCATTCACCCCACAGAGTGAAATCATTCTTTTCATTCAGCAGTTTGGAAACACTGTTTTTGTAGGATCTGTGAAGTGATATTTTGTAGCTCACTGATGCTTATGGTGAAAAAGAAAATATCTCCTGATAAAAACTAGAAAGAAGCCTTCTGAGAAACTGATCTGTGATGTGCGCATTCATCTCACTTAGTTAAAACACACTTTTATTCAGCTGTTTGGAAACACTGTTTTTGTAGAATTTGTGAAGGGATATTTGAGAGTGCATTGAGGGCTATGGTGAAAAATAAAATATCTGTAGATAAAAACAAGAAAGAAGCTTTCTGAGAAACTGCTTTGTGACGTGTGCACTCACCTCACCGAGTTAAACCTTTCTTTGGATTCAGCAGTTTGGAAACAATGTTTTTGTCCATCCTCCAAAAAGACATTTGGGAGCTCATTGAGGACAAAGGCAAAAAAGAAAATATCCCAGTGTAAAAACTAGAAGGAAGCTATCTGAGAAACTGCCTGGTCATGTGTGCATTCATCTCACAGAGTTAAATGTTACTTTTCTTTCAGCAGTTTTGAAACACCATTTTTGTAGAATTTGTGAAGGGATTTTTGGGAGCACATTGAGGCCTATGGTGAAAAAGCAAATATCTCCTGATAAAAACCATAAAGAAAGTTTCTAAATAAATGCTTTTTGATGTGTGCATTCATCCCAAAAATAAACCTTTCTTTTTATTCAGCAGATTGGAAACACTGTTTTTGTCCATTATATGAACAGGCATTTGGGAGTTCATTCAGGCCAATGGCAGCAAAGTGAATATCCCTGGATAAAACCTAGAAGGAAGCTATCTGAGAAACCGTTTTGTGATGTGTGCATTCATCCCACAGAGTGAAATCATTCTATTCATTCAGCAGTTTGGAAACACTGTTTTTGTAGGATCTGCGAAGTGATATTTTGTAGCTCACTGACGCTTATGGTGAAAAAGAAAATATCTCCCGATAAAAACTAGAAAGAAGCCTTCTGAGAAACTGCTTTGTGATGTGTACATTCATCTCACAGAGTTAAACCTTTTTTTGGATTCAGCAGTTTGGAAAAACTGTTTTTGTAGAATCTGCAAATGGACATTTTGGAGCACATAGAAACCTATGGTGAAAAAATATATCTTCAGATAAAAACTAGAAAGAAGCTTTCTGAGAAACTCCCTTGTGATGTGTGCATTCATCTCACAGAGTTAAACTTTTCTTTGGATTCAGCAGTTTGGAATCATCCTTTTTGTCCATTCTGCAAAAGGACATTTGGGAGCTCATTGAGGACAATCACAAAAAAGTAAATATCCCAGTGTAAAAACTAGAAGGAAGCTATCTGAGAAACTGCTTTGTGATGTGTGCATTTATCTCACAGAGTTAAACTTTCTCTTCATTCAGCAGTTTAGAAACTCTGTTTTTGTACAACATGGAAAGGGATACTTGAGAGAGCACTGAGGTCTATGGTGAAAAAGAAAATAACTTCAGGTAAAAACTAGAAAGGAGATCTCTGAGAAACTACACTGTGATGTGTGCATTCACCTGACAGAGTTAAACAATTTTTTTGATTCAGCAGTTTGGAAACATGGTTTTTGTAGAATCTCATAAGCAATATTTAGTGACTCATTCAGGCCAAAGGTGAAAAAGAGAATATCCTGAGATATAAACTATAATGAAACTATTTGACAAACTGCATTGTGATGTGTGCATTCATCTCAAAGAGTTAAAACTTTCTTTTGATTCAGTAATTTGGGAACACTGTTTTTGTACATTCTGTGAATGGACATTTGGGAGCATATTGAGGCCTACAATGAGAAAGAAAATAACTTCTGATAAAACTAGAAAGAAGGTTTCTGATAAAGTGCTTTCTGATGTGTGTGACAATCTGTGCAACTCACAGATTTACAACTTTCTTTTGATTCAGCAGTTTGGAAACACTGAATTTGTAGAATCTTCAAAGGGATATTTGGGAGTGCATTGTGGCCCACGGTGAAAAAGAAACTATCTTCAGTTAAAAACTAGAAAAAATCTTTCTGACAAACCTCTTTGAGGTGTGTGCATCCAACTCACAGAGTTAAATGTTTCTTTCAATGCAGCATTTGGAAACAGTGTGGTTCTCCATTCTATGAATGGACACTTGAGAGCTCATTGAGGACAAGGGCAAAAAAAAATCTAATATGCCTGGATAAAAACCAGAAGTAATTTACCTGAAAAACCACCTGGTCATGTGTGCATTCATCTCACAGAGTTAAACGTTACTTTTCTTTCAGCAGTTTTGAAACACCATTTTTGTAGAACCTGTGAAGGGATTTTTGGGAGCACACTGAGGCCTATGGTGAAAAAGCAAATATCTCCTGATAAAAACCGTAAAGAAGGTTTCTAATGAAATGCTTTGTGATATGTGCATTCATCCCAAAATAAACGTTTCTTTTGAGTCAGCAGTTTGGAAACACTGTTTTTGTCCATTATATGAACAGGCATTTGGGAGCTCATTCAGGCCAATGGCAACAAAGTGAATATCCCTGGATAAAACCTAGAAGGAAGCTATCTGAGAAACCGTTTTTTGATGTGTGCATTCATCCCACAGAGTGAAATCATTCTTTTCATTCAGCAGTTTGGAAACACTGTTTTTGTAGAATATTAGAAGTGATATTTTGTAGCTCACTGATGCTTATGGTGAAAAAGAAAATATCTCCTGATAAAAACTAGAAAGAAGCCTTCTGAGAAACTGCTTTGTAATGTGTGCATTAATCTCACAGAGTTAAACCTTTCTTTGGATTCAGCAGTTTGGAAAAACTGTTTTTGTAGAATCTGCGAATGGACATTTTGGAGCACATAGAAAAGTATGGTGAAAAAAATATATCTTCAGATAAAAACTAGAAAGAAGCTTTCTGAGAAACTCCCTTGTGATGTGTGCATTCATCTCACAGAGTTAAACCTTTCTTTGGATTCAGCAGTTTGGAAACACCTTTTTGTCCATTCTGCAAAAGGACCTTTGGAAGCTCATGGAGGACAATGACAAAAAAGCAAAATCCCAGTGTAAAAACTAGAAGGAAGCTATCTGAAAAACTGCTTTGTGATGTATTCATTCATTTCTCAGAGTTAAACCTTTCTTTTTATTCAGGAGTTTAGAAACACTATTTTTGTACAATGTGGGAAGGGATATTTGAGAGCACATTCAGGTCTATGGTGAAAAAGAAAATAGCTTCAGATAAAAACTAGAAAGAAACTTTTGAGAAACTGCTTTGTAATGCTGCATTCATCTCACACAATTAAAATTTATTTTGATTAAGCAGTTTGGAAACACTGTTTTTGTAGAAACTGTGATGGCATATTTGTGAGAACACTGAGGTCAATGGTGAAAAAGCAAATATGACGTGATAAAAACTAGAAGGAAGCTGTCTGAGAAACCACTTTGTGACGTGTGCATTCAACTCAGAGAGTTAAAACATTTCTTTAATTGAACTGTTTGGAAACACTTTTTTGTTAAAAGGGAAATATCTTGAGATAAAAACTAAGAAGAAGTTTTCTGAGAAACCACTTTGTGATGTGTCCATTCATCTCACAGAGTTAAACATTTCTTTATTCCACAATTTGAAAATGCTGTTTCTTTCCATTCTGTGAATGGACATTTGGGAGCTCATTGAGGCCAATGGTGAAAAAAGGGATATCCCAGGAAAAAAACTAGAAGGAAGCTATCTGAATAACTGACTTATGATCTGTATATTCAATTCACAGAGATAAACCTTCCTTTTCATTCAGCAGTTTGGAAACACTGTTTTTGTAGAATCTACGAAGGGATATTTGGGAGCACATTGAGGTCTATGATGAAAAAATATCTTCAGACAAAAACTAGAAAGAAGCTCTCTGAGAAACTGCTTTGTGATGTGTGCATTCATCTCAAGGAGTTAAACCTTCCTTTGGATTCAGCAGTTTGGAAACACTGCTTTCTCCATTCTGCGAATGGACATTTGGGAGCTCATTGAGGCCGATGGGAGAAAAGCAAATACCCCAGAATTAAAACTAGAAAGAAGCCATCTGAGAAACTTCTTTGTGATGTGTGCATTCATCTCGCAAAATGAAATGTTTTTTATTCATCAGTTTGGAAACACTGTTTTTATAGAATATGTGAATGGATATTTGGGAGCATATGGAGGCCTATGGTAACAAGAAATTATCTTCAGATAAAAACTACAAAGAAGCGTTCTGAGAAACTGCTTTGTAATGTGTATTTTCATCTCACAGAGTTACACATTTCTTTGGATTCAGCAGTTTGGTAACACTGTTATTGTCCATTTTGTGAATGGACATTTGTGACCTCATTGTGGCCAATAGTGAAAAAGTGAATATCCCAGGATAAAAACTAGAAGAAAGCTGTCTGAGAAACTGCTTTGTGATGTGTGCATTCATCTCGAAAATTAATCTTTCTTTTCAATAAGCAGTTTGGAAACACTGTTTTTGTAGAAATCTCCAGAGGGATATTTGGGAGTGCCTTGAGACTTTTGGTGAAAAAGAAAATATCTTCAAATAAAAAGAAGAAAGAAGCTTCCTGAGGAACTGCTTTATGATGTGTGCATTCATCTCCCAAAGTTAAAATGTTCTTTGGATTCAGCAGTTCCAAAGACTGTTTTTGTCCATTCTGCGAATGGACCTTTGGAAGCTCATTGAGAAAAATGGTGAAAAAGTGAATATTCCAGGTTATAAACTAGAAAAAGCTATCTGAGAAACCTCTTTGCTATGTGTGCACTCATTTCACAGAGTTAAACTTTTCTTTTCATTCAGCACTTTAGGAAAATTGTTTTCGTAGAATCTGTGAAGGGATTTTGGGACACACTGAGGCCTATGGTGGAAAAGGAAACATCTTCAAATAAAAATTAGAAACTTTCAGAGAAACTTCTTTGTGATGTGTGCAATCATCTCACAGAGTTAAACCTTTCTGTGGATTCAGCAGTTTGGAAACACTGTTTATGTTCGTTGTGTGAATGGACATTTGGAACATTTGGTGAAAAACAGAATATCCCAGGAAACAAACTAGAAGGAAGCTATGTGAGAAACCTCTTTGTGATGTGCACATGCATCTCACAGAATTAAACTTTTCTTTTCATTCAGTACTTTGGCAAGAGTGTTTTTGTAGAATCTACAATGGGATATTTGGGAGTGACTTGAGGCTTGTGGTGAAAAAGAAAATATCTTCAGATAAAAACTAGAAGGAATCATTCTGAGAAACTGCTTTGTGATGTATGCATTTGTCTCACAGAGTTAAACATTTTGTTGGATTCAGCAATTTGGAAACACTCTTTCTGTCATTTCTGTGAATGGACATTTGAGAGATCAATGAGACCAATGGCAAAAAAGTGAATATCCCAGGATAAAAATTAGAAGGAAGCTATCTGAGTAACCCCTTTTGGTGTGTGCATTCGTCTCACAGAGTTGAAACTTTCGTTTCATTCAGAAGTTTGGAAACACTGTTTTTGTAGAATCTGTGAAAGGTTATTTAGGAGTGCATTAAGCCTATGGTGAAAAAGGAAATATCTTCAGATAAAAACTGGAAAGAAGCCTTCTGAGAAACTGATTTGTGATGTGTGCATTCATTTCACAGAGTTAAATCTTTCTTTGGATTCAGCAGTTTGGAGAGGCTGTTTTTGTAATTCTGTGAAGGGACCTTTGAAGCTCCTTGAGGCCAATGGTGAAAAAGTGAATATCCCAGGATAAAAACAAGAAGGAAGCTCTCTGAGAAACTGATTTGTGATATCTGCATTCATCTTGAAGAGTTAAACCTTTCTTTTAATTCAGCAGCTTGGAAAAATTGTTTTTGTAGAATCTGCAAAGGGATATTTGGGAGCGCTTTTAGGCTTATGGGGAAAAAGGAAATATCTTCAGATAAAAACTAGAAATAAGCTTTCTGAGAAAATGCTTCATAATGTTGCATTCATCTCACACAATTAAAACTTTCTTTTGATTCAGTAGTTTGGAAACAGTGTTTTTGTAGAAACTGTTGAGAGATATTTGTGAGAACATTGAGGTCAATAGTAAAAAAGGAAATATCTTCAGGTAAAAACCAGAAAGAAGCTTTCTGATAAACTTCTCTGTATTGTGTGCATTCATCTCACACAGTTAAACCTTTTTGCTTATTCAGAAATTTTGAAGCACTCTTTCTGTCCATTCTACAAATGGACATTTGGGAACTCATTGAGGCCAGTGGTGAAAAAGAGAATATCCCCATATAAAAATTGGAAGGAAGCTATCTGAGAAACTGCTTTGTGATGTGAGCATTCATCTCACAGAGTTAAACCTGTGAGAATCTGTGAAGGGATATTCGAGAGTGCATTGAGGCCTATGTTGAAAAAGGAAATGTCATCAGATGAAAACTAGAAAGAGGCTTTCAGAGAAACTGTTTTATGAGGTGTGCATTCATCTCAAAGAGTTAAACATTTCGTTGGATTCAGTAGTTTGGAAACACTGCTTTTGTAGGATCTGTGAAGGGATATTTGGGAGTGCATTGAGACTTATGGTGGAAAAGGAAATATCTTCAGGTGAAAACTAAAAAGAAACTTTCTGAGAGACTGCTTTGTGATGTGTGCATTCATCTCACAGGGTTAAGACTTTCTTGGGATTCAGCAGTTTGGAAACACTGCTTTTGTAGAATCTGCAAAGGGATGTTTGTGAGGTGATTGATGCCAAAGTTGAAAAAGCAAATATCAAAGGGTAAAAACTAGAAGGAAGTTATCTGAGAATCCGGTTTGTGATGTGTGCATTCATCTCACAGAGTTAAACCTTGGCTTTGATCCAGCAGTTTGGAAACACCGTTTTTGTCCATTCTGTGAATGGTCAATTGGGAGCTGAAAGAGGCCAAGGGAGACAAAGTGAATATTCAAGGATGAAAATTAGAAGGAATCTATCTGAGACACTGCTTGGTGATGAGTACATTCATCTCACAGAATTAAACCTTTCTTTTCATTCAGCAGTTTGGAAACACTGTTGTTGTAGAATCTGTGAAGGAATATTTGGAAGAGCATTGAGGCCTATGGTGAAAAAGGAAATAACTTCACATAAAAATGAGAAAGAAGCTTTCTGAGAAACTGCTTTCTGATGTGTGCATTTTTCTCACAGATTTTAACCTTTCTTTGTGTTCAAGAATTTGGAAACACTGTTTTTGTACATTCTGTGAAGGGACATTTTGGAGGTTATTGAGGCCAAAGGAGAAATAGCGAATATCCCAGGAGAAAAACTAGTAGGAAGCTATCTGGAAATCACTTTGCAATGCGTGCATTTATGTCACAGAGTTAAACTTTTCTTTTCATTCAGCAGCTTGAAAATGCTGTTTTGGTAGAATCTGTAAAGGTATATTTGGAAGCACATTGTGACTTTGGTGAACAATGAAATATCTTCAGATAAAGACTAACAAGAAGCTTACTGAGAAACAGCTTTGTTGTATGTGCATTAATCTCACAGAGTTAAATATTTTTGTTCATTCAGCAGTTTGGAAACACTGTTTTAGTGGAATCTGTGAAGTTATACTTCGGAGCACATTGAGGCCTATGGTCAAAGAGGAAATATATTCAGATAAAAACTAGAAAGAAGATTTCTGAGAAACTTCTTTGTGATGTGTGCATTCATCTCATAGAGTTAAACCTTTTATTGGATTCAGCAGTTTGGAAACATTGTTTTTCTCCATTCTGCGAATGGACATTTTAGAGTTCATAGAGGCCAATGGTGAAAAAGTGAATATTCCAGGACAATAACTAGAAGGAAGTTACCTGAAAAACCACTTTGTGATATGTGCATTCATTATGCAGGGTTAAGCCTTTCTTTTCATTCAGCAGTTTGGAAACACTGTTTCTGTAGAATCTGCAAAGGGATATTTGGGAATGCATTGAGTCCTACGGTGAAAAATTATCTTCAGATAAAAACGAGAAGGAAGCTTTCTGAGAAACTGCTTTGTGATGTGTGCATTCATCTCACAGCGTTAAAACTTTCCTTGGATTCACCAGTTTGGAAACACTGTTTTTGTAGAATCTATGAAGGGGTATTTGGCAGCTCATTGAGGTCAAAGGCAAAAAAGTGACATCCGAGGATAAAAACTAGAAAGAAGCTTTCTGAGCAACAGCTTTGTGATGTGTGCATTCATCTAATAGTGTTAAACGTTTCATTGGATTCATCAGTTTGGAGACACTTTTTTAACCATTCTGAGAATGGACATTTGGGAGCTCATTGAGGCCAATTGTGAAAAAACGAATATCCCACATTAAAAACTAGAAGGAAGCTATTTGAGAAACTGGTATGTGTTGTGTGCATTCGTCTCATAGAGTTAAGCTTGTATTTTCATTCAGCAGTTTGGAAACACTGTTTTTGAGAATCTGCGGATGGATATTTTGGAGCAATTTGAAGCCTATGTTGAAAAAGAAAATATCTTCAAATAAAAACTGGAAAGAAACTTTCTGAGAAATTGCTTTGTGATGTGTGCATTCATCTCATAGTATTAGACCTTTCTTTTGATTCAGCAGTTTGGAAACACTGTTTTTGTAGAATCTGCAATTGAATATTGGGTAGCTCATTGAGACCAAAGGGGAAGAAGTGAATATCTGACTGAAAAAACTAGAAGGAAGCTATCTGAGAAACAACTTTGTGATGTGTGCATTCGTCTCACAGAGTTAAAACTTTCTTTTCATTCAGCAGTTTGGAAACACTGTTTTTGTAGAATCTGTGAATGGATATTTGAGAGCGCATTGATTCATATAGTGAAAAAGGAAATATTTTCAGATAAAAACTAGAAAGAAGCTTTCTGAGAAACTGCTTTGTGATGTGTGCATTCATCTCACAGAGTTAAACCTTTCTTTGGATTCAGCAGTTTGGAATCACAGTTTTTTCCATTTGTTGAATGGACATTTGGAAGGAATTTGAGGCCAGTGGTGAAAAAGCAAATATCCCAATAGAAAAACTAGAAGAGAGCTATCTGAGAAACTGCATGGTGATGTGTGAATTCATCTCGGTGAGTTAAACCTTTCTTTTTATTCAGCAGTTTGCAAACAGTGTTTTGTAGAAACTGTAAAGGGATATTTGGGAGCGTATTGAAGCCTAAGGTGAAAAAGTAAATATCTTCAGATAAAAACTGGAATGAAGGTTTCTGAGAAAGTGCTTTGTGATATGTGCATTCATCTCACAGAGTTAAAACTTTCTTTTGATTCAGCAGTTTCAAAACTCCTTTTTGTAGGATCTGTAAAAGGGATATTCGGGGGCTTACTGAGTCCAAAGGTGTAAAAGCAAATATCCCAGGATAAAAACTAGAAGGAAGCTAACTGACAAACAGCTTTTTGATGTGCACATTCATCATGCAGACTTAAACATTTCTTTTCATTCAGCAGATTTGAAACACTGTTTTGGTAGAATCCGTGAAGGGATACTTGGGAGCTCATTGAGGCCTATGGTGAAAAAGGAAATATTTTCAGTTAGAAACTAGTATAAAGCTTTCAGAGAAAATGCTTTGTGATGCTTGCATTCATCTCACAGAGTTAAAAATTTCTCTGGATTCAGCAGTTTGGAAATACTGTTTTTTTCCATTATGCTAATGGACATTTCAGAGCTCCTTGACACCAATGGCGAAAAAGCAAATATCCCAGGGTAAAAATGAGAAGGAAGCTATCTGAGAAACTGCCTTGTAATGTAAGCATTCTTCTCACAGATTTAAAACTTCCTTTTCATTCAGTAGTTGGGAAATACTGTTTTGGTGGAATCTGTGAAGGGATATTTGGGAGTGCATTGGGTCCTATGGTTAAAAAGGAAATATATTCAGAAAAAAACTGGGAAGAAGCTACCTGAGAAACTGTTTTGTGATGTGTGCATTCGTCTCACAAAGTTAAGCCTTTCTTTCAATTCAACAGTTTGGAAACACTGTTTTTATACAATCTGTGAAGGGATATTTGGGAGCTCGTTGAGGCCAAAGACCAAAAAGAGAATATCCCAGGATAAAAACTAGAAGGAAGCTATCTGAGTAATTTCTTTGTGATGCGTGCATTCATCTCGCAAACTTAAACCTGTCTTTTCATTCTGCAAATGGGAAACTGTGTTTTGGTGGAATCTGCACAAGGATATTTGGAAGCATATTGAAGCCTATGGTGGAAAAAGAAATACCTTCAGATAAAAATTAGAAAGAAGCTTTCTGAGAAACTTTTTCGTGATGTTTGCAATCATCTCACAGAGTTAAATCATTCTTTGGATTCAGCACTTTGGAAACACTGTTTTTGGAGAATCTGCAAAGGGATGTTTGGAAGCTCATTGAGGCCAAAAGTAAAAAAATGAACATCCCAGGATAAAAACTAGAAAGAAGCTTTTGAACAAAATGTCTTGTGATGTTTGTATTCATCTCATAGGGTTAAACCTTTTGTTGTATTCATCAGTTTGGAAACTTTTTTTGTCCATTCTGCTAATGGACATTTATGAGCTCATTGAGGCCAATGGCAAAAAAGTGAATATCCCAGGATAAAAACTAGAAGGAAGCTATCTGAGTAACAGCCTTGTGATGTGTGTATTCATCTCGCAGAGTTACACATTTCTTTTCATTTGGCAGTTTGGAAACACTGTTTTTGTTGAATCAGTAATGGGATATTTGGGAGTGCATTGAGGCCTATTATGTAAAAGGACGTATCTTCAGATAAAAACTAGAAAGAAGCTTTCTTAGAAACCGCTTTGTGATGTGTGCATTAATCTCAGAGTTCAACCTTTCTTTGTATTCAGCAGTTTGGAAACACTGTTTTTTTCCATTCTGTGAATGGACATTTGGGACCTCATTGAGGTCAATGGTGAAAAAGGGGATACCCCATTATAAGAAATACGAGGAAACCACTTTGTGATGTGGGCATTCATCTCGCAGAGTTAAACCTTTCTTTTCATTCAGCAGTTTGGAAACACTGTTTATGTAGTATATACAAAGGGATATTTTGGAGGGCATTGAAGTCTATGGTTAAAAAGGAAATACTTTTAGAAAAAAACTAGAAAGAAGCTTCCTGAGAAACTGCTTGGTGATGTGTGCATTCATCTCACAGAGTTAAACCCTTTTTGGATTCTGCAGTTTGGATGCACTGTTTTTGTGCATTCTGTGAATCAACATTTCGAAGTTCACTGAGACCTATGGCAAAAAAGTGAAAATCCCAGGATAAAAACTAAGTGGAAGCTATCTGAGTAAATGCTTTGTGATGTGTGCCTTCATCTGACAGAGCTAAACCTCTCTCAGAAATCAGCAGTTTGTAAACTATGCTTTTGTAACATCTGCATGGGGGTATTTTGTAGCACACTCCGACCAATGGTGAAAAAGGAATTATCTTCAGATAAAAACTAGAAAGAATCTTTCTGAGAAACTGCTTTGTGATATGTACATTCATCTGACAGAGTTCAACCTCTCTTTGAATTCAGAAGTTTGAAAACCCTGTTTTTATAGCATCTCCAAAGGAATATTTGGGAGCTCATTGAGGCGAAAGTCGAAAAAGCAAATATTCCTGGATAAAAGCTAGAAGGAATCTATCTGAGAAACTGCTTTGTGATGTGTGCATTCATCTCACAGAGTTAAACCTTTCCTTTCATCCAGCAGTTTGGGAACACTCTTTTTTTAGAATCGGTAACAGATATTTTGGAGTGAATTGAGGCCTATGGTGAAAAAGGAAATATATTTAAACAAAAACTAGAAAGAAGCTTTCTGAGAAACTGTTTTGTGATGTTTGCATTCATGTCACAGAGTTAAACCTTTCTTCAGATTCGGCAGTTTGGAAAAACTGTTTTTGTCCATTCTGTGAATGGATATTTGGAGACCAAAGGTGAAAAAGTGAATATCCCAGGAAAGAAACAAGAAGAAAGTTATTTACGAAACAGCTTTGTGATGTGTGCATTCATCTCACAGAGTTAAATCTTGGTTTTCATTTAGCCATTTGGAAAAACTGTTTTTGTAGAATCTGTGAAGGGATATTTGGGAGCACATTGAGGCCTATGGTGAAAAATGAAATATCTTCAGACAAAAACTAGAAAGAAGCTTTCTGAGAAGCTGCTTTGTCATGTGTGCATTCCTCTCACAGAGTTAAACCTTTCTTTGGATTCGGTGGCTTAGAAACTGTTGTGGGAAGTCAGGGACACTGAACAGAGGGACCTGCTGAAGCCATGACAGAAAAACATAAATTTTGAAGATTTCCTGGACATTTGTCATTTCCCCAACCAATTCCCTTGTAATTTCCTATGCCTGTCTTTAACCTCTTAGTCCCATCATCTTCCAAAGCTGAGTATGTATGTCACCTCAGGACCCTGTGATGATTGTGTTAATGCACAGATTGTTTGTAAAGCATATGTGTTTGAACATTATGAAGTCTGGGCACCTTAAGGACAGGATAACCGTGATTTTCAGGGAACAAGGGAGATAAAGTCTGGTTACCTATGGACTGGGCATGACAGAGCCGTATTTCTCTTATTACTGAAAATGAATAAGAGAAATATCACTGAATTCTTTCCAAGTAAGGAATATTAATATTTAATGGCATGGGAAAAGAATACATTCCCAGAGGGGGCCTCTAAAATGGCTGCTCTGGGGATGTCCGCCTTATCCTGTTTCAGATAAGGGATGAAGCATGCCCTGGCATACTGCAGCACCCCGAGGCTTGCTAGGATTAGGACATTCCTGCCTGCCAAATTGCAGTCAGACCAATTCTCTGCTCTTGAACCCTGTTAAGATGTTTACCAATGAAAATGCATGCACAGCAGGACATGAAACTTCATTAGTAATTCTAGCTTTGCCCTGACCTTGTGATCTCGCCCTGAACTTCTGCTTTGTGATCCTTTGTTGCCCTTGATGTATGAGATCTCTGTGACACACTACCTATTCATACACTCTCTCCACCTTGAAAATTGCTAATAAAAACTTGCTGGTTTTAAGGCTCTAGGGACAATACAGATACGGCTGACATGTGATGTTTCCATCATACACCCAGCTTTGAAATTTCTCTCTTTTGTACTCTTCCCCTTTATTTCACAGACTGGCTGACACTTACTGAAAATAGAAAAGAACCTATGTTGAATTATCAGTGGTGGATCCTCCAATAGGAAACACTGTTTTTGTCCATTTTGTGGATAGACATTTGGGAGCTCATTGATGCCAATGGTGAAAAATAAAAATCCCAGGATAAATACAAGAAGGAAGCTATCTCAGAAACCACTTTGTGGTGTGTGCATTCATCTCAGAGAGTTAAAGCTTTCTTTGGATTTAGCAGTTTGGAAACACTGTTTTTGTAGAATCTGCAAAGGGAATTTGGGAGCTCATTGAGGCCATGGCAAAAAATAAAATAGTCCAGAATAAAAACTAGAAGGAAGGTATTTTAGAAATCACATTGTGATGTGTGCATTCATCTCACAAAGTTAAATCTTTCTTTTATTGCACCATTTTGGAAGCACTGTTGTTTTTTTTTTTGATTCTGTGAATGGACATTTGGGAGCTCATTGGGAGCAATGGAGAAAAAGTTAATATCCCAGGATAAAAACTACAAGAAAGTTATCTGGCAAACCTCTTTATGATGTGTCTATTCTTCTCACAGAATTAAACCTTTCTTTTCATTCAGCAGCTTGGAAACACTGTTTAGGTAGAATCTGAGAAGGGATATGTGGGAGCTCAATGAGGCCGATGGTGAAAAAGGAAATATCTTCAGATAAAAACTAGAAAGAAGTTTTCTGAGAAACTACTTCATGATGTGTGAATTCATTTCGCAGAGCTAAACCTTTGTTTTGATTCAACAGTTGGGAAATACTGTTTTTGTGGAATCTACAAAGGAATGTTTGATAGATCATTGATACCATAGGTGAAAAAGCAAATATCCCAGGAAAAAAACTGGAAGGAACCTATCTGAGAAACAGCTTTGTGATGTATGCATTCATCTCACAGAATTAAACCTTTGTTTTCATTCAGCAATTTGGAAACACTGTTTTGGTAGAATCTGAAAAGGGAATTTTGGGATCACATTGAGGCCTATGGTGAAAAAGGAAATATCTTCAGATAAAAACTAGAAATATGCTTTCTGAGAAACTGCTTTGGATGTGTGCATTTATCACACAGAGTTAAATCTTTCTGTTAATTCAGCAGATTGCAAACACTGATTTTGTGCATTCTGCAAATGGATCTTTGGGAGCTCATTGTGGCCAATGGAGAAAAAGTGAATACCCTAGGATAAAAACTACAAGGGCTCTCTCTCTGAGAAACCGCTGTATGATGTGTGACTTCACCTCACAGACTTAAACCTTTCTTTTCATTCAGCAGTTTGGAAACACTGTTTTGGTAGAATCTTTGAAGGGATATTTTTGAGCACATTGAGGCCTATGGTGAAAAAGGAATTATCTTCACATAAAAGCTGGAAGGAAGCTTTCTGAGAAACTGCTTTATGATGTGTACATTCATCTCACCCAGTTAAAAATTTCTTCCATTCAGCAGCTTGGAATCTCTGTTTTTGTTCATTCTGTGAATGGACATTTCAGACCTCATTGAGGCCAAAGGCAAAAAAGCGAATATCCCAGGAGAAAAACTAGAATAATGCCATCTGAGAATCCACTTTGTGATGTCTGCATTCATATTGCAAGTTAAACCATTCTTGGGATTCAGTAGTTTTGAAACACTGTTTTTGTGTTATCTACAGAGCAATATTTTGGAGCTCATTGACGTCAATGGTGAAAAAGTGAATATCTTAGGATAAATACCAGAAGGAAGTTAACTGAGAAACCACTTTGTGATGTGTGCTTTCATCTGGCAGAATTAAACATTTCTTTAGATTCAGCAGCTGGAAACACTGTTTTTGTCCATTCTGTGAATGAACATTTGGGAGGTCATTGAGGCCAATGGAGAAAAAGTGAATAGCCCAGGATAAAAACTAGAAGGAAGCTATCTGAAAAACTCCTGTGTGATGTGTGCATTCATTTTACACAGTTAAACCTTACCTTGTATTCACCTGCTTGGGAACATTGTTTTTGTCCATTCTGCGAATGGAAATTATGTAGCTCATTGAGTCCAATGGCAAAAAAGAGAATATCCCAGGATAAAAACTAGAAGAAAGTTGTCTGAGAAACCTCTTTGTGATGTGTGCATTCATCTCACAGAGTTAAAACTTATTTTTCATTCAGCAGTTTGGAAAAACTGTTTTGGTATAATCTGTGAAGGGATATTTGGGAGCTCACTGAGGGCTATGGTTAAAAGGAAACATCTTCAGATAAAAATGAGATAGAAGCATTCTGAGAAATTGTTTGGTGATGTGTGCATTAATCTCACAGCCTGAAACCTCACAGGCTTAAACATTTCTTTGGTGTCAGCAGTTTAGAAGCACTATTTTGCAGAATCTGCTAAGGGATATTTGGGAATTCATTGATGTGAAAGTCAAAAAAGTAAATATCTCAGGATAAAAACCACAAGGAAACTAACTGAGAAACCACTTTGTGATGTGTGCATTCACTTCTCAGAGTTAAACCTTTCTTTTTATTCAGCAGTTTGGAAACTCTGTTTTGTTAGAATCTGTGAAGGAATATTTGGGAGTGCAATGAGGTCTATGGTGTAAAAGGAAATATCTTCAGATAAAAACTAGAAAGCTTGATTGCACTGTGGTCTGAGAGTTAGTTTGTTATAATTTCTGTTCTTTTACATTTGCTGAGGAGAGCTTTACTTCCCTGTATGTGGTCACTTTTGGAATAGGTGTGGTGTTGTGCTCAAACAATGTATATTCTGTTGATTTGGGGTGGAGAGTTCTGTAGATGTCTATTAGGTCTGCTTGGTGCAGAGCTGAATTCAATTCCTCAGTATCCTTGCTGACTTTCTGTCTCGTTGATCTGTCTAATGATGACAGTGGGGTGTTAAAGTCTCCCATTATTAATGTGTGGGAGTCTAAGTCTCTTTGTAGGTCACTCAGGACTTGCTTTATGAATCTTGGTGCTCCTGTATTGGGTGCATATATATTTAGGATAGTTAGCTCTTCTTGTTGAATTGATCCCTTTACCATTATGTAATGGCCTTCTTTGTCTCTTTTGATCTTTGTTGGTTTAAAGTCTGTTTTGTCAGAGACTAGGATTGCAACCCCTGCCTTTTTTTGTTTTCCATTGGCTTGGTAGATCTTCCTCCATCCTTTTATTTTGAGCCTATGTGTGTCTCTGCACATGAGATGGGTTTCCTGAATACAGCACACTGATGGGTCTTGACTCTTTATCCAATTTGCCAGTCTGTGTCTTTTAATTGGAGCATTTAGTCCATTTACATTGAAAGTTAATATTGTTATGTGTGAATTTGATCCTGTCATTATGATGTTAGCTGGTTATTTTGCTCATTGGTTGATGCAGTTTCTTCCTAGTCTCGTTGGCCTTTACATTTTGGCATGATTTTGCAGTGGCTGGTACCGGTGGTTCCTTTCCATGTTTAGCACTTCCTTCAGGAGCTCTTGTAAAAGGCAGGCCTGGTGGTGACAAAATCTCTCAGCATTTGCTTCTCTGTAAAGGATTTTATTTCTCCTTCACTTATGAAGCTAAGTTTGGCTGGATATGAAATTCTGGGTTGAAAATTCTTTTCTTTAAGAATGTTGAATATTGGCCCCCACTCTCTTCTGGCTTGTAGGGTTTCTGCCGAGAGATCCACTGTTTGTTAGTCTGATGGGCTTCCCTTTGAGAGTAACCTGACCTTTCTCTCTGGCTGCCCTTAACATTTTTTCCTTCATTTTCACTTTGGTGAATCTGACAATTATGTGTCTTGGAGTTGCTCTTCTCGAGGAGTATCTCTGTGGCATTCTCTGTATTTCCTGAATCTGAACGTTGGCCTGCCTTGCTAGATTGGGGAAGTTCTCCTGGATAATATCCTGCAGAGTGTTTTCCAACTTGGTTCCATTCTCCCCATCACTTTCAGGTACACCAATCAGACGTAGATTTCGTCTTTTCACATAGTCCCATATTTCTTGGAGGCTTTGCTCATTTCTTTTTATTCTTTTTTCTCTAGACTTCCCTTCTCCCTTCATTTCATTCATTTCATCTTCCATCGCTGATACCCTTTCTTCCAGTTGATTGCATTGGCTCCTGAGGCTTCTGCATTCTTCACGTAGTTCTCAAGCATTGGCTTTCAGCTCCATCAGCTCCTTTAAGCACTTCCCTGTATTGGTTATTCTAGTTATACATTCTTCTAAATTTTTTTCAAAGTTTTCAACTTCTTTGCCTTTGGTTTGAATGTCCTCCTGTAGCTCAGAGTAATTTGATCATCTGAAGCCTTCTTCTCTCAACTCGTCAAAGTCATTCTCCATCCAGCCTTGTTCCGTTGCTGGTGAGGAACTGCGTTCCTTTGGAGGAGGAGAGGCGCTCTGCTTTTTAGAGTTTCCAGTTTTTCTGTTCTGTTTTTTCCCCATCTTTGTGGTTTTATCAACTTTAGGTCTTTGATGATGGTGATGTACAGATGGGTTTTTGGTGTGGATGTCCTTTCTGTTTGTTAGTTTTCCTTCTAACAACAGAGAGGACCCTCAGCTGCAGGCCTGTTGGAGTACTCTGCCGTGTGAGGTGTCAGTGTGCCCCTGCTGGGGGGTTCCTCCCAGTTAGGCTGCTCGGGGGTCAGGGGTCAGGGAACCACTTGAGGAGGCAGTCTGCCCTTTCTCAGATCTCCAGCTGCGTGCTGGGAGAACCACTGCTCTCTTCAAAGCTGTCAGACAGGGACATTTAAGTCTGCAGAGGTGACTGCTGTCTTTTTGTTTGTCTGTGCCCTGCCCCCAGAGGTGGAGCCTACAGAGGCAGGCAGGCCTCCTTGAGCTCTGGTGAGCTCCACCCAGTTTGAGCTTCCCGGCTGCTTTGTTTACCTAATCAAGCCTGGGCAATGGTGGGCGCCCCTCCCCCAGCCTCACTGCCGCCTTGCAGTTTGATCTCAGACTGCTGTGCTAGCAATCAGCAAGACTCCGTGGGCGTAGGGCCCTCCGAGCCAGGTGCGGGATATAATCTGGTGGTGCACCGTTCTTTAAGCCCATCGGAAAAGCGCAGTATTCAGGTGGGAGTGACCCAATTTTCCAGGTGCCGTCCGTCACGGCTTTCTTTGACTCAGAAAGGGATCTCCTAGAACTCAGGATTAAGAATCTCACTCAAAACCGCTCAACTACATGGAAACTGAACAACATGCTCCTGAATGACTACTGGGTACATAACGAAATGAAGGCAGAAATAAAGATGTTCTTTGAAACCAATGAGAACAAAGACACAACATACCAGAATCTCTGGGACGCATTCAAAGCAGTGTGTAGAGGGAAGTTTATAGCACTAAATGCCCACAAGTGAAAGCAGGAAAGATCTAAAATTGACACCCTAACATCACAATTAAAAGAACCAGAAAAGCAAGAGCAAACACATTCAAAAGCTAGCAGAAGGCAAGAAATAACTAAAATCAGAGCAGAACTGAAGGAAATAGAGACACAAAAAACCCTTCAAAAAATTAATGAATCCAGGAGCTGGTTTTTTGAAAGGATCCACAAAATTGATAGGCCGCTAGCAAGACTAATAAAGAAAAAAAGAGAGAAGAATCAAATAGATGCAATAAAAAATGATAAAGGGGATATCACCACTGATCCCACAGAAACACAAACTGCCATCAGGGAATACTACAAACACCTCTACGCAAATAAACTAGAAAATCTAGAAGAAATGGATAAATTCCTGGACATATACACTCTCCCAAGACTAAACCAGGAAGAAGTTGAATCCCTGAATAGACCAATAACAGGATCTGAAACTGTGGCAATAATCAATAGCTTACCAACCAAAAAGAGTCCAGGACCAGATGGATTCACAGCCGAATTCTACCAGAGGTACAAGGAGGAACTGGTACCATTCCTTCTGAAACTATTCCAATCAATAGAAAAAGAGGGAATCCTCCCTAACTCATTTTATGAGGCCAGCATCATTCTGATACCAAAGCCAGGCAGAGACACAACCAAAAAAGATAATTTTAGACCAATATCCTTGATGAACATTGATGCAAAAATCCTCAATAAAATACTAGCAAACCGAATCCAGCAGCACATCAAAAAGCTTATCCACCATGATCAAGTGGGCTTCATCCCTGGGATGCAAGGCTGGTTCAATATACGCAAATCAATAAATGTGATCCAGCATATAAACAGAGCCAAAGACAAAAACCACATGATTATCTCAATAGATGCAGAAAAAGCCTTTGACAAAATTCAACAACCCTTCATGTTAAAAACTCTTAATAAATTAGGTATTGATGGGACGTATTTCAAAATCATAAGAGCTATCTATGACAAACCCACAGCCAGTATCATACTGAATGGGCAAAAACTGGAAGCATTCCCTTTGAAAACGGGCACAAGACAGGGATGCCCTCTCTCACCACTCCCATTCAACATAGTTTTGGAAGTTCTGGCCAGGGCAATTAGGCAGGAGAAGGAAATAAAGGGTATTCAATTAGGAAAAGAGGAAGTCAAATTGTGGCTGTTTGCAGACGACATGATTGTATATCTAGAAAACCCTATTGTCTCAGCCCAAAATCTCCTTAAGCTGATAAGCAACTTCAGCAAAGTCTCAGGATACAAAATCAATGTGCAAAAATCACAAGCATTCTTATACACCAACAACAGACAAACAGAGAGCCAAATCATGAGTGAACTCCCATTCACAATTGCTTCAAAGAGAATAAAATACCTAGGAATCCAACTTACAAGGGATGTGAAGGACCTCTTCAAGGAGAACTACAAACCATTGCTCCAGGAAATAAAAGAGGATACAAACAAATGGAAGAACATTCCATGCTCATGGGTAGGAAGAATCAATATCGTGAAAATAGCCATAGTGCCCAAGGTAATTTACAGATTCAATGCCATCCCCATCAAGCTACCAACGACTTTCTTCACACAATTGGAAAAAACTGCTTTAAAGTTCATATGGAACCAAAAAAGAGCTCGCATTGCCAAGGCAATCCTAAGCCTTAAGAACAAAGCTGGAGGCATCACACTACCTGACTTCAAACTATACTACAAGGCTACAGTAACCAAAACAGCATGGTACTGGTACCAAAACAGAGATATAGATCAATGGAACAGAACAGAGCCCTCAGAAATAACGCCGCATATCTACAACTATCTGATCTTTGACAAACCTGAGAAAAACAAGCAATGGGGAAAGGATTCCCTATTTAATAAATGGTGCTGGGAAAACTGGCTAGCCATATGTAGAAAGCTGAAACTGGATCCCTTCCTTACACCTTATACAAAAATCAATTCAAGATGGATTAAAGAGTTAAATGTTAGACCTAAAACCATAAAAACCCTAGAAGAAAACCTAGGCATTACCATTCAGGACATAGGCATGGGCAAGGACTTCATGTCTAAAACACCAAAAGCAATGGCAACAAAAGCCAAAATTGACAAATGGGATCTAATTAAACTAAAGAGCTTCTGCACAGCAAAAGAAACTACCAACTGAGTGAACAGGCAACCTACAAAATGGGAGAAAATTTTTGCAACCTACTCATCTGACAAAGGGCTAATATCCAGAATCTACAATGAACTCAAACAAATTTACAAGAAAAAAACAAACAACCCCATCAAAAAGTGTGCGAAAGACATGAACAGACACTTTTCAAAAGAAGACATTTATGCAGCCAAAAAACACATGAAAAAATGCTCATCATCACTGGCCATCAGAGAAATGCAAATCAAAACCACAATGAGATACCATCTCACACCAGTTAGAATGGCAATCATTAAAAAGTCAGGAAACAACAGGTGTTGGAGAGGATGTGGAGAAATGGGAACACTTTTACACTGTTGGTGGGACTGTAAACTAGTTCAACCCTTGTGGAAGTCAGTGTGGAGATTCCTCAGGGATCTAGAACTGGAAATACCATTTGACCCAGCCATCCCATTACTGGGTATATACCCAAAGGACTATAAATCATGCTGCTATAAAGACACATGCACACGTATGTTTATTGCGGCATTATTCACGATAGCAAAGACTTGGAACCAACCCAAATGTCCAACAATGATAGACTGGATTAAGAAAATGTGGCACATATACACCATGGAATACTATTCAGCCATAAAAAATGATGTGTTCATGTCCTTTGTAGGGACATGGATGAAATTGGAAATCATCATTCTCAGTAAACTATCACAAGAACAAAAAACCAAACACCGCATATTCTCACTCATAGGTGGGAATTGAACAATGCTAACGCTAGATGACGAGTTAGTGGGTGCAGCGCACCAGCATGGCACATGTATACATGTGTAACTAACTTGCACAATGTGCACATGTAGCCTAAAACTTAAAGTATAATAATAAAAAAAAACTAGAAAGTGGCTTTCTGACAAACTGCTTCATGATGTGTGTATTTGTCTCACAGAGCTAAATCTTCGTTTGTATTCAGAAGTTTGGAATCACTGTTTCTTTCCATTCTGTGAATGGACATTTAGGAGTGCATCGAGGCCAATGGTAGAAAAGTGAATATCCCAGGATAAAAACTAGAAGGAAGCTATCTGAGAAATTGCTTTGTGATGTGTGCATTCATCACACAGAATTAAACCTTCCTTTTCATTCAGCAATTTGGAAACCCTGTTTCTTTTGGATCTGTCAAGGGATATTTGAGATCTCATTAAGCCAAAGGCAAAAAAAAAAAAGACTATTCCAGGATAAAAACTAGCAGGAAGATATCTTAGAAACTGCTTTGTGATGTGTGCATTCACCTCACAGAGTTATACCTTTCTTTTCATTCAGTAGTTTGGAAACACTGTTTTTATAGAATCTGCTATGGGATTTTTGAGAGTGCTCTGAGGTCTATGGTGAAAATAAAATATCTTCAGATAGAAACCAGAAAGAAGTTTCTGAGAAAGTGTTGGTGATGTGTGCATTCATATCACAGAGTTAAAACTTTCTTTTTATTAAGCAGTTTGGAAAAGCTCTTTTGGTATAATCTGTGATGTTTTTATCTTATGATATTCATTTTTTCACCTATGGAATCAATGAGCTCCCAACTCTCCCTTCGCTCATCCTTCAACAACAGAGTTTCCAAACTGCTGAATCCAAAGACAGGTTTAACTCTGTAAGATGAATGCACACGTCATAAAGAAGTTTCTCAGAAAGTTTATTTCTTGTTTTTATCTGAAGATATTTCCTTTTGGAACATAAGCCTCAATGTTCTCCCAAATATCCGTTGGCAGATTCTACAACAGTGTTTCCAAACTGCTCAATCCAAAGAAAGGTTTATATTTGAGAGATGAATGCACACATCACAAAGCAGTTTCTCAGAAGGCTTCATTCTAGTTTTTATCTGAAGATGTTTCCCTTTTCACCACAGGCCTCAATGTGCTCTCAAATATCCCTTCACAGATTAAAAAAAAACACAGTTTCCAAACTGCTGAATGAAAACAACGTTTTAACTCTGTGAGATGAATGCACACATCACAAAGAGTTTTCTCAGATAGCTTCCTTCTAGTTTTTATCCTGGGATATATGATTCTTTGCCATTGGCCTCAATGAGCTCCCAAATATCCATTCGCAGATTGGACAAAAACAGTGTTTCTAAACTGCTGAATCCAAAGAAAGTTTTATCTCGGTAAAATGAATGCACACATCACAAAGCAGTTTCTCTAAAAGCTTCTTTCTAGTTTTATCTGAAGATATTTCCTTTTTTACCTTAGTCCTCAATACGCTCACAAATATCCTTTTGAGGTTTCTACCAAAGCAGTTTCCAAACTGCTGAATGAAGTAAAAGGTTTAACCCTACGAGGTGAATGTAGGGTTAAAGTTTTTCACTTTTTCACCTAGGGACCCAATGAGCAATCTAATATCCATTCACTGATTCTTCAAAAACTGTGTTTACAAACAATGGAATACAAAGAAAGGTTTAATTCAGTGAGTCAAAGGCACACAACCAGAAGTACTTTCTCTGAAAGTTTTTTTGAGTTTTTATCTGAAGACTTTTCCTTTTTCCCCTTAGGCCTCAATGAGCTCCCAAAAATCTCTTGGCAGATTCTACAAAACAGTTTTTCCAAACTGCTGAATGAAAAGAAAGGTTTAACTCTGCGAGGTGAATGCCCACATCACAAAGCAGTTTCTCAGATAGCTTCCTTCTAGTTTTTACCCTGGGATATTCCCTTTTTCACTTTTGGCCTCAATGAGCACCAAAATACCCCCTTGCAGTTTCTACTAAAACAGTGTTTCTGAATTGGTGAATCCAAAGAAATATTTATCTCTGTGAGATGAATGCACACATCACAAAGCAGTTTCTCAGAAAGCTTCTTGCTTGTCGTTATCTGAAGATATTTCCTTTTTCACCATTGTCCTAATGCTCTCCCAAATACTGCTTCACAGATTCTACCAAAACAGTGTTTGCAAACAGCTGAATGAAAATAAAGGTTTAACTCTGTGAGATGTACGCATACATCACTAAGAGGTTTCTCAAATAGCTTCCTTCCAGTTTTTATCCTGGGGTGTTCAAGTTTTCACCAGTGGCCTCAATGAGCTATCAAATATCCCTTCACAAATTCTACAAAGCAGTGTTTCTAAACTGCTGAATCACAAGAAAGTTTTAACTATGTGAGAATAATGTACACATCACAAAGCAGTTTCTCAGAAAGCTTCTTTCTAGTCAGTATCCAAAGATATTTCCTTTTTCAGCATAGGATTCCATGCAATCACAGATATCCCTTCACAGATTATACAAAAACATGGTCTCCAAACTGCTGAATAAAAGGTTTAACTCTGTGAGATGAATGGACACATCTCAAAGCGGTTTGTAAGATAACTTCCTTCTAATTTTTATCCTGGGATATAGGCTTTTTCACCTATGGCCTCAATGAGCTTTCAAATATCCCTTCACAGATTCTATCAAAACAGTGTTTCCAAACTACTGAATGAAAAGAAAGTTTTAACACTGTGAGATGAATGAGCACATCACAATGCTGTTTCTCAGATAGTTTCCTTCTAGTTTTTATCCTGGGATATTTGCTTTTTCACCATTGGCCTCAAAGAGCTCCCAAATGTCCATTCACAGAATGGACAAAAACAGTTTCTCCAAACGGCTGAAACCAAACAAAGTTTTAGCACTGTGAGATAAATGCACACACCACAAAGCATTTTCTCAGAAAGCTTCTTTCTTCTTTTTGTCAGAATATGTTTCCTTTTTCATCATAGGACTCAATGCACTCCCAAATATCTCTTTGCAGATTCTACAAAAGCAGTGATTCCAAACTGCTGAATGAAAAGCAATGCTTAACTCTGCGATGAATGCACTCATTACAAAACGGTTTCTCAGATAGCTTCCTTCTAGTTTTCATCTTGGGATATTCACTTTTCTCTTTGACCTCAATGAGCTCCCAAATATACCTTGACAGATTCTACAAAAACAGTGTTTCCAAACAGCTGAATCCAAAGAAAGTTTTAACTCTGTGACATGAGTGCACACATAACAAAGCAGTTCCTCAGAAAGATTTTTTCTAGATTTTATTTGGAGATATTTCCTTTTTCACCACTGGCCTCAGTGCGCTCCCAAACATACCTTCACAGATTATAACAAAACAGTGTTTCCAAACTGCTGAATGAAAAGAAAGTTTAAGCTCTTTGAGATGAATGCACACACCACAAAGTAGCTTCTCAGATAGCTTCTTTCTAGTTTTTATTCTGTGATATTCACTTTTTAGTTTTGGCCTCAATGAGCTATCAAATATGCTTTTGCAGTTTGTACAAAAACAGTTTTTCCAATCTGCTGAACTCCAAGAAAGTTTTAACTCCGTGAGATGAATGTACACATCACAAAGCAGTTTCTGAGAAAGTTTCTTTTTAGTATTTATCTGAAGATATTTCCTTTTCCACCATAGGCCTCCATGGGCTCCCAAATATTCCCTCACAGATTCTACCAAAACAGTGTTTCCAAACTGCTGAATTGGAAAGAAAGTTTTAATTCTGTGAAATGATTGCACACATCTCAAAGTGGTTTCTCAGATAGCTTCCTACTAGTTTTTATGCTGTGATATTCACCTTTTTGCCTTTGGCATCAATAAATTATAAAACATCCCTTTGAAGAGTCTACATAAACAGTATAGCCAAACTGCTGAATTTAAAGAAAGGTTTAATTCTGTGCAATGAATGCACTCATCACAAAGCAGTTTCTCAGATAGCTTCCTTCTAGTTTTTCTCCTGGAATATTTGCTGTTTTGCCATTGGCCTCAATGTGTTCCCAAATATCCATTCACAGAATTGACAAAAACAGTGTTTCCATTCTCCAGAATGAAAAGAAAGCGTACCTCTGGGATATGAATGGACACATCACACAGTGGATTCCCAGATAGCTTCCTTCTAGTTTTTATCTTGGGATATTTGCTTTGTCTCCTATGGCCTCAATGAACTCCCAAATATTCCTTCGCAGATTCTACAACTACAGTGTTTCCAAATTGCTGAATCCAAAGAAAGGTTTAACACTGTGAGATGAATGCACACATCAAAAAGCATTTTCTCAGAAGGCTTCTTTCTAGTTTTATCTGAAGATATTTCCTTTTTCACCATTGTCCTCAATGCACTTGCTAATATACCTTCGCAGATTCTACAAAAACAGTGTTTCCAAACTGCTGAATGAAAAGACAGGTTTAACTCTGCAAGATGAATGCACACTTCACAAAGCAGTTTCTCAGATAACTTCCGTCTAGTTTTCTGGGATATTCTCCTTTTTGCTACTGGCAGCAAAGAACTCAGAAATGTTCCTTCACAGATTCTACAAAAACAGTGTTTCCATATTGCTGAATCCCAAGAAAAGTTTAACTCAGTGAGATGAATGCATGCATCAAAAAGTGGTTTCTCCGTTAGCTTACTTCTAATTTTTATCCTGGGATACTCACTTTTCCCCCTATGGCCTAAAGTCACTTCCAAATATTCCTTCACAGATTCTACAAAAACAGTGTTTCCAAACTGCTCAATCCAAACCAAGGTTTTTCTTTGTGAGATGAATGCACACATCACAAAGCAGTTTCTGACAAATCTTCTTTCTAGTTTTTATCTGAAGATATTTCCTTTTTCACCATAGGCCTCAATGAGCTCCCAAATATCCCCTCACATATTCTACAAAAACAGTGTTTCCAAACTGATGAATGAAAAGAATTTTTCTCTGTGAGATGAATGTACACATCACAAAGTGGTTTCTCAGATGGCTTCCTTCTGGTTTTTATCATGGGGTATTCACTCTTTGCAATTGGCCTGAATGAGCTCCCAAATGTCCATTCACAGAATTGACAAAAGAGATTATTTCTGAAGAGCTGAATGCAAAGAAATTTTTAACTCTGTGAGATGAAGGCACACATCACAAGGCAGTTTCTCAGAGAGCTTCTTTCAAATATTTATCTGAAGATATTTCCTTTTTCACCATAGACCACAAAGCGCTCCCAAATATCCCTTTACACTTTCTACATAAATAAAGTTTCCATACTGCTGAAAGAAAAGAAAGGTTAACTTGGTGAGAAGAATGCACACATCACAAAGCAGTTTATCAGTAAGCTTTTTTGTAGTTTTCATATAAAGGAATTTCCTTTTCACCAGAGACCTCAAAGCACTCCCCAGTATCTCTTAAAAGATTTTACCAAAACAGGGCTTCCAAACTGCTGAATGAAAAGAAATGTTTAACTCTGTGAGATGACTGCATACATCACAAAGCAGTTTCTCAGATAGGTTCCTTCCAGTTTTTATCTTGGGACATTCACTTTTTCACCTTTGGCCTCAATGAGATCTCAAACGTCCATTAACAGAATGGACAAAAACAGTGCTTCCAAACTGCTGAATCTGAAAAAAGGTTTACCTCTGTGAGATGAATGCACACATCACAAAGCAGTTTCTTAGAAACTTTCTTTCTAGTTTTATCTGAAGATATTTCCTTTTTCATAAAAGACCTCAATGTGCTGCCAAATACCTTTTTGCAGATTCTACAAAAACAGTGTTTCCAAACTGCTTTACGAAAAGAAAGGTTAACTCTGGGAGCTGAATGCAACACTTAATAAGGCAGTTTCCCTGATAGCCTCCTTCTAGTTTTTATCCTGGGATAGTCACTTTTTTGCCTATGGCCTCAATGAGCTATGTAATATCCCTTGACAGATTCTACTAAAACAGCCTTTCCAAACTGCTGTATCCAAGGAAAAGTTTAACTCTGTGAGACAAACACACACAACACAAAGCACTTTCACTGAAAGATTCTATCTTGTTTTAGCTGAAAATATTTCCTTTTTCAGCATAGGCCTCAATGCACTCCTAAATATCCCTTCACAGACACTACAAACACAGTGTTTCCAAACAGCTAAATGAAAAGAAAAGTTTATATCAGCAAGATGAATGCACCCATCATGATGAAGTTTCTCAGATAGCTTCCTTCCGGTTTTTAATTCAGCAATATTTACTTTTTCGCATTTCACCTCAGTTAGCTCCCAAATATCCCTTCGCAGATTCTCCAAAAACACTGTTTCCAAACGAGTGAATCCAAAGAAAGTTTTATCTCTCTGAGATGTATGCATACTTCACAAAGCAGTTTCTCAGAAAGCTTTTTTTCTAGTTTTCATCTGAAGATATTTACTTTTTCACCATAGGACTCAGTGCCCTCCCAAATATCCCTTCACAGATTCTACCAAAACAGTGTTTCCAAACTGCTGAATGAAAAAGAAAGGTTTAGCTCTGTGAGATGAATGCACACAACACAAAGAAGTTTCTCAGATAGCTTTCTTTTTGTTTTTATCTTAGGATATTCACTTTTTTGTCTCTGGCCTCAATGAGCTCCAAAATGTCCATTTGCAGAATGGACAAAAAAAGCAATCCAAACTGCTCAATCCAAAGAAAGTTTTAACTCTGTGAGATGAATACTCAAATCACTAAGCAGTTTCTCAGAATGCTTTTTTATGGTTTTTATCTGAAGATATTTCCTTTTTCACCATATGCCTCGATGCATTCCCAAATATCTCTTAGCAGATTCTACAAAACAGTGTCTTCAAACTGATGAGTGAAAAGAAAGGTTTAACTCTGTGAGATGAATGCACACATCACAGAGTCATTTCTCAGATAGCCTCCTTCTAGTTCTTATCTTTGGATATTCACTTTTTCACCTATGATTTCAACAAGGTATCAAATATCCCTTGGCAGATTCTACAAAAACAGTGTTCCCAAACTGCTGAATGAAAAGAAAGGTTTAGGTCTTTGAGATGAATACACACATCATAAAGCAGTTTCCCAGATAGCTTCCTTCTAACATTTATCCTGAGATATTCTCCTTTTCGCCTAAGGCCTTAATGCACTATTTTATATCTCTTCACAGGTTATATAAAAACATTGTTTCTGGGTGGAGCCAAGAAGGTCGAATGGGAAGAGCTCCAGTCCACAGCTCCCACCATGAGTGATGCAGAGGACGGGAGATTTCTGCAGTTCCAACTGAGGTACTGGGATCATCTCACTGGGGATTGTCGGACTGTTGGTGCAGGACAGTGGGTGCAGTGCAACGAGCATGAGCCGAAGCAGGGCAAGGCATCTCCTCACCTGGGAAGCACAAGGGGTCAGGGAATTCCCTTTCCAAGTCAAAGAAAGGAGTGAAAGATGGCACCAGAAAAATTGGGTCACTCTCACCCTAATACTGTACATTTCCAATGGTCTTAGCAAACGGCACACCAGGAGATTATATTCTGTGCATGGCTTGGAGGGTCCTATGCCCACAGAGCCTCACTCATTGCTAGCACAGCAGTCTGAGATCAAACTGCAAGGCGACAGCAAGGCTGGGTGAGGGGTGCCCGCAATTGCTGAGGCTTGAGTAGGTAAACAAAGCGGCCAGGAAGCTCAAACGGGGTGGAGCCCACCACAGCTCAAGAAGGCCTTCCTGTCTCTGTAGACTACACCTCTTGGGGCAGGGCATAGGCAAACAAAAGGCAGCAGAAACCTCTGCAGACTTAAATGTTCCTGTGTGACAGCTTCAAAGAGAGTAGTGGTTCTCCCAGCACACACCTTGAGATCTAAGAATGCACACACACTGCCTCTTCAAGTAGGCCCCTAACACCCGAGTAGCCTATGTGGGAGGCACCCCCCAGTAAGGGCAGACTGACACCTCACATGGCAGGGTACAGCTCTGTGACAAAACTTCCAGAGGAAAAATCAGGCAGCAATATTTGCGGTTCACCAATATTAGCTGTTCTGCAGCCTCTGCGGCTGATACCCAGGTAAACTTGGTCCGGAGTGGACCTCCAGCAAACTCCAACACACATGCAGCTGAGGGTCCTGACTGTTAGAAGGAAAACAAACAAATAGAAAGGACATCCACACCAAATCCCCATCTGTATGTCACCATCATCAAAGACCAAAGGTAGATAAAACCACAAAGATGGGGGAAAAAGCAGAGCAGAAAAACGGAAACTCTAAAAATCAGAGTACCTCTCCTCGTCCAAAGGAACACAGTTCCTCACCAGCAACAGAATAAATCCGGATGGAGAATGCCTTTGACAAGTTGACAGAAGAAGTCTTCAGATGATCAAGCTACTCTGAGCTACAGGAGGAAGTTCGAACCCATGGCAAAGAAGTTAAAAACCTTGAAAAAAGATTAGTCAAATGGCTGGCTAACTAGAATAACCAATGCAGAGAAGTCCTTAAAGGACCTAATGGAGCTGAAAACTATAGCAAGAAAACTACTAGATGAATGCACAAGCCTCAGTAGCTGATACAATCAACTGGAAGAAAGGGTATCAGTCCTGGAAGATCAAATGAATGAAATGAAGCGTGAAGAGAAGTTTAGAGAAAAAAGAATAAAAAGAAATGAACAAAGCCTCCAAGAAATATGGGACTATGTGAAAAGACCAAATCTACGTCTGATTTGTGTAAGTGAAAGGGATGGGGAGAATGGAACCAAGTTGGAAAACACTCTGCAGGATATTATCCAGGAGAACTTCCCCAATCTAGCAAGTCAGGCCAACATTCAAATTAAGGAAAATCAGAGAGTGCCAAGAAGATACTCCTTGAGAAGAGCAACTCCAAGACACATAATTCTCAGATTCACCAAAGTTGAAATGAAAGAGAAAATGTTAAGGGCAGCCAGAGAGAAATGTCGGGTTACCCACAAAGGGAAGCCAATCAGACTAACAACTGATCTCTCGGCAGAAACTCTACAAGCCAGAAGAGAGTGGGGGCCAATATTCAACATTCTTAAAGGAAAGAAATTTCAACCCAGAATTTCATTTCTGGGCAAACTAAGCTTCACAAGTGAAGGAGAAATAAAATCCTTTACAGCCAAGCAAATGCTGAGACACTTTGTCACCACCAGGCCTGCCCTAAAAGAGCTCCTGAAGGAAGCACTAAACATGTAAAGGAACAGTCAGTATCACCCACTTCAAAAATATACCAAATTGTAAAGACCATCGAGGATAGGAAGAATCTGCATCAACTAATGAGCAAAATTGCCAGCTAACATCTTAATGACAGGATCTAATTAACACATAACAATATTAACCTTAAATGTCAATGGGCTAAATGCTCCAATTAAAAGACACAGACTGGCAAATTGGATAAAGAGTCAAGACCCATCAGTGTGTTGTATTCAGGAAAACCATCTCATGTGCAGAGACATACATAGGCTCAAAATAAAGGGATGGAGGAAGATCTACCAAGCAAACGGAAAATAGAAAAAGGCAGGGGTTGCAATCCTAGTCTCTGATAAAACAGACTTTAAACCAACAAAGATCAAAAGAGACAAAGAAGGCCATTACATAATGGTAAAGAGATCAATTCAACAAAAAGAGCTAACTATCCTAAATATACATGCACCGAAAACAAGAGCACACAGATTCATAAAGCAAGTACTTAGAGAATTACAAAGAGACTTAGACTCCCACACAATAATAACGGGAGACTTTAACACCCCACTCTCAACATTGGACAGATCAACGAGACAGAAAGTTAACAAGGATACCCAGGAATTGAACTCATCTCTGAACCAAGCGGACCTAATAGACATCTACAGAACTCTCCAGCTCAAGTCAACTGAATATATGTTCTTTTCAGCATCACACCACACCTATTCCAAAATTGACCACATAGTTGGAAGTAAAGCACTCCTCAGCAAAGGTAAAAGAACAGAAATTATAACAAACTGTGTCTCAGACCACAGTGCAATCAAACTAGAACTCAGGATTAAGAAACTCACTCAAAACTGCTCAATGACATGGAAACTGAACAACCTGCTCCTGAATGACTACTGGGTATATAACGAAATGAAGGCAGAAATAAAGATGTTCTTTGAAACCAATGAGAACAAAGACACAACATACCAGAATCTCTGGGACACATTCAAAGCAGTGTGTAGAGGGAAATTTATAGTACTAAATGCCCACAAGAGAAAACAGGAAAGATCTAATATTGACAGCCTAACATCACAAATAAAAGAACTAGAGAAGCAAGAGCAAACACCTTCCAAAGCTATCAGAAAGCAAGAAATAACTAAGATCAGAGCAGAACTGAAGGAAATAGAGACACAAAAAACCCTTCAAAGAGTCATTGAATCCAGGAGCTGGTTTTTTGAAAAGATCAAGAAAATTGATAGACCGCTAGGAAGACTAAAAAAGAAGAAAAGAGAGAAGAATCAAATAGACGCAATAAAAAATGATAAAGGGGATATCACCAACAATCCCACAGAAACACAAACTACAATCAGAGAATAGTCTAAATGCCTCTGTGCAAATAAACTAGAAAATCTAGAAGAAATGGATAAATTCCTCGACACATATGCACTCCCAAGACTAAACCAAGAAGAAGTTCAATCTCTGAATAGACCAATAACGGGCTCTGAAATTGAGGCAATAATTAATAGCTTACCAACCAAATAAAGTCCAGGACCAGACTGATTCACAGCCGAATTTTTGCAGAGGTACAAAGAGGAGCTGGTACCATTCCTTCTGAAACTATTCCAATCAATATAAGAAGAAGGAATCCTCCCGAACTCATTTTATGAGCCCAGCATCATCCTGATACTGAAGGCTGGCAGAGACACAATCAAAAAAAGAGAATTTTACACCAATATCCCTGATGAACATCGATGCAAAAATCATCAGTAAAATACTGGCAAACCGAATCCAGCAGCACATCAAAAATCTTATTCACCATGATCAATTGGGCTCTGTCCCCGGGATGCAAGGCTGGTTCAACATATGCAAATCAATAAATATAATCCAGCATATAAACAGAACAAATGACAAAAACCACATGACGATCTTAATAGATGCTGAAAAGGCATTTGACAAAATTCAACAGCCCTTCATGCTAAAAACTCTCAATAAATTAGGTATTGATGGGACGTATCTCAAAATAATAATAGCTATTTATGACAAACCCACAGCCAATATCATACTGAATGTGCAAAAACTGGAAGCATTCCCTTTGAAAACTGGCACAAGACAGGGATGCCCTCTCTCACCACTCCTGTTCAACACAGTGTTGGAAGTTCTGGCCACGGCAAACTGGCAGAAGAAGGAAAGAACGGGTATTCAATTAAGAAAGGAGGAAGTAAAATTGTCCCTGTTTGCAGATGACATGATTGTATATCTAGAAAAGCCCATTGTCTCAGCCCAAAATCTCCTTAAGCTGATAGGCAACTTCAGTATCTCAGGTTACTTCAACTTCAACTTCAAAATCTCAGGATACAGAATCAATGTGCAAAAATCACAGGCATTCTTATACACCAATAACAGATAAAGAGAGAGCCAAATCATGAGTGAACTCTCATTCACAATTGCTTCAAAGGAATAAAATATCAAGGAATCCAACTTACAAGGGATGTGAAGGACCTCTTCAAGGACAACTACAACCAAATGCTCAATGAAATAAAAGAGAATACAAACAAATGGAAGAACATTCCATGCTCATGGGTAGGAAGAATCAATATAATGAAAATGGCCTTACTGTCCAAGTTAATTTATAGACTCAATGCCAGCCTCATCAAGCTACCAATGACTTTCTTCACAGAATTGGAAAAACTACTTTAAAATTCATATGGAACCAAAAAAGAGCCCGCATTCCCAAGTCAATCCTTAGCGAAAAGAAAAAAGCTGGAGGCATCACGCTACCTGACTTCAAACTATACTACAAGGCTACAGTAACAATAACAGCATGGTACTGGTATCAAAACGGAGATATAGACCAATCGAATAGAACAGAGCCCTCAGAAATAGTGCCACATGTCTACAACTAGCTAGTATTTGACAAACTGACAAAAACAAGAAATGGGGAAAGGATTCCCTATTTAATAAATGGTGCTGGGATAACTGGCTAGCCATATGGAAAAAACTGAAACTGGATCCCTTCCTTATACCTTAAAGGAAAATTAATTACAGATGGATTAATGACTTAAATTTTAGACCTAAAACCATAAAAACCCTAGAAGAAAACCTAGGCAATAGCATTCGGGACATAGGCGTGGGCAAGGACTTCATGTCTAAAACGCCAAAAGCAATGGCAACAAAACCAAAATTGACAAATGGGATCTAATTAAACTAAAGAGCTTCTGCACAGCAAAAGAAACTACCATCTGAGTGAACAGGCAACCTAGAGAATGGGAGAAAATTTTTGCAACCTGCTCATCTGACGAAGGGCTAATATCCAGAATCTACAATGAACCCAAACAATTTGACAAGGAAAAACCAAACAACCCCATCAACAAGTGAGTGAAGGATATGAACAGACACTTCTCAAAAGAAGACATTTTTGCAGCCAAAAGACACATGAAAAAATGCCCATCATCACTGGCCATCAGAGAAATACAAATCAAAACCAGAATGAAATTCCATCTCACACCATTTAGAATGGTGATCATTAAAAAGGAAACAACAGATGCTGGAGAGGATGTGGAGAAATAGGAACACTTTTACACTGTTGGTGGGACTGTAAACTAGTTCAACCATTGTGGAAGTCACTGTGGCGATTCCTCAGGGATCCAGAACTAGAAATACCATTTGGCCCAACCATCCCATTACTGGGTATATACCCAAAGGATTATAAGTCATGCTGCTGTGAAGACAGATGCACACGTATGTTTGTTCTGGCACTATTCACAATAGCAGACTTGGAACCAACCCAAATGTCCATCAAAGATAGAGTGGATTAAGAAAATGTGTCACATATACACCATGAAATACTATGCAGCCATAAAAAATGATGAGTTCATGTTCTTTGTAGGGACATGGATGAAGCTGGAAACCATCATTCTCAGCAAACTATCACAAGGACAAAAAACGAAACACCACATATTCTCACTCATTGGTGGGAATTGAACAATGAAAACACGTGTACACAGAAGGAGAACATCACACACTAGAGCCTGTTGTGGGGTTTCGGAATGAAACCCTACAGAAATATCCCAGGATAAAAACTAGAAGAAAGCTATCTGAGAAAGCGTCAGAGACTCTACAATAATAGTGGTTTCAAACTGCTGAATGAAAGGAAAGGTTTAACTCTGTGAGATGAACGCACACATCACAAGCACTTTCTCTGATATCTTCTGCCTCGTTTTTATCCTGGGATATTTACTTTTTAGCCTATGGCCTCAAAGTGGTATCAAATATCCCTTCGTAGTTTCTGCAAAAACAGTGTTTCAAAATTGTTGAATCTAAAGAAAGGTTGAAATCTGTGAGGTGAATGCACACATCACAAAGCAGTTTCTCATAAAGATTCTTTCCAGATTTCATCTAAAGTTATTTCCTTTTTCACCATAGGAGTCAATGTGTTAACAAATATCCCTTTAAAGATTCTACGAAAACGATGTTTCCAAATGGTGAATGAAAAGAAAGGTTTAACACGGCCAGATTAATACACACATCACAAGGCGGTTTCTCAGATAGGTTTCTTCTAGTTTTTATCCTAGGATATTTCCTTTTTTGCCTTTGTCCTCAATGACCTCCAAAATGTCCATTTGCAGAAAGCACAAAAACAGTGTTTCCAAAGTGCTGAATCTAAAGAAAGGTTTAACTCTGTGAAATGAATGCACTCATCACAAAGCAGTTTCTCAGAAAGCTTCTTTCTAGTTTTTATCTGAAGATATTTCCTTTTCCACTATAAGCCTCAATGAGCTCCCAAATATCCCTTAGAAGATTCTACCCAAAGAGTGTTTCCAAACTTCTGAGTGAAAAGAAGGATTTAACTCTTCAAGATGAATGCACACATCACAAAGCCATATCTCAGATAGCTCCCTTCTAGTTTTTATCCTGGGACATTATCTTTTTCACATATAGCCTCAATGATCAATAAAACATCCCTTCACAGATTGTGTAAAAACAGTATTTCCAACTGCTTTATCCATAGAAATTTTAAATCTGTGAGATGAATGCACACATCAAAAAGCACTTTCTAATGAATCTTCTTTCTAGTTTTTATCTGAAGATATTTCCTTTTTCACCAGAGGCCTCAATGTGCTCCTAAATATCACTTCACAGATTGTAGCAAAACAGTGTTTCCAAACTGCTGAATGAAAAGAAAGGTTTAACTCTGAGAGATGAATGCACATATAACAAAGTGGTTTCTCAGATTGCTTCATTCTATTTTTTATCCTGGGATATTCACTTTTTCCCCTTTGGCCTCAGTGAGCTCCCAAGTGTCCATTCACTGAATCAACAAAAACAGCATTTCCAAACTGTTGAACCCAAATAAAGATTTAACATTGGGAGATGAGTGCACACGTTACAAAGCTTTTTCTCAAATTGCTTCCTTCTAGATTTTATCCTTGGATGTTCACTTTTTTGCCGTTGGCCTCAATGAGCTCCCAAATGTCCATTCACAGAATAGACAAAAAGAGTGTTTCCAAATTGCTGAATCCAAAGAAAGGTTTAACTCTGTGAGAGGAATGCACACATCACAGTGCAGTTTCTCAGAAAGATTCTTTCTAGTTTTTAATCTGAAGATATTTCCTTTTGCACCATAGGCATCAATGTGTTCCCGTATATACCTTCACATATTCTACCACAGCAGTGTTTCCAAAATGCTGAGTGAAAAGAAAGGTTTACCTCTGTGAGCTGAATGCAAACCTCACAAAGATGTTTCTCATCTTGCATCCTTCTAGTTTTTATCCTGGGATATTCACTTTTTCACCTATGGCCTGTATGAGCAATCTAATATCCCTTTGCAGATTCTACAAAAACAGTGTTTCCTATCTGCTGAATGAAAAGAAAGTTTTATCTTTGCATCATGAATGCACAGATCACAAAGCTGTTTCTCAGAAAGATTTCTTCTAGTTTTTCTCCTGAAATGTTCACTTTTTCGCCTTTGGCCTCAATGACCTCCCAAATGTCCTGTCACAGATTGTACCAAAACAGTGTTTCCAAACTGCTGAATGAAAAGACAGATTTAACTCTGCGAGTTTAATGCAAACATCACAAAGCAATTCCTCATACAGCTTCCTTCATTTTTATTCTGTGATAGTCGCTTTTTCAACTATGTCCTCAATGAGCTGTCTAATATAAATTTTCAGATTCTACAAAAATGGTGTTTTCAAACTGATGAATCCAAAGAAAGTTTAACACTGTGAAATGAATGCACACATCACAAAGCAGTTTCTCAGAAAGGTTTTTCAAGTGTTTGTCTGAAGATATTTCATTTTTCACCATAGGCCTGAAAGTGCTCCCAAATATCCCTTTGAAGATTCTGCCAAAACTGATTTCCAAACTGCAAAACAAAAGAAAGGTTTAATTCTGCGAGATGAATGGACATATCACAAAGTGGTTTCTCAGATAGCTTCCTTCTAGTTTTTATTCAGTGATATTCACTTTTTCACCGATGGCCTCAATGACCTATCTAATTTCAATTTGTAGATTATACTAATAGAGTGTTTCCAAACAGCTGAATGAAAGAAAGGTTTAACTATGCAAGATGAATGGAAACATCATAAAGCGGTTTCTCAAATTGCTTCCTTCTAGTTTTTATCCTGGGATATTCACCTTTTCGCCTATGGTCTCAATTAGTTATCTAATATCCCTTTGCAGACTCTACAAAAACAGTGTTTCCAAACTGCTGAATGAGAAGAAACGTTTATATCAGTGACATTAATGCACATATGACAAAGCGGTTTCTCAGATAGCTTCCTTCGAGTTTTTATTCAGGGATATTCACTTTTTTGCCTTTGACCTCAATGAACTCCCAAATATACCTTTGCAGATTCTACAAAAACAGTGTTTCCAAACTGCTGAATCCAAAGTAAGGTTTAATTCAGTGAGATGAATGCCCATATCTCAAAGCAGTTGCTAAGAAAGCTTCTTTATAATTTTCATCAGAAGATATTTCCTTTTTCACAATTGGCCTGAATGCGCTCCCACATATACCTTTGCAAATTCTACCAAAACAGTGTTTCCAAACTGCTGAATAAAAGAAAGGTTTAACCCTGAGAGATGAATGCACATATCACAAGGTGGTTCCTCAGATAGCTTCCATCAAGCTTTTATCCTAGGATATTCTCTTTTTCCCCTATGGCCTCAAAGAGCTGTCAAACATCTCTTCACAGTTTCTACAAAAAGTGTTTCCAAACTACCGAATGCTAAGAAAAGTTTAACTCTGTTAGATTAATGCTCACATCATAAAGCAGTTTCTCAGAATGCTTCTTTCTAGTTTTTATCTGAAGATATTTCCTTTTTCACCAAAACCTCAATATGCTCCCAAATATCCCTTTGCGATTCTACCAAAAAAGTGATTCCAAATTGCTGAATGAAAAGAAAGGTTTATTTCAGCGAGATGAATGCACACACCAAAAAACGGTTTCTCAGACAGGTTTCTTCTAGTTTTTATTCTGGGATATTCACTTTTTCACCTTTGACCTCAATGAGTTCAAAAATGTCCATTCACTGAATGGACAAAAACAGTGTTTCCATACTACTGAATCCAAAGAAATGTTTAACTCTGTCAGATGAATGCACACATCACAAGGCAGTCTCTCAGAAAGATTCTTTCTAGTTTTCATCTGAATATATTTCCTTTTTCACCATAGGTCTCAATGCACTCCCAAATATCCCTTCACAGTTTATTCCAAAACAGTATTTCCAAACTGCTGAGTGTAAAGAAGGGTTTAACTATGCGAGATGAATGCATACATCCAAAGCGGTTTCTCAGATAGCTTCCTACTAGTTTTTATCCTGGAATATTTACTTTTTGGCCTATGGCCTCAATGAGCTATAAAATATGCCTTCACAGATTCTACAAAAACGGTTTTTCTAAATTGCTGAATCCAAAGAAAGTTTTGACTCTGTGAGATGAATGCACTCATCTAAAAGCAGTAGAAAGCTTCTTTCTACTCTTATGTGAAGATACTACTTTTTCACGATAGGCCTGAATGAGCACCCAAGTACCTTTTCATACATTCTGCCAAAACAATGTTTCCACACTACTGAATGAAAAGAAAGGCTTAACTTTGTGAGATGAATGCACACTTTACAAAGCATTTTCTCAGATATCTTCCTTCTAGATTTAACCTGGGATATTCGTTTTTTCTCCTTTGGCCTCAGTGAACTCCTAAATATCAAGTTGCAGAATGGACAAAAGCAGTGTTTCTAAACTGCTGAATACAAAGAAATGTTTCAATCTGTGAGATGAATGCACACATCACACAGCAGTTTCTCAGAAAGTTTTTTTTGAGTTTTTGTCTGAAGATATTTCCTTTTTCACCATAGGACTCAATGTGCTCCCAAATATCCCTTTGCGGATTCTGCCCACATCACATAGCGGTTTCTTAAATAGCTTCCTTTGGTTTTTATCCTGGGATATTCACGTTTTTGTCTTTGGCCTCAATGAGCTCCCAAATATCCCTTCGCAAGTTCCACAGAAATAGTGTTTCCATACTACTGAATCCAAAGAAAAGTTTAACTCTGTGAGATGAATGCACTTCACAAAGTTGTTTCTCAGGAAGCTACTTTGTAGCTTTTCACTGAAGTTATTTCCTATTTCAACATAGGCTTCAATGCGATCCTAAATATCACTTCATAGATTGTACCAAAACAGTGTTTCCAAGCTGCTGGATGAAAAGAAAGGTTTAAATCTTAGAGATGAATGCACACATAACAAGGCAGTTTCTCAGATAGCTTCGTTCTAGTTTTATCCTGGTTTATTCTCCTTTTCCCTTATGTCCTCAATGAGCTATCAAATGTCCTTCATGTATTCTACAAAAATAGAGTGTCCAAAAAGATGAATCCAAAGAAATGTTTGGCCCCATGAGATGAATGCCCACATCACAAAGCAGTTTCTCAGAAAGCTTCTTTCTGTTTTTTATCTGAAGATATTTTCTTTTTCACCTAGGCTCCAATGCCCAACAAAGTATCCACTTTCAGATTCTGCCAAAACAGTTGTTCCACACTGTTGAATGAAAAGAAAGCTTTAACTCTGTGAGAGGAATGCACACATCACAAACAGGTTTCTCAGATAGCTTTCTTCTAGTTATCATCCTGAGATATTCACTATTTCACCTTCAGCCTCAATGACCTCTCAAATGTCCATTCGCAGAATGGACAAAAACAGTGTTTCCAAACTGCTGAATCCAAACAAAGGTTTTAACTCTGTGAGATGAATGCACACATCACAAAGCAGTTTCTCAGAAATCTTTCTAGTTTTTATCTCAGGATATTTCCTTTTTACTTTAGGCCTAAAAGTGCTCCCAAATATCCCTTTGCAGATTCTACAAAAACAGTGTTTCCAAACTGCTGAATGAAAAGAAAGGTTTAACTCTGCAAGAAGAATGCACACATCACAAAACAGTTTCTCAGATAGCTTCCTTCTAGTTTGTATCCAAGGATATTCACTTTTTCGCCTATGGCCCCAATGAGCTATTTAATATCCCTTCGCAGATTCTACAAAAACAGTATTTCCAAACTGCTGAATCCAAAGAAATGTTTGCCACTTTGAGATGAATGTACACATCACAAAGTAGTTTCTCAGAAACATTTTTTTCTAGTTTTTATCTGAAGATATTTCCTTTTTCACAATAGGCCTCAATTTCCTCCCAAATATCCCTTTGCAGATTGTACAAAAACAGTGTTTCCACACTGCTGAATGAAAAGAAAGTTTTAACTCTGTGAGATGAATGCATACATAAAAAATCGGTTTCTCAGATAGCTTTCTTCTAGTTTTTATCCTGGAATATATGCTTTTTCGCCATTGTGCACAATGAGCTCAAAATGTTCATTTGCAGAATGGACAAAAACAGTGTTTCCTAACTGCTGAATCAAAATAAATTTTAACTTTGTGAGATGAATGAACACATCACAAAGCAGTTTCTCAGAAAGCTTCTTTCTAGCTTTTGTCTGAAGATATTTTGTTATTCACCATAGGTCTCATTGAACTCCCAAATATCCCTTCTCAGATTCTACCAAAATGGAGTTTCTAAACTGCTGAATGAAAAGAAAGGTTTAACTCTGCAAGATGAATGCTCACATCACAAGGCAGTCTCTCAGATAGCTTCCTTTTAGTTTTTATCTGGGAATATTCACTTTTTCAACTTTGGCCTCAATGAACTCCCAAAGATCCCTTCACACATTCTACAAAAACAGTGCTTCCACACTACTGAATCCAAAGAAAGGTTTGACATTGTGAGATGAATGCACACATCACAAAACAGTTCTAAGAAAGCTTCTTTCTAGTTTTCATCGGAAGTTATTTCCTTTTTCACCTTAGGATTCAATGCACTCAAAAATGTCCCTTTGCAGATTCTACCAAAACGGTGTTTCCAAACTGCTGAATGAAATGAAAGTTATAACTCTGAGAGGTGAATGCCAACATCATAAAAGGGTTTCTCAGATAGTTTCCTGCTAGTTTTTATCCTGGGTTATTCAGTATTTCCCCTATGGCCTCAATGAGCTATAAAATCTTCCTTCACAGATTCTACAAAAACAGTGTTTCCAAAGTGGTTAATCTAATGAAAGTTTTAACTCTGTGAGATGAATGCACACATCGCAAAGCAGTTTCTTAGAAAGCTTCATTCCGGTTTTTTTCTGAAGATATTTCCTTTTTCACCTTAGGCCTCAATGCACACCCAAATATTTCTTCACAGATTCTGCCAACACAGTGTTTCTAAACAGCTGAATGAAAAGAAAAGTTTACCTCTCTGAGATGAATGCACACTTCACAAAGCAGTTTCTCAGATAGAGTTCTTCTAGTTTTTATATTGGGATATTCGCTTTTTTCCCTATGGCCTCAATGAACTACAAAATATAACATTGCAGATTCTACAAAAACAGTGTTTCCAAACTGCTGAATCCAAAGAATGCTTTAAGTCTGTGGCATGTATGCAAACATCACAAAGAAATTTGTTGGAATGATTCTTTCTACTTTTTATTTGAAGATATTTCCTATTTTACCACAGGCCTCAATGCACTCCTAAATATTCCTTTGCAGATTCTATGAAAAGAATGTTTCCAACCTGCCAAATGAAAAGGAAATTTAACTCTGTAAGATTAAGGCACACATGACAAACTGGTTTCTCAGAGAGTTTCCTTCTAATTTTTATCCTGAGATATTCACTTTTTTGCCTTTGACCTCAATGAGCTACCAAATGTCCATTTGAAGAATGAACAAATACAGTGTTGCCAAAATGCCGAGCCCAAAGAAAAGTTTAACTCTATGAGACGAATGCATACATCACAAAGCAGTTTCCCAGGAAGATTCTTTCTAGTTTTTATCTGAAGATATTTCCTTTTTCACCATTGGCATCAATGTTCTAGCAAATATCCCTTCACAGATTCTACCAAAACAATGTTTCCAAACTGCTGAATAAAAAGAAATGTTTAATTTTGCGAGATGAAAGCACACATCACAAAGAAGTTTCTCAGATAGCCTGTTTCTAGTTTTTATCCTGGGATATTCACTTTTTTGCGTTTGGCATCAGAGAGCTCCCAAATTATTCCAGAAGAGTTTACATACTACAGAATCCAAAGAAAAGTTCAACTTTGTAAAATGAATACACACATCACAAAGCAGTTTCTCAGAAAGCTTCTTTCCAGTATTTATCTGAAGATATTTCCTTTTTCATCATGGGCCTCTATGCACTCCCAAATATCCCTTCCCAGATACTACCCAAACACAGTTTCTAAACTGCTGAATAAAAAGAAAGGTTTATCTCTGTGAGAAGAATGGACACATAGCAAAGAGGTTTCTCAGATTGGTTTCTTCCAGTGTTTATACTGGGATATTTCCTTTTTTGCATTTGGCCTCAATGACCTCCAAAATGTCCATTGGCAGCATGGACAAAAACAGTGTTTCCAAACTGCTCAATCCAAAGAACTGGTTTAATCGGTGAGATGAATGCACACATCACAAAGCAGGTTGTCAGAAAGCTTATTTCTAGTTTTTATCTGAAGATATTTCCTTTTTCACCATAGGCCTCATTGTGCTCCCAAATATCCCTTCGCAGATTCTACAAAAACAGTGTCTCCAAACTACTGAACCTAAAGAAGGGTTTAATGCTGTGACATGAATGCAAACATCACAAAGCAGTTTTTCAGAAAGCTTCTTTCTCATTTTTATCTGAAGATATTTCCTTTTTCACCATAGGCCTCATTGCACTCCCAAATATCCCTTCGCAGATTCTACAAAAACAGTGTTTCCAAACTACTGAACCTAAAGAAAGGTTTAATGCTGTGACATGAATGCAAACATCACAAAGCAGTTTTTCAGAAAGCTTCTTTCTCGTTTTCTTCTGAAGATATTTCCTTTTTCACCATAAGCCTCAACACACTCTCAAATGTCCCTTGGTAGATACTACCAAAACAGTGTTTCCAAATTGCTGAATGAAAAGAAAGGTTTAACTCTGTAAGATGAATGCACACATCACAAAGCAGTTTCTCAGAAATCTTCTTTTGAATATTTATCTGAAGATAATTCCTTTTTCACCATAGGGGTCAATGTGCTCCCAAATATCCCTTTGCTGATTCTACAAATACAGTATTTCCAAACTGCTGAATTCAAAGAAATGTTTAACTCTGTGAGATGAAAGCACACATCACAAAGTGGTTTCTCAGAAAGCTTCCTTCTAGTTTTTATCCATGCATATTCACTTTTACACCTTAGGCCTCAATGAGCTCCCAAATATCACTTCAAGTATTCTACGCAAACAAAATTTCCAAACTACTGAATCCAAAGAAATTTAACACTGGAAGATGAATGCACACATCACAAAGCAATTTCTCAGAAAATTTCTTTCTTTTTTTCATCTGAAGATATTTCCCTTTTCACCATAAGCCCAAATGCACTCCCAAATATCCCTTCACATATACTACCAAAACACTGTATCCTAACACCTGAATGAAAAGAAAAAATTATCTGTGAGAGGTGAATGCACACATCACAAAGTGGTTTCTCAGATAGATAGCTTCCTTCTAGTTTTTATCCTGGGAATTTAGTTTCTTCACCTGCGGACTCAACGGTCTCTCAAATGTCCATTCACAGAATTGGCAAAAAAAAATTTCCAAACTGCTGAATCCAAAGAAATGTTTAATTCTTTGAGATGAATGCACACATCACAAAGCAGTTTTTCAGAAAGCTTCTTTCTAGTTTTTATCTGAAGATATATCCTTTTTCACCATAGGCATCAATGTGCTCCCAAATATCCCTTTGCAGATTCTACAAAAACAGTGTTTACAAACAACTGAATCCACAGAAAGTTTTAAATCTGTGAGATGAATGCACACATCACAAAACAGTTTCTCAGATAGCTTCCTTCTATTTTTTATTCTGGGATATTTGCTCTTTCATCATTGGCCCCAATGAACTCCCAATTGCCCATTCACAGAATGAACGAAAACAGTGTTTCCAAACTGCTGAATCCACAGAAAGGTTTAGCTCTGTGAGATGAATGCACACATCAAAAGGCAGTTTCTCAGAAAGCATATTTCTAGTTTTTATCTGAATATATTTCCTTTTTCACCAGAGGCCTCAGTGTGCTCCCAAATGTCCCTTCATAGATTCTGCAAAAACAGTGTTTCCAAACTGCTGCATGAAAAGAAAGTTTTAACTCAGTGAGATGATTGCAGACATAACAATGTTTTTTCTTGGGTAGCTTCCTTCCAGTTTTTATTGTGGGATATTCACTCTTTCTCCATTAGCCTCAAGGAGCTCCCCATTTCTGCAAATGGACAAAAACACTGTTTCCAAACTGCATACTTTGATCCAAAGAAATGTTGAATTCTGTTAGTTGAAAGCACACATCACAAAGCAGTTTCTCAGAAAGCTTCTTTCTAGTTTTTATCTGAAAATATTTCCTTTTTCAACATGGGCTTCAATGTGCTCCCAAATATCCCTTCACAGATTCTGCCAAAACGTGTTTCCAAAGTGCTGAATCCCAAGAAACTTTTCTCAGAAACTTCTGTCAAGTTTTTGTCTGAGGATATTTCCTTTTTTGACTTTCACATCAATGACCTCCCAAATATCCCCTCACAGATTCTACAAGAGCATTGTTTCCAAGCTGCTGAATCCAAAGAAAGACTTAACTGTGTGGGATGAATGCACACATCACAAAGCAGTTTCTCAGAAAGCTTCTTTCTAGTTTTTATCTGCACATATTTCTTTTTTCACCATAGGCTCAATACGCTCCCAAAAATCCCTTTGCAGATCTGTCAAAACAGTTTTTCCAAACTGCTGAGTGAAAAGAAAATTTTAACACTGAGAGATGAATGCACACATCACAAAGCAGTTTCTCAAATAGCTTCCTTCTAGTTTTTATCCTAGAATATTTGCTTTTTTGCCATTGGCCTGAAAAACTCCTCAATGTCCATTCTCAGAATGGACACAAACAGTGTTTCCAAGCTCCCGAATTTAAAGAATAGATTAACTGTGCGATGAATGCATGCATCACAAAGCAGTTAATCCAAAAGCTGTTTTCTTGTTTTTATATGAAGATATTTCCTTTTTCACCACAGACCTCAATGTGCTCCAAAATATCCCTTTCAGATTCAACAAATACCGTGTTTTCAAACTGCTGAATGAAAAGAAATGTTTAACTGTGTGAGATGAATGCACACATCACAAAGCCATTTCTCAGAAAGCTTCCTTCTAGTTACTACCCATCAGTATTCACTTTTTCTTATTTGGGCTGGATGAGCTCCCAAATATCTTTTCGCAGACTCTACACAAACAGTGTTTCAAAAAACTGAATCCAAAGAAATTTTAACTCTGTGAGATGAATGCACACATCACAAAGCAGTTTCTCAGAAAATTTCTTTCTTGTTTTCATCTGAAGATATTTCCTTTTTCACCATATGCTCCAATGTTCTCCCAAATATACCTTCGCAGATACTACCAAAATAGTGTATCCTAACTGTTGAATGAACAGAAAGGTTTAACTCTACAAGATGAATGCACACATCACAAAGCAATTTCTCGATAACTTCCTTCTAGTTTTTATCCTGGGATATTTGCTTTTTCACCTTTGGCCTCAATGAGCCGTTTAATATTCCTTCACAGATTCTACATAAACAGTGTTTCCAAATTGCTGAATCCAAAGAAAGGTTTAATTCTTTGTTATGAATGCACACATAACATAGCAGTTTTTCAGAAAGCTTCTTTCTAGTTTATCTGAAGACATTTTCTTTTTCACCATAGCCTCAACTAGCACCCAAATGTCCCTTCACAGATTCTACAAAACGTGTTTCCAAACTGCTGAATGGAAAGTAATGTTTAACTTGACAACACGAATGCACACATCACAAAGTAGGTTATCAGATCTTTCTTCTACAGGATAAATACTCCAGTATTTATCCTGGAATATTCACTTTTTTGCCTTTGACCTCGAAGACCTCCCAAATGTCCATTTGCAGAATGGACAAAAACAGTGTTTCCAAACTGCTGAATCCAAAGAAATTTTTAACTCTGCAAGATGAATGCTGACATCACAAAATGGTTTCTCAGGTAGCTTCCTTCCAGTTTTTATGCTGGGATATTCGCTCTTTCACCATTAGCCTCAAGGAGCTCCCAAATGTCCATTCAAATAATGGACAAAAACAGTGTTTCCAAACTGTAAACTGCGAACCCAAAGAAAGGTTTAACTCTGGGAGATGAAAGCACACATCACAAAGCAGTTTCTCAGAAAGCTTCTTCTTAGTTTTTATTGGAAGATATATCCTTTTTCAATATAGGCCTCCAGGTGGTCCCAAAAATACCTTTGCAGATTCTACAAAAACTGTGTTTACAAACTGTTGAATGAAAAGAAATATTTAATTCTGCTAGATGAATGCAAAAATCACAATTGGGTTTCTCAGATAGGATCCTTCCAGTTTTTATCCTGGGATATTTGCTTTTTTGACTTTAGCTTCAATGAGTACTGAAATATCCCTTTGTGTATTCTACAACAACAGTGTTTCCACATTGCTGAATCCAAAGAAAGATTTACCTCTTTGAGATGAATGGACATTTGAGAAATCATTTTCTCAGATAGCTTCCTTCTAGTTTTTATCTTGGGATATTCACTTTTTTGCCATTGGCCTCAATGAGCTCCCAAATGTCCATTTTCAGAATGAACAAAAACAGTGTTACCAAACTGCTGAATCCAAGGAAAGGCTTAACTCTGTGAGGTGAATGCACACATCACAAAGCAGTTTCTCAGAAACCTTCTTTCTAGTTTTTATCTGAAGATATTTCCTTTGTCACCATAGGTCTCAGTGCTCTGCCAAATATCTCTTCCCAGATTCTACCAAAATAGCGTTTCCAAACCTCTGAATGAAAAGAAAGATTTAACTCACTGCGTGAATGTACACATCACAAGGTGGTTTCTCAGACAGCTTCTTTCTAGTTTTTAGCCTGGTATAATCACTTTTTCCTTTGTGGACTCAATGAGCTATCAAATATCCTTCACAGATTCTACAAAAACAGTGTTTCCAAACTACTGAATCCAAAGAAAGGTTTAATGCTGTGAGATGAATTCACACATCATAAAGCCATTTCTCAGATAATTTCTTTCTAGTTTTATCTGAAGATTTTTTTTTCACCATAGACCTCAATGCACTCTGAAGTATCCCTACACAGACCCTACCAAAATAGTGTTTCCAAACTTTTGAATGAAAAGTAATGTTTAACTCTGTGAGATGAATGCACATATCATAAGGACTTTCTCAGATATCTTCCTTCTCGTTTTTATCCTGGGATATTCACTTTTTAGCCTATAGCTTCAAAGAGCTGTCAAATATCCCTTCACAGATTCTACAAAAACAATGTTTCCAAACTGCTATATCCAAAGAAGAAAAGTTAAACACTGTGAAATGAAGGCACATATCACAAAGCAGTTTCTCAGAAATCTTCTTTCTAGTTTTCATCTGAAGATATTTCCTTTTTCACCATAGGCCTCAATGCTTTCTCAAATATCCCTTGGCAGATTGTACCAAAACAGTGTTTCCAAATTGCTGAATGAAAAGAAAGATTTAACTCTGTGAAATGAATGCACACATCACAAAGCACTTTTTCATATAGCTTTCTCCTAGTGTTTATCCTGGGATATTCACTTTTTTGCCTTTGGTCTCAATGAGCTCCCAAATGTATATTCACAGAATGGATAAAGACAGGGTTTCCAAACTACTAAATGAAACGGAAGTTTTTCATCTGTGAGATGAATGCCACATCACAAATCAGTTTCTCAGATATCTTCCCTCGAGTTTTTATCCAGGGATGTTTGCTTTTTCAAATTGACCTCAATGAGTTCCAAAATATCCCTTTGCAGATTCTACAAAATCAGTGATTCAAAACGACTGGATGCAAAGAAATATTTAACTCTGTGACATAAATGCACACATCACAAAGCAGTTTCTCACAAAGCTTTTTTCTAGTTTTCATCTGAAGATATTTCTTTTTTCAACATACGCCTCAGTGTACTAACACATATCCCTTCACTGTTTCCACTAAACCATTCTTTCGAAACCACTGAATGAAAAGAAATTTGTATCTCTCCAAGATGAAAGCACACATTACAAATCCTTTTCTCAGATAGCTTCCTTCTAGTTTTTATCCTGGGATATTTGCCCTTTCTCCTCTTGCCACAGTGAGCTATCTAATATCCTTTCACAGATTCTGCAAAAACAGTGTTTCCAAACTGCAGTATCCAAATAAAGGTTTAACTCTGTGAGATGAATGCACACATCACAGAGCAGTTTCTCAGAAAGCTTCCTTTGAGTTTTTTTTGAAGATATTTCCTTTTTCAACCTAGGCCTCAATGTGCTCCCCAATATCCCTTCACAGATCCTATAAAATCAGTGTTTCCAAACTACTGAACACAAAGTAAGATTTAACTCTGTGAATTGAATGCACACATCACAAAGCAGTTTCTTAGAAAGCTTTTTTGTAGTTTTCATCTGAAGATATTTCCATTTTCACCATAGGCCTCAATGCGCTCCCAAATATCCCTTCATGGATTCTACTAAAACAGTTTCCAAACTGCTGAATGAAAAGAAATATTTAACTGTGTGAGATGAATGCACACATAACAATCGGTTTCTCAGATAACTTCCTTCTAGTTTTTATCATGGGATATTCACATTTTTGCCATTTGCCACAATGAGTTCCCAAATGTCCATTCGCAGAAGGGACAAAAACAGTTTTTCCACACTGCTAAATCCGAGGAAAGTTTTAACTCTATGAATTGAATGCACACATCACAAAGCAGTTTGTCAGAAAGCTTCTTTCTAGTTTTTATCTGAAGATATTTCCTTTTTCAACCTAGGCCTCAATGTGCTCCCAAATATCCATTCGCAGATCCTACAAAATCAGTGTTTCCAAACTATTGAATACAAAGAAAGCTTTAAGTCTGTGAGATGAATGCACACATCACAAAGTAGTTTCTTAGAAAGCTTTTTTCTAGTTTTCATCTGAAAAGTTTTCCTTTTTCACCATAGGCCTCAATGAGCTCCCAAATATCCCTTTATGGATTCTACCAAAACAGTGTTTCCAAACTGCTGAATGAAAAGGAAGGTTTAACTCTGTGAGATGAATGCACACATCACAAACGGTTTCTCAGATAACTTCCTTCTAGTTTTTATCATGGGATATTCACTTTTTCACCATTTGCCTCAATGAGTTCCCAAATATCCATTCGCAGAATGGACAAAAATAGTGTTTCCAAACTGCTGAATCCAAGGAAAGGTTTAACTCAGTGAGGTGAATGCACACATCCCCAAGCAGTTTCTCAGAAAGCTCCTTTCTAGTTTATATCTGAAGATATTCCTTTTTCACCAGAGTACTCAAAGCACTCCCAAATATCCCTTGAATATTCTACCAAAACAGAGTTTCCAAAATGCTTAATTAAAGGAAAGTTTTACTTCTGTGAGATGAATGCACACATCACAATGCAGTTTCTCAAATAGCATTCTTCTAGTTTTTATCCTGGCATATTCACATTTTCGCCATTGGCCTCAATGAGCTCTCAAATGTCCATTCACAGAATTGATAAAAACAGTGTTTCCAAACTGCTGAATTGCAAAGAAAGTTTTAACTCTGTAGGGTGAATGCACACATCACAAAGCAGTTTCTCAGAATGCTTCTGTCTAGTTTTAATATGAAGATATTTGTTTTTTTACCAGAGACCTCAATGTGCTCTGAAATATCCCTTTACAGATTGTATCAAAAGAGGTTTTCAAACAGCTGAATGAAAAGAAAGGTTTAATCCTGCAAGATGAACGCACACATCACAAGGGTGTTTCTCAGGTAGCTTCCTTCTAGTTTTTATCCTGGGAAATTCGCTTTTTCACCAATGGCCAGAATTAGCTCCCAAAACTCCTTTCACAGAATGGAAAAAAACAGTGTTTCTAAACGGCTAAATCCGAAGAATGGTTTAACTCTTTGAGAGGAATGCACCCATCACAAAGCAGTTTCTTAGAAAGCTTCTTTTGAGTTTATCTGAAGATATTTCCTTTTTCACCATAGGCCTCAATGCACTTCCAAATATCCCTTCAGAGATTCTGCAAAAACAGTGTTTCCAACCTACTGAAAGAGAAGAAATTTTTATATCTGCTAGATGAATGCACACATCACAAAGCAGTTTCTCTGTTTCCTTTGAGTTTTTATCCAGGGATATTAACTTTTTTGCCTTCGGATTCAAAGAGCTCCCAAATTTTAATTCACAGATTCTACAAAAACAGTGTATCCAAACTACTGAATCCAAATAAATGTTTAAATCTGTGAGATGGATACACACATCACAAAGCATTTTCTCAGATAGCTTCCTTCTAGTTTTTATACTGGGATATACACTTTTTTGCCATTGGCCTCCATGAGCTCCCAAGTTCCGCTTTGCAGAATATACACAAACAGTGTTTCTTAACTGCTGAATCCAAAGAAAGTTTTAAATCATTGAACTGAATGCACGCATCACAAAGCAGTTTCTCAGAAATCTTCTTTCATGTTTTTTTCTTAAGGTGTTTCCTTTTTCACATTAGGCCCCACTGTGCTTCCAAATATCCTTTGCAGGTTCTACAAAAACAGTGTTTCCAAACTGCTGACTAAAAAGAAAATTTTAAATCTGTGAGATCAATGCAAACATCATATGTCGGTTTCTCAGATAGTTTCCTTCTATTCTTTATCCAGGGATATTCGCTTTTTTGCCTTTGGCCTCAATGAGCTCAGAAATATCCCTTCGCAGATTCTACAAAAACAATGTTTCCAAACTACTGATATCCAAAGAAAGGTTTATCTCTGTGAGAAGAAGGCACACATCACAAAGCAGTTTCTCAAAAAACTTCTTTATGGTTTTCATCTGAAGATATTTTCTTTTTCACGGTAGGTCTCAATGTGCTCCCAAATATACCTTTGCAGATTCTCCTAAAACAGTGTTTCCAAACTGCTGAATCCAAAGAAAGTTTTAAATCATTGAGATGAATGCACACATCACAAAGCAGTTTCTCAGAAATATTCTTTCTTGTTTTTATCTGAAGGTATTTCCTTTTCCACCATAGGCTCTTGTGCACTCTGAAATATGCCTTCACAGATTCTACTGAAACAGTGTTTCCAAATTGATGAATGAAAAGAAAGGTTTATCACTGTGAGATGAAGGCACACATCACAAAGCAGTTTCTCAGATAGCTTCCTTCTAGTATTTATCCTGAGATATTCACTTTTTCGCCTACGGCCTCAATGAGCTGTCAAATAACCCTTTGCTAATTCTACAAAAACAGTGTTACCAAACTGCTGAATCCAAAGAAAAGTTTAACTCTGTCAGATAAGTGCACACTGTACACATCACAAAGTAGTTTCTCAGAAAGTTTCTTTCTAGTTTTTACCTGATGATATTTCCTTTTTAAACATAGGCCTCTATGCAATGCCAAATATCCCTCCACAGATTCTACAAAAACACTGTTTCCAAATCACTGAATGAAAAGAAAGATTTAAATCTGTGAGATGAATGCACACATCACAAAGTGGTTTCTCAGAGACGATTGTTGTAGTTTTTAATCCTAGAATATCCTCTTTTCTGCCATTGGCCTCAATGAGCTCCAAAATGTCTATTTGCAGAATAAACATAAACAGTGTTTCCAAACTGCTGAATCCTAGGAAAGGTTTAACTCTGAGGTGAATGCACACACAACAAAGGCTTTTCTCAGAAAGGTTCTATCTAGTTTTTATCTAAAGATATTTCCTTTTTCACCATGGACCTCAATGCACACCAAAATATCCCTTCACAGATTCTACCAAAACAGTGTTTCAAAACTGCTGAATGAGAAGAAAGTTTTAACTCTGTGAGATGAATGCACACTTCACAAAGCAGTTTCTCAGATAGCTTCCTTCTAGCTTTTATCCTGGGATGTTCTTTTTTTTGTATTTGGCCTCAAGGATCTCCCATTATCCCTTCGCAGATTCTACAAAAACAGTGTTTCAAAACTGTGGAATGGAAAGAAAGCTTTAACTCCATAAGAAGAGTGCACACATCACAAAGCAGTTTCTCAGAAAACTTCTTTCTAATTTTTACTGAAGATATTTCCTTTTTCACCATAGGCCTCAAAGTGCACCCAAATATCCCTTTGCAGACTCTACAAAAACAGTCTCCAAACTGAGGAATGAAAAGAATGGTTTACCTCTGTGAGATGAATTCACACATCACAAAGTGGTTTCTCAGATAGCTTCCTTCTAGTTTTTATCCTGGTGTATTTGCTTTATCACCTATGGCCTCAATGAGCTCCAAAATATCTGTTTTTGTCCATTCTGCAAATGGACATTTGGGAGCTCATTGAGGCCAATGGCAAAAAAGTGAATATCCCAGTCTGAAACCTTGAAGGAATTTATCTGAGAAACCAACTCGTTGTGTGTGCATTCATCTCACAGAGTTCAACCTTTCTTTTCATTCAACAATTTGGAAATTCTTTTTTTGTAGAATCTGAGAAGGGATATTTGGGAGTGCATTGAGGCCTATGGTGAAAAAGGAAATATCTTCAGAGAAAAACTAGAAGGAACCTTTCTGAGAAACAGCTTTGTGTTGTGTGCATTCACATAGCAAAGTTAAAACTTTTCTTTGGGTTCAGAATTTTGGTAACTCTGCTTTTGTAGGATTTGCAAAGGGATATATGATATCTCATTGAGGCCATGGCCAAAAGAGTGAATAGCCCAGGATAAATACCAGAAGGAAGCTATCATACAAGCCATGGTGTGATGTGTTCATTCATCTCACAGTGATTAAACCTTTCTTTTCATTCATCAGTTTGGAAACACTGTTTCAGTAAAATCTATGAAGGGATATTTGGGAGCTCATTGAAGCCTATGGTGAAAAAGGAGATATCTTTAGATAAAAGCTAGAAAGAACCTTTCTGAGAAACTGCTTTGTGATGTGTGCATTCGTCTCACAGAGTTAAACCTTTCTTTGGATTCAGAAGTTTCAAAACACTCATTGTTTAGAATCTGTGAAGGGATATTTGATAAGTCTTTGAGGCTAAAAGGGAAAAAGGGAATATCCCAGGATAAAAACTAGAAGGAAGTTATCTGAGAAACCACCTTGTAGTGTGTACATTCATCTCACAGAGTTGAAACTTTCTTTTCATTCAGCAGTTTGGAAACATTTTTTTGGTAGAATCTGCAAAAGTATATTTGGGAGTGCATTGAGGCCTATGGTTAAAAAGGAAATATGTTCAGATAAAAACTAGAAAGAAGCTTTCAGAGTAACTGCTTTGTGATGTGTGCAATCTTTCTTTGGATTCAGCAGTTTCAAAGACTGTTGTTGTAGAATTTGTGAAGGGAGAGTTGGGGGCTAATTGAGGCTATAGGGGAAAAAGTGAATATCCCATGATAAAAACTAGAAGGAAGCTATCTGGGAAACTGCCTTGTTATGTGTGCATTCATCTCGCAGAGTTAAACATTTCTTTTCACTCAGCAGTTTGGAAGCACTCTTTTGGTAGAATCAGCAAAGGGATATTTGGGAGCACTTTGAGATCTACAGTGAAAAAGAAAATATCTTCAGATTACAACTAGAAAGAAGCTTTCTGAGAAACTGCTTTGTGATGTGTGCATTCATCTCACAAAGATAAAACTTTTTTGGATTCAGCAGTTTGGAAACACTGTTTTTGTCAATTCTGCGAATGGGTATTTGGCAGCTCATTGAGACCAGTGGTGAAAAAGCAAATATTCCACGATAAAAACTAGAAAAACCTATCTAGGAAACGTTTTTGTGATTTGTGCAATAATTTCACAGTCATAAACCTTTCTTTTCATTAAGCAGTTTGGAAACACTGTTTGGGTAGAATCTGTGAGGGGATATTTGGGAGTGCATTGAGGCCTATGCTGAAAAAGGGAATACCTTCAGATAAAAAATAGAAAGGAACTTTCTGAACAACTGCTTTGTCATGTGTTCATTCGTCTCTCAGAGTTAAAACTTTGTATTCAGCAGGTTGGAAACACTGTTTTTGTAAAATCTGCAAAGGCAAATTTGATAGCTCATTAAGGACATAGGTGAAAAAGTGCATATCACAGGGAAAAAACTGGAAAGAAGCTATCTGAGACACCGCTTTGTGATGTGTGCATTCATCTCTCAGAGATAAACCTTTCTTTTCACTCAGCAGTTTGGAAACACTGTTTTCATAGAATCTGCAAAGGGATATTTGGGAGCGATTTGAGGCCTATGGGGAAAAAGGAAATATCTTCAGATGAAAAGTAGAAGCTTTCTGACAAACTGCTTTCTGATGTGTGCATTCATCTCACAGAGTTCAGTCTTTCTGTGAATTCAGTAGTGTGCAAACACTATTTTTGTCCTTTCTGAGAATGGACATTTGTGAGCTCTTTGAGGTCAATTGCAATAAAGGGAATATCCCAGGATGAAAACTGGAAGGAAGCTAACTGAGAAACCACTTTGTGATGTGTGCATTCACCTCGCAGAGATAAAGTTTTCTGTTAATTCAGCAGTCTGGAAACACTGTTTGGGCAGAATCTACGAAGGGATACTTTGGAGCACATTGAGGCCTATGGTGAAAAAGAAAATATCTTCATATAAGAACTAGAAAGAATCTTTCTGAGAAACTGCTTTGTGATGCGTGCATTGATCTCACAGAGTTAAACATTTCTGTGGATTCAGCAGTTTGGAAATACTGTTTTTGTCTATTCTGCGAATAGACATTTCATAGCTCAATGTAGCCAATAGCAAAAAAGTGAATATTCCAGGATAAAAACTGGAAGGAATATTTCTGAAAAACCTCGTTGTGATGTATGCATTCACCTCACAGAGTTAAACCTTTCTTTACATCCAGCAGTCTGGAAACCTTATTGTGGCACAATCCAGAAAGGGATATTTGGGAGTGTATTTAGGCCTATGGTGGAAAAAGAAATATCTTCAGATAAAAAGTAGAAAGAAGCTTTCTGAGAAACTGCTTTGTGATGTGTGCATTCATCTCACAGATTTTAACCTTTCTGTGGATTCAGTAGTGTGCAAACACTGTTTTTCTCCATTCAGGGAATGGAAATTTGCAAGCTCTTTGAGGTCAAAGGCAAAAAAGAGAACACTTCAGGATAAAAAATAGAGGGAAGCTACCTGAGAAACTGCTTTGTGATGTGTGCATTCTTCTAACAGAGTTAAAACTTTCTTTTTATTCAGCTGTTTGTAAACACTGTTTTCCTAGGATCTGTGAAGGGATATCTGGGAATGCATTGAGACCTATGGTGAAAAGGAAATATCTTCAGATTAAAACTAGAAAGAAGCTTTCTGAGAAACTGGTTTGTGATATGTGTATTCAACTCACAGTGTTAAACCATTCTATGGATTGACCAGTTGGCAAACACTGTTTTTGTCCATTCAGTGAATAGACATTTCGGTGCTCATTGAGAACAATGGTGAAAAAGTGAATATCCCAGGATAAAAACTGGAAGGAAGCTATCTGAGAATCCACGTTGTGATGTGTGCATTCACCTCATGGAGATAAAGCTTTCTTTTCATTCAGAAGTCTGGAAACACTGTCTCACAGAATCCGTGAAGGGATACTCAGGAGTGCATTGAGGCCTATGTTGAAAAAGGAAATATCTTCAGAGAAAAACTAGAAAGAAGCTTTCTGAGAAACTGCTTTGTGATGTGTGCATTCATCTCACAGAGTTAAACCTTTCTGTGGATTCAGCAATTTGCAAACACTGTTTTTGTCCATTCTGTGAATGGACATTTTGGAGCTCATTGAGGCCAATGGTGAATAAGTGAATATCCCAGGATTAAAATGAGAAGAAAGCTATCTGAGAAACGGCTTTGTGTTGTGTGCATTCACCTTGCAGAATTAAAACCTTCTTTGCATTCAGCAGTCTGGAAACACTGTTTTTGCAGTATCATCAAAGGGCTATTTGAGAGTGCATTGAGGCCTACGGTGAAAAAGGAAATATGTTCAGTTAAAAACTAGAAAGAAAGTCTGAGAAATTGCTTTGTGATGTGTGCATTCATCTCTCCGAGTTAAACCTTTCTTTTCATTCAGTGTTTTGGAAACACTGTTGTTGTAGAATCTGAGAAGTGTATTTGGGAACTTAATGAGGCCAAAGGTGAAAAACCGAATATCCCAGGACAAAAACTAGAAGGAAGCTATCTGAGAAAATGCATTGTGATGTGTGCACTCATCTAACAGAGTTTCACCTTTCTTTTCATTCAGCAGTTTGGAACCACTGTTTTTCAAGAAACTGTAAAGGGTGACCATTGAGGCCTATGGTGAAAAAGGAAATATCTTTGGATAAAAACTAGAAAGAGGCTTGCTGAGAGACTACTTTGTGATGTGTGCATTCATCTCACTCAGTTAAAGTTTTCTTTGGATTCAGCACTTTGGAAACACTGTTGTTGTACAATCTTCAAAGGGTTACTTGGGAGCTTCATGAGTCCAAAGGCGAGAAAGCGCACATCCCAGGATAAAAACTAGAAGGAAGTTATCTGAGAAACCACTTTGTTATGTATGCACTCATCTCTCCAAGATAAACCTTTCTTTTCTTTCCACAATTTGGAAACATGGTTTTCGTAGATTAGGCGAAGTTATATTTGTGAGTACATTAAGGTCTATGGTGGAAAAGGAAATATCTTCTTATAAAAACTAGAAAGAAGCTTTTTGAGAAACTGCTTTGTGATGTGTGCATTCATCTCACAGAACTAAAACCTTCTTTCAATTCAGCAGTCTGGTAACACTGTTTTGGAAGAATCTGCCAAGTGATATTTGGGAGGGAATTGAAGCCTATGGAGAAAAACGAAATATCTTCATATAAAAATTAAAAAGAAGCTCTGTGAGAAACTGCTTTGTGATGTGTGAATTGATCTCACACAGTTAAAACTTTCCTTAGATCAGCAGTTTGGAAACACTGTTGTTGCAGAATCTGTGAAGGGATATTAGGGAGTTCTTTGAGGCCAATGGCAAATAAGTAAATATCCCAATATAAAAACTAGAAGGAAGCTATTTGAGAAATCGCATTTTGATGTGAATTCACACATCACAAATCACATTGTGATGTGTGTATTCATCTCACAGAATTAAACCTTCCTTTTCATTCAGCAGTACGGGAGCTTAAATAGGCCAAAGTGGAAAAACCGAGTATCTCAGGAAAAAAACCTGAAGCGATCTATCTGAGAAACTGCTTTGTGGTGTGTGCATTCATCCCTCTGACATAAAATGCTCTTTTTATTCAGCAGTTTGGAAACACTGTTTTTGTAGAATCTGCGATATTATATTTGGGAGCACCTAGAGGCCTATGGTGAAAAAGGAAATATTTTCAGATAAAAACTAGAAAGAAGCTTTCTGAGAAACTGCTTTGTGATGTGTGAATTAATGTCACAGAGTTAAACCTTTCTTTTCATTCAACATTTTGGAAACACTGTTTTTGTCGAATATAGTAAGTGATATCTGGGAATGCATAGAAGCCTATGCTGAAAAAGGAAATATCTTCAGATAAAGACCAGAAAGAACCTTTCTGAGAGACTCCTTTGTGATGAGTGCATTTATCTCACACAGTTAAACCTTTCTTTGCATTCAGCAGTCTGGAAACACTGTTTTCTTAGAATCTGTGAAGAGATATTTGGTGGGGCATTGAAGGCTATGGTTAAAAAGGAAATATCTTCAGATAAAAACTAGAAAGAAGCTTAATGAGAAACAGGTTTGTGATGTGTGAATTCATCTCACAGAGTTAAAACTTGCTTTTGATTGAGCAGTTTGGTAACACTTTTTTTGTCCATTATGTGAATGGACATTTGGGAGCTCATTGAGGCCAATGGTGAAAAGGTGCACATCACAGGATAAAAACTAGAAGGAAGATACTTGAGAAAATGCTTTTTGATGTGTGCATTCATCTCACAGAGCTAAAACTTTCTTTTCATTCAGCGGTTTGGAAACACTGTTTTTGTAGATTCTGCGAAGGGATATCTGGCAACACATTGAAGCCTATGGTGGAAAAGGAAATATTGCCCGATAGTAAGTGGAAAACACTGTTATGAGAAACTGCTTTGTGATGTGTTCATTCATCTCACAGAGTGAAACATTTCTTTGGATTCAGCCATTTGGAAACACTGTTTTTGTCCATTCTGAGAGTAAATATTTGGGAACTCATTGAGGTCAATGGTGATAAAGTGAATATACCTGGGTAAAAACTAGAAGGAAGCCATCTGAGAAACCGATTTGTGATGTGTGCATTCATCTCATAGAGGTAAACCTTTCTTTTCATTCACCAGTTTGGAAACACTTTTTTTGTAGAATCAGTGTAGGGATATTTGGCATCACATGGAGGCCTATGGTTAAAAAAGAATTTTCTTCTGAGAAAAACTAGAAAGAGGCTTTCTGAGAAACTGTTTTGTGATGTGTTCATTCATCTCACAGAGTTAAACCTTTCTTTGGATTCAGCCCTTTGGAAACACTGTTTTTGTCCATTTCGCAAATGGACATTTGGGATCTCATTGAGGCCAATGGTGAAAAAGCGAATATACCAGGATAAAAACTAGAAGGAAGTTATCTGAGAAACCAATTTATTATGTGGATATTCATCTAACAGAGTTAAACGTTTCTTTTCATTTAGCAGTTAGGAAACACTGATTTGTTAGATCTGTAAAGAGATTTTTTTTTAGCTCATTGAGTCCTATGCTGAAAAAGAAAATATCTTCAGATAAAAACTAGAAAGAAGCCTAATGAGAAACTGGTTTGGGATGTGTGCATTCATCTCACAGAGTTAAACTTTTCCTTTAATTCAGTAGTTTGGTAACGCTGTTTTTGCCCATTCTGTGAATGGTCATTTGGGAGCTCATTTAGGCCAATGGCAGAAAAACGAAAGTCTCAGGAAAAAAAAAACTAGAAGATAGCTATCTGAGAAATTGCTTTGTGATATGTGTATTCATCTCACAGAGTTAAACCTTTCTTTCCATTCAGCAGTTTGGAAACACTGTTTTTGTAGAATCTGTGATG